>NC_000009.12:130103459-130417277 GCF_000001405.40 Homo sapiens | reverse complement strand
AGTGCTAGGATTATAGTCATGAGCGACCATGTCCGGCCCCGGCTCTCTTTTATAACAATACTTGCAGCTGGGTATGGTGGTTCATGCCTGTAACCCTAGCACTTTGGGAGGCTGAGGTGGGTGGATTGCTTGAACCTAGGAATTTGAGAAGAGCCTGGCCAACATGGTGAAACCCTATTTCTACTAAAAAATACAAAAATTAGCCAGGTGTGGTGGTCTGTGCCTGTAATCCCAGCTACTTGAGAGGCTGACACAGGAGAATTGCTTGAACCTGGGAGGCAGAGGTTACAGTAGCCGAGATTGCGCCACTGCACTCCAGCCTGGGCAACAGAGTGAGAATCCATCTCTAAATAAATAAATAAATAAATAAAACACTTGTGATAGCATTTAGGGGCCTCCGAGATAATGTGCTCACTTTAAGATCCTTAACTTAATTACATTTGCAAAGATTCCTTTTCCAAGTAAGGAAACATTCACAGGCCCTGGGGACTAGGACCTGGACATATCTTTGGAGGCCATTCATCAGATACTACCACAGCCAGTGTGTCCTAAAGTGGAACACATGTGTACTGTGAGACCTAGCGCTTCTGCTCCTGGACGAATACCCCAGCACAGGTGTGTGTGCGTGTTCACTGGAGGGCGTGCGTAAGGTCACAGCAGCCCTGTTCTTAACCGCCCATCACTGGAAACTAACCTAGAGTGGAATACATGAATAAACTGTGGTACATCCATGTAGCAGAAAAACACACAGCAATGAGAACCAATAAACTAATTCCACGTGAACAATATGGACGAATGCCACAAATTATGATGTGCAAAAGAAGAGTCTACGCAAGAGCACGTGTGGGGTGATTCCACTTAAATGAAGGTCGAGGCCAGGCGCAGTGACTCACGCCTGTAAGCCCAACACTTTGGGAGGCCGAGGCGGGTGGATCACCTTAAGTCAGGAGTTTGAGACCAGCCGGGCCAACATGGTGAAACCCTGTCTCAACTAAAATTACAAAAATTAGCTGGACAAGGTGGTGGGTGCCTGTAATCCCAGCTATTTGGGAGGCTGAGGCAGGAGAATCTCTTGAACCTGGGAGGTGGAGGTTGCAGTGAGCCGAGATCGCGCCACTGCACTCCAGCCTGGGTGACAGAGTGAGACTCTGTCTCCAAAAAAAAAAAAAAAAAAAAATAAAGCCTCTAGAACTTTGGATAAGAACAGTGGAAGCCTTTGGCCCTCCTGCCTGGGGCTGTGCCCATCCCTACCCCACCGTGACCATCACAGTGGTTTTATTAGGGATGGCTGTGAAAAACAGCAGCTTTTGCCACCCCTGGGGGCTGCCTTGATGTGCAGTAGAGGATGAAAGTATGCCCTGAGAAATATCATCAGGAAAAGGGGCAAAACTGGTAGGAGCCAAAAGGGAAATGGCTGCTGTGCTGGCCTGCGGCATGGCCCTGGCTGAGAAGAGCAGGGACCCAGCCAGCAACTGAACGGCGAGAACCTGGAAATGAAGGAGCCACGGACAGGCTGGATTGGCTCCCCACAATCCCTGGCCATCGTGGGAAATATGCACCTGTGCAGGGGAGACCTGAGGGGTACAAAGGACAGTAAACCGAGGCCAACTTGAAAACTGCCTGAACTTCAAATTACTCCACAGCCACGTTTTGCTGAGATTTTCTGTTTTTTTCACTTGTTTCAAGCATGTTGACAACTGCTCACAGAAGCATCCCTGTCAGCTAGCCTGGGCAACATAGCAAGACCCCATCTCTACAAAAAATAAATAAAGTAGCCGGGCATGGTGGTATGCACCTGCAGTCCCAGCTACTTGGGAGGCTGAGAAGTGGGAGGATTGCTTGAGCCCAGGAGGTCAAGGCTGCAGTGAGCTGTGATTGTGCCATTGCACTCCAGTCTGGGTGACAGAGCAAGACCCCATCAAAAAATAAAAAGGAAATCCTTACCAGATGACTCAAACATCTGTGCTATCTCAGTTGGTGTCTGTTGAGTATCAGTTCTCATTCAAGCTGAGATTTTTCCTTGTTCCTGGTATGATAAGTGAGTTTCAGTATGATAAGATTTGGGCTCTTATTTAAATCTTCCATCTTAGCAGACCTGGAACACTGCCAGGGGAAGGAGGTGCCACTCACTTCTGCTAGATGAGAGTGGAAGTCCGGGTTCCCCACGTGGCCTCCATGGACACCCGGGAACAGGGAGGGTGCCTCATTATTGCTGGGGATCGGTGGGAGTTGGCGCTTCAAGTGGGGCTCTGCTGGCACCATCCTGGCTGGGAGGGAGAGGGGCACTGCTTATTGCTCCCCACTCGGCCTGTGTAGGCGAGGGGCTTCCCACTCAGTGGTGACAGTGGTGACAGTTCAGTCTTGGTCAGGCACAGTGGTTCATGCCTGTAATCCCACCACTTTGGGAGGCTGAGGCAGGTGGATCATTTGAGCCCAGGAGTTTGAGACTGGCTTAGGCAACATAAGGAGACCCTGTCTCTACAAAAAATAAATACATAAAAATAAAAATTAGCCGGGTGTGGTGGCACGTGCCTGCAGTCCCAGCTACTTGGGAGGCTGAGATGGGATGATCACCCGAGCCCAGGCTGCAGTGAGCCCTGATCATGTCACTGCACTCCAGCCTGGGCAACAGAGTCAGACCTTGTCTTAAAAAAAAAAAAAAAAGTCCTTATCAGATTACCTGATATCTGTACTATCTCAGTAGGCATCTGTTGTCTGCTTTCATTGAGATTTTCCTTGTTCCTGGTGTGTAAGTTGAGCTTTTCCTTGTTCCTGGTGTGTAAGTGAGTTTCAGTATTGTAAGACTCGGATTTTTATTTAAATCTTCCGTTTTTGGCAGAGCTATAAAACTGCCAAGAAAAAGTGGTGCCACTCACTTCCGCCAGGTCAGCGTGGAAGCCCAGGTTCCCTATGAGGCTTCCATGGTCAGCCCGGAACAGGGAGGGGTGCCTCATTACTGCTGAGCATGGGTGGATGGGTGGAGGCACGCCCACACCGGGCCTCTGCTGGCACTACCCTCGCTGCCCACCTGGCCACACGGGGGAGGAGCTTCCCACTCAGTAGATGACAGTGGTGACAATTCTGTCTCCTCATTAGGTGTCACCTGACAGCATCCTGCTCCAGTGTGGGGAGAGCAGTGCCTCGGTACAGGGGCGAGGGTGGAAGTTAGAGGCTCCCAGTTGGTGTGATGATGGGGCAGGGGTGTTTTTCATGGTGTTTGCCTCCCAAGTAGCTGGGATTACAGGTGTGCGCCACCATGCCCAGCTATTTTTTTTTTTTTTTTTTTGTATTTTTGGTAGAGATGGGGTTTCACCATATTGCCCAGGATGATATCAAATTCCTGAGCTCAAGCGATCTGGCTGCCTCAGTCTCCCAAAGTGCTGGGATTACAGACACGAGCCACCACACCCAGTTAGGGGTTGTTATTTACAAGTTTTCTTTCTTACTATGCTGTCCCTTTCCTAGTCCTTTGCAAGAGAGGACAGGCTCTCGTTGAGGTGCACATGCCCCCGTGTGTGTGTGTGCGTGTGTGTGCGCACGTGCACATGCGTGTGTCTGAGCCCACTGGTGGTTCCAGGTTGTTGGCTTCTCAAGTATGCGGCCCAGGATATAAGGGACAAAAAGAAACACCAGGGCATTCACCACCATGCTGCTCCTCAGGTCCCAAGATCGGTAGTCTATCCTCCTTCTTTTCTCTACTTTTCAGAGGCTCTTTATGTTTGCTTCTATATAAAGTCCAAGGTGTTTAGCTGTCCTTAGCAAGAGAAATAGGGAGAAGTGCATCTATACCATCTTGTCTGGACCACAAACCTATTCCATGCATGACAAAAACTCTCAACACACTAGGTACAAAAGGGGAACTTCCTCAGCCTGAGAAAGGGCATCCACAAAAACTCACAGCTAACATCACGCCCCATGGTGAGAGACTGACTGCTTTCCACCTAAACCAGGGAACCAGGCAAGGATGGCTGCTCTCGCTGCTTCAACTGTGTACCAGAGGGTCCAACCAAGGCAATAAGGCAAAGCAAAAAACTTCAAGGTACGCAGATTTGAAAGAAAGATAGTCAAACTGTCCCTATTCATAGATGATATGATATCAATTCAACTGTATCTCTACATATTAGCAATTACAAATCCAAAAATCAAAGAAAACAATTCCACCCAAAATAGCATCAACAATAATAAAAAGACTTAAAATCAATTTAACAAAAATATAAGACCAGTACATTCAAAACTACAAAACATCACTGAAAGAAATTCAAGATCAACATAAATGGTACTGGAACAATTGGCTATCCGTATGCAAAAAAGGAAGTTAGACCCTTACCCCACACAAAGATTAACTCAAAATGGATCACTGACCTAAATGTGAGAACTAAAACTACAAAAATCGTATAAGAAAATGTAGGGCCCAGTGGCTCCTGCCTGTAATCCGCACTTTAGGAGGCCGAGGCAGGTGGATTGCTTGAGGCCAGGAGTTCGAGACCAGCCTGGGCAACACGACGAAACCTCGTCTCTACTAAAATTACAAAAATTAGTCGGGTGTGGTGGTGCGTGCCTGTAATCCCAGCTACTTGGGAGGCTGAGGCACAAGGATTGCTTGAACCTTGGAGGTGGAAGTTGCAGTGAGCTGAGATCTTGCCACTGCACTCCAGCCTTGGCACCAGAGTGAGACTCTGTCCCAAAAATATTAAAACAAAAAAAAAAAAAGAGAAAGAAAGAAAAGAAAAGAAAAGAAAAAGACGACCTTAGATTAGGCAAAGATTTTTAAAAGGTGTAACCCCAAATACATGATTCAAAAAATACACAATGGATAAATTTGGACTTCACCAAATTTTAACACTTTTGCTCTTCAAAGTCACCATTAAGAAAATGCAAAGACAAGCCACAGACTGGGAGAAATATTTGCAAATCATGTATCTGATAAAGGGCTATATCCATGCTATGTAAAGAACTCTAGAAACTCACTAGTAAAATAAACAACTCCATTTAAGAATGAGCACAAGCCCTGGGTGCAGTGGCTCACTCCTGTAATCCCAGCACTTTGGGGGGCCAAGGCAGGTGGATCACCTGAGGTCAGAAGTTCAAGAGCAGCCTGGCCAACATGGTGAAACCCCGTTTCTACTAAAAATACAAAAATTAGCCGGGTGTGGTGGCGTGCGCCTATAATCCCAGCCACTCAGGAGGCTGAGGCAGGAGAAACGCCTGAACCCGGGAGGCGGAGGTTGCAGTGAGCAGAGATGGCACCACTGCACTCCAGCCTGAGCAACAGAGCCAGACCCTGTCTCAAAAAATATTAGTAACAATAATAGTTGTAAAAAAAATACATTACATAAAATTTATCATTGAACCATTTGTAAGTGTACACTTCAGTAGTGTTGAGTATTTGACATTGTACAATCTCCAGAACTTTTTTCTCTTGCTAAACTGAAACTCCGGACTCATTAAATTCTAACTCCCCCTTCTCCCCTCCCTGCAGCCCCTGGCAAGCTCCATACTACTTTGGGTCTCTATGCTTTTGGCCACTCTAGGCCCCTCATATAAACAGAATCATACAGTGTTTGTTTCTTTGTGACCGGCTTTTTCCACTTCGCATAATGACCTCAAGGTTCATCTATGTTGTAGCCTGTGTCAGAATTGCATTGCATTCCTTTTGTTCTTTTTTTTTTTTTTTTTTTTGAGATTGAGTCTTGCCTGTCAACCAGGCTGGAGTGCGATGGCACGATCTTGGCTCACTGCAACCTCTGCCTCCTGGGTTCAAGTGATTTTCCTGCCTCAGCCTCCTGAATGACTGGGATTACAGGCGTGCCACCACGCCCAGCTAATTTTTGTATTTTTAGTAGAGACAGGGTTTCACTATGCTGGTCAGGCTGTTCTTGAACTCCAGACCCCAGGTGATCCACCCGCCTTGGCCTCCCAAAGTGCTGGGATTACAGCTGTGAGTCACCGAGCCCAGCCCTAGAATTTCCTTCCTTTTTAAGGTTAAATAATATTGCATTGCATGAACGGGTGAATTTTATGGTATGCAAATTATAACTCAATAAAGTTTGTTGTTTTTTTTTTTAAAGAGGCAGAATCCAGGACAGTGATTATTGGGGCAGGGGGCAGTAAGCAGAGGTGGGCATGCTGGAGGCTGGGAGCCGGCACTGTCCTATTTCTTTGATCTGGTTGCTGGTTAACTGGGTGGGTTCGCATTGTAAAAATTCATGAGCTCTGCACTTAGGATCCTGGCTCTTCTCCACAGGTGTTCATCTTCAATAAAACATTTTCTACAGAATCCCTATTGAGACAACTTCACAGTGTTATTCTGAGGCTCAAACAGCGCCTGGTAAACTACGAGCTGCTTGGCACATGCGAGAGCTGTCGCGGTGATCTTGACGGCTGGTCTGAGTTTTAAATGCCCAGCTCCCCCAGGCCCAGGTTGCCAGGTTTTCTTTAGCTCAGTCCTGAGTCTCAGTCACCCCACATTTGGGAAACATTTGGTAGGATTCAGTGTGTGTTCCAAGTAAGTATTAATGAAAGAATTCCAAGTCCCAGCCCTGCCGTCTGCCCTCTAGGCTGCACACGCCACCGCTGTCCCCGAGCACACTTCCCACGTCCCCACTCTGCTGAGGCCGAGACTCACTCTGCAGGACGAGGATCACCACTTTCTTCGCCACGCCCATCTCATTCTCTGCCAGGCACTGGTACCGTCCCGCATCGTCCCTCTGCAAGTGGGCACAGGAGAGGAGGCATGGTGCTCAGAGAAGAAGATGAGTGGCTCAGACAGTTGGGTAGGGGACTGAGGGCAGCCAGCCAGCAAGGGGCTTAGGCTGTGAACCAGCCAGGGGCACCTGATCCCCCGCAGAGCATCAGAAGGGCCTCTGTGACCACTTGTCAGCAGACATGCAAAGAGAATCCAGCCCCTTTTCACACCCGAAAACAGGGGGCTGTGACTACGGTCCTTGTTGCCTTAGGTGGAACAACTTGCTGGAAAAGCATGGTGTAGATCCACCTCTTCCAAACTGTGTACGTTGAAATCTTACTGTCCCATGGCACATTATTTGAGACTCCTTGGAGAACAGGGTTCCATGGTCAAGTAAGTTTGGGAGACATTGAGTTGACAACATGTTATGGTACTTTGGAAATCAATAACTATAGGAAAACAAGAACATGAGACACCTCTGTTGTATGAACAGGATGGCAGTCTGAACTGCAGGACCTCTCAGGGCATTTATTGTGCCAGTGTGCAAAGTGAGTCTTCCAGAAGGGAGATCGTTTGCAGCGTTTCCCTAACAGGTGACCCATGGATATGTGATGGAACTCAGGTGGCGCGCTGGCTCACATCACTTCTGAGTGGCAGCGCCACCATCAGATGGGCCTGGGGCAGCCTGAGGCCACGTCCACTCCCAGAAGATGGTATCTGGGGGGCCACACCCAAGGGACTGGGGGGGATAGCATGGCACAAAGTTAAGAGTGTAGGTTTGGAGGTCAGACCAACATGGGACTGAATCCCAGCCCCACTGCTTACTGCCCTCAGCCCATTACTTAGGACATTTTCATGCCTCTGGAGCCTCAGTTACCCCTTCTGTAAAATGGGAGTGATAACTGCTAGGATCTTATAAGCATCACATGGAATAATGCTTGCTAAGTGCAAGGCCCCGTGCCTGGCCCACAGTTAGTACTTGGGTAACAGGAGCCATTATTACCACTGCTCTTACTACTGCTCTTATTACTAGTCCTATTATCATTACTACCCAGAGAAAGGCTCCCAAATGGGTGAGATCAAGGCCCCTAAGATGAACTTGAGTCAGGACTGACTTGGGGATTTCTGCACAATCACCAGAACTTGAGACACAAAAGGGAAGTTGAGAGGGGCTGCCCCAGGGCCCAAGGCTTTGGAAACAGCACGGGGCCTGAGGCAGGAGACCTGGGGGTGGGGGCGCTGCCTCCTGCACTTATTGGTTGTGGGCCTCTCTGAACTTCAGTGTCTTCGTCTGTAAATAGGGAGCACTATTACCTGCCTACCCTACCCCCTGAGGTTGTTAATAACAACATTTTGGAGGCATTACCCACAGATCACTCTTAAATAATGGGTATGAGACATCTCACTGATTTCTAATTACAATCCTATGAGGTAGAACTAATTCGCTCCATTGAATGGGTGGATGACGGAGGAATGGAAAAGCCCAGTTGGCTGGAGGTCAATATTGGTGGTAGTGGGAGGATATCTGAGGAATGGGCAGGGAGGTGCTTTGTACACTGCAGAAGCAGAGGGGGCAATAGGAAGAACCCTCTTGAACAATCTGAAAAAGCGTAGAGTTGTCCTCAGTGGCCCCACCCAAGGTGCCAGGCCCCGCCTTGCCTCAGTCCTGCGGATGGTCAGCGAGCCATTCTGCAGCTGGTGCCGGAGGTGGCTGCCCCGCAGTGGAAGGCCATCTTTGATCCAGTGGATGTCCGGCACTGGGTCTCCACGCACCACACAGTCTAGCTGAATGCTGCCTCCTACAGGTTCCACCAGGTAGGAGAAAGCCTCCCCTTGTAGGACAGGAGCCTCTGCATGGGGTGACATCGAGCAAGTTGTCAGAAAAGAGGTTGCCTGCTGGCTCAGCCTCCCATAAACCCCAAAGGACTGCCCAACTCCTGCCTCCAGGGGCCTCCAGAGGCTTCTGCTAGCACAGCATGGTTGTGTTTAGTCAGTGCATCAGGGACAGCAAACAGTGTTCATGTCATGGGTCAAGTCACAAAGACTGGCAAAGACTTTCCAAGAACTGTGCTGAGAAGCATTTGAAGCTGAATGAGAATGGTGCTGTGATTGATTAGTGATGCCTGAGATGGGCACAGGCAGGAAGGCAGTGTTACGCGTGTCATATACTCTCTTTCACAGATGGATTACACTAGCAGCGGAGTACCTGCCAGGTACTTTGGAAATCAATAACTATAAAAAAACAAGAACCCTAGACACCTCTGTTGTACAAAGCAACGCTATGAGATTCATGCTAATCTCAAAACACTCTTCGATGCTCTGGACTGGCTTATATCCTTCCTGGTTTCCTGAGGTTGGATCTACCAAAAGCTGCAGTTCTCTTTTGGTGCCTGGGGCTGTTCATTCCCCCCATCCAGCCCCACCCATCCTGAGGTTGTGCAAACTAAGACACGTTGTCACCGAGGGCTCCTGTGCTACTCCTGGTGGATGAGTAGGTCATAGGGGACAACTGGCTGGCTGGCAAGCTTCTGGCATTTTTCTGCCAGGATGCCCTGGCCTCCATGCTCTCCTCCAACCCTGGCACCATCCAGCTGCAGGTAGTGCTGTAGGGCAATTGGTCAGATTCCAATTCTACCTGCAGCCAGGGTCGTCTTGGGAGTGTCAAAAATACCGATGCCTAGGCCTCACCCCAGAGAGGCTGGTTTACAGAGTTGGAAGTAGAACTTGGACTTCAGAATTTAAAGTCCCCCAGGGGATTCTAACATGCAGCCAGGGTGGGGAACCACTAGTTCAGAGGACAGGAGGCTGGGTTCTTAGGAAACCAATAGATTGGGTCCCAATAGACTGGAGGTCTTGAGAGAGAAGCCACCTGGGGAATGTGCCCTACCCTTCACGTGGACGAAGCTGACCGCCTGCGTGCGGCCCACTCTGTTCTCCGCCCAGCAGACATAGGTCCCGCTGTCTTCTCTGGAGACAGCGGCCCGCTGCAGCGTGCTGCCTCCATCCTGCTCAGACACCCCTTCTGTGGTGGAGAAAGAGAAGTCGGGTGCAGGGAACTCCTGCCCTAAACACTTCCCTGGTGCCTGGGTACCTGCAGGAACTTAATAAAAATGCAGAAACAGATGGGAGTCCCGGGTGAAGGTTGATCAAATCAGACACGTTCCTGGGAGGCACAGGCCACACTGGAGGCTGCGGTTAATGAACCTGCCTTCTACCATCTTCCAGTGCACACTGTGTGTTTGATAAACGGTCAAGGGCAGGTTTTTGGGGGCCTCTCAGCACAGGACACTTACTGAAACACTGCCATGATTTCTAGAGAGAAGGTTTCTTTTTTTTTTTTCTTTGAGACAGTTTCACTCTTGTTGCCCAGGCTGGAGTGCAATGACGCAATCTCAGCTCATTGCAACCTCCACCTCCCAGGTTCAACCGATTCTCCTACCTTAGCCTCCCATGTAGCTGGGATTACAGGCATGTGCCACCACGCTCAGCTAATTGTGTATTTTTAGTAGAGATGGGGTTTCACCATGTTGGCCAGGCTGGTCTCGAACTCCTGACCTCAGGTGATCCACCTGCCTTGGCCTCCCAAAGTGCTGGGATTACAGGCGTGAGCCACCGCGCCCAGCCGAGAGAAGGATTCTAATAATGAACTTTTCCTTTGGGGTGGGCCATCACCTCTAGGAGAGGAATACAGACAAGCAGTACCATCAATTGGGCATCTACTCCGGGCCAGGCCTGTGCCGAGCACGGCCCCTCCATTGTCATTCTGTCCTCAGGACCCCTGGTTATGTCCATTTGACAGATGGAGAGCGGCGCTCAGACAGGCTGAACTATTATACCTGCCCAAGGTCCCTCCCCAGGAAGTGGTGGAGCCGAGCAAAGCCTTCACCACAGGTGAGCACGGGTATTCCACACCTGGGGACTCAGAGTTAGGAATGTGTGATGTCATATCCTAATGTAGGAAAGTATCATTTTGCAGTGGAGGGGACTTAGCAATTTATCAATTCAGCAAACATTGAGTACCCAGCAGGTACTCCACAGGCCCTGTGTCTCCCTAGACATCACCTGGGTTTCCGGTAGGAGGACAGAGTCCCCACGGGCCCCCAGCAAAAGGGGTTTGCTGAGGGTCCCACAATGGGAGCAGCAGCTCTGGACTAGAACACAGGCCTCCCCTTCCTGGCCCTGAGGTCTCTGGGTTGAGTCTTCTCAGGTGGCCTCTTGCCAGCTCTGATATATGGCTTGTCACATATGGCCACAGCTGGGTTTGCCCTGTCCCCCTACATAGGGCCACGTTGGAAGACCCAGAACCAACAGGGCTGGCTGACAACCTCTTCCTTTCCACTAGGTTGGGTCTCCCCACCTGCCCTCCCTTCTTAACCTCCCGGTGTCCTGGCTCTCTGTCCCACCCATGCCCAGCAGACCCAGACCTGTGACTGGCCGGTCGTTGACAGTCCAGCCAATGCGAGGGGTGGGGCTGCCCCGGGCTGCACAGCGAAGCCACAGCCTGTCCCCAAGGCGCAGGCTGCGGTCCCCAGGCAGGGTGGTGAACACAGGCAGTACCAGGATGGTGAGGTGCACGCGGCGGCGGGCCCGGCCCACGGCGTTCTCAGCGGTACAGGTATAGGTGCCTGCGTCCTGGCCCTGTGAGCAAAGAAAGGGGTTGGCCGGAGAACTGCCCCACCTCGGCATAGGTCAGGATGCCCCTGACCCTTGAAGGTTCTCATGGAGCATCCAGCCCAGAGAGGGGAAGTGACTTGCCCAAGGTCACACAGCTAGCAAACGGGTCAGCATCACCACCGTGCCCCTGCCCAGCCCTGCAGCATTCACATGCTCTACTGCTTCATAACCCCAGCCCTGACTGCATGATCGCAATAGCCAGTGTTTACCAAACACCTACTGTGTGCTGCCCTGTCCTCAGAACTTGACCTGCACTGCAGGCCTTGCTTTTGGTGCCCTGATAGAGGGCCCAACAGGGGCTCCAAGAGGAGGAGTTTTATGGTGCATTCAAGCAGGGCCGGTGCGCTCACCACTGCACCCCCAGGCTCCCTGGGTGGCCGGGTCCAATGCCTCTGACCCCTCTAGGTGTGTCCACTGAACCCATCTGGAGAGGGTCTCATCATAAAATTGCAGAATCTGATGAGTGCTGAGGGGAAGGAGGTTGGGGGTCCCACCCATACCCCTGGCTCAACACTCCCCAAAACCCAGAGGACGGTTAATGCCAACGCATGGTTGACAACAACTGGGTAGACTTTCAGGACACAAAGTCATCACCGTATCCCTGAGCCCTAGTCCGAGTTCCCTCCCTTCCCCAGGAGCTGGCTACCGAGGTCCAGGTTCAAATTTGGGTTCTGCCTCTTGGCAATGGTGGACAACTAGGTACACTTTGAGCCTCAGTTCTGGCTGTCTGTACCCGGGATGGTGACACTGATTTCCCCAGGCTCCCAGGGTTAAAGGCTGCATAGTGCTCAGCGCAGAGCATGACAAACAGGGGTCTCAGCCATTATTCCCTGCTGTGCCCCTTGGGGCAGTGCCTCACCTCCAAGTTCTTCACCAGCAACTCCCCAGAAGGCTGGATGGTGAACTTCCCCTCGGCGCCCGACACAGGCTGGCCATCTTTGTCCCAGGTGATGTTGGGCTCAGGACTGCCCCTCGCCTTGCAAGGCAAGAAGGCGTGGGAGCCTTCGGTGGTGGACAGGTCTGGGAGGCCATTCTCGATCACTGGTGGGACTGCGGGCAGAGGGAGGCCCACTCGGAACCGGGGCTCAGGGAGGCGGCTGACACCATCCTGGGGCCCTTGGCCTTTGGCCCAGCCCTTCAGCCCTCCCTGGCCATCAGCTGCCCCCTCCAACTCCCTAGTCATAGGCCATTGCCCGTGCTCAGGATGATTTGGGGACTCCCTGAGTTTGGTGTAGCTGTGACGGTGATTCCATTGCACCTGTGCACACGTGTACACACACACACACATGCATGCACATATACACGCACACACACAGAAGACTAAAAGCCGCAGGACAGAGGCCTTGGGCAGGGTCCACTTGGACCTTGTACTAGGCCACCTCCAGGAACAAAAGCAGGGCAGCTGTCACAGAGCATCCCTGCGGAGGAGCTATGCTGGGCAGAGTGAGGGTCACTGGCTTGGTGTCTGGCTGGTCTGGTGACCAGCGATGCTACAGGTCCCAGGGGAGAGGAGCACGCTGGACAAGAAGCGGAGGAATCCTGGAGCCAGGAGCCCCTCTGAGTTCACAGCCAGAGTCTGACTCCAGCCCTACATAGCTGCGGGCGGGGATGGCCACTGAGATACCACAAAGCAGGCCACTGGGGCCAAGACATGACCGGCCCATACTGAATATTCCCAGCAGACTTTGCAGATTTTTGGCCAGTGATGCCACCTGATCTTTGAAGCCAATGATTGATCAAACTAAGGGAAGGGCACATGTAATTGTGTGTGTGCCAGAGCAGGGCCAGAGAGGCTACAGCTACTGGAAACCAGAATGAATGAGGGATGCTAGACTTGTGTTCCACAGGGCCAGAGAGAAGGCAGAGGGGATGGGAATTTATGTCTGAAACCAGAACTCAGGCGCACAATGAGAGATGTTTTCCCCTTAATTCCTTCTAGAACTATAAGCAGTGTGCCCTGCCAGGCAGAGAAGGGAGAAGCTTGCAGAAGCCTCAAAGCCCCTCAGTTGCCAGGGCCCACCTCGGCCCCGTCCTCACTCCCACCTTGCACCACCAGCCGCGTCTTCCCCATGGCACTGCCCGCACTGTTCTTAGCGATGCAGAGATAGTTTCCAGCATCCTCTGGGCTGGCATGGGCAATCCGCAGCTGTCCGCCTGGTAGGACCTGGGTACTCACTCCTGAACGAGGAAGAAGAAAATCGGGGGCCTGGGAACTGGGACTGGGGACCCCCGAGGTGGGCAGATTGGGCTATTCTGTCTCACAGGCAGCAAATGACTTGCTGGGGTCACAGAATGACCAAGGGACAGAAGGAGCCAAGAAGCCTGACCCTGAGCCCAGCTCAGCTGCCCCCTCCCGACCTCCCACCTCAGCCACCGAGTGCTCGGATGGCATCTCAGGCCATGGTGACAGGAGAAGGGTTGGGGAGGGGGAGGCCAGAGCAAGGGTGGGGGCGTATCTGGGCAGGCCAGGGGCTTTCCAGGACCTCTCAGCAGGTCTGCGGGGTCTCCCAGGGCAGGAAGCAGGACTCCCCCCCTGCCCAGACCCACGCTCTTCTCTTCCCTTCCCAGGCTGGCTGCCAGGGGCCCTCACCAGTAGCGACGTTGAGCCCTTCCTTCTGCCAGGTGATGGTCGGCCGGGGGATGCCTGAGGCCTCGCAGGGCAGCAGCACCTCCTCCTCTGCCACTGCCCGAACCACGCTGGGCAGCGGCTTCACCACCGGGGAGGCTACAAAGGACGGGGGTGCAGAGGGCCCTGAGAATGTCCTTAACACAACTCCTCCAACCAGCGGGCCTCGGAGCATCAGAGAGAGAGGCCTCTAAGGAGAACGGGGGTTCTAGAAACATCGGCCACAGCAACAAGGACGCCATGGCTGATTCTTTTCCTGCCAAAGAATCCCATGGGAGACAGGTCGGGGCCTCTGAGACCCGGGGCCTCACCTCCATCCTGAGCCCCACCTGCCTCTGGCTCTCCACCTGCTCCCCTGGCCCTAGGAACTCTGGGGTCTGGACCACGGACCCTTACCTTGCACAGTGAGGAAGACGTGCTTGTGGGCTACGCCGGCAGAGTTGCGGGCTGAGCAGGTGTAGCGGCCTGCGTGGATGGGGAGGGCCTGCCCGATCTCCAGGGCGCCTGTTGGTGGGAATCAGGGTGAGGGGATCAGGACAGAGGTCCCCAGGGATGGAGGTGGCAGGGCTCCTACACAACCCCACTCTGTCTCTGGTCACTCAACCTGCCTCCTTTGCCCATTTACAAACAGTCTGGGGGATGTGACTGTATGGGAACCTGACATCTAGGTTTGCCTCTGTGCCCTGCCCAAAGCAGAGACATGGGCGAGTTCCTTCCACTCTCTGGACCTCAGTTTCCCCATGTGCACAATGAAGAATCAGACAAGATGGTCTCTAGACCCTTTAGGCTGTGAAGTTCCAGGATCTGCCACTCCCCTGCCTGTAATCCCCCACTCACAGTTCCACATCCTGTCATTCTCACCTTGCTCTGCTAAAAACTCACCTCCTCTAGGAAGCCTCCCAGGATTACTGCCTCCTCTCCTCCCTTTATCCTCCTGGCCTTAGCCTTGGTTACTCAGTGAACACCATTTTAACCTTCCCAGACTGCAGGCTGCACCTTGGCAGTCAAGTGACGAGGGTTCTAAATTGTGCTCCGTGGGCCCCTGGGGGCCTGCTGGGTGGGGGAAGGAAGCAAGGCCCACGGCACTCTGGCCCACCCACAGCCCCTGTCCCAGCCCCAGATGGAACCAGAACTGTGGTTTGTTTCACTTGTTGGACTTTGCTGTTACCACTTATTACACTTATTGGAAAGAAGTTTTTGTTTTGTATTTTGTTTTGAGACAGAGTCTCACTCTGTTGCCCAGGCTGGAGTACAGTGGTGCAATCATAGCTCACTGCATCCTTGAACTCCTACACTCAAGCAATCCTCCCACCTCAGCCTCCCAAGCAGCTGGGACCACAGGCATGCACCACCGCACCCAGCTAATTTTTAAAAATGTGTTTGTAGACATGGGGTCTTGCTGTGTTGCCCAGGCTGGTCTCAAACTCCTGGCTTCAAACAATCCTCCTGCCTCAGCCTCCCAAAGTGCTGGAATTACAGGCGTGAGTCCCTGCGCCTGGCCTGGAAGGAAGTTCTATTGCTTCAGAAGAGTTTGAAAATCACAGGTTTGGCCACTGGTTCCTAGACTTTAGTGTTTCGCTAACGAACTAACAAATAAATTTGGAGACTCTCCATAAAGCTTCCAACGTTTTATTTTGACAGGCAAAGACATTTTAAAAATCACCATGTTAGGCCAGGCATGGTGGCTCACACCTGTAATTCCAGCACTTTGGGAGGCTGAGAAGGGCAGATCACCTGAGGTCAGGAGTTCAAGACCAGCCTGGCCAACATAGTGAAACCCCATCTCTACAAAAATACAGAAATCATGCCTACATGATGGCAGGTGCCTGTAATCTCAGCTACCTGGGAAGCTGAGCCAGGAGAATCCCTTGAACCTGGGAGGTGGAGGCTGCAGTGAGCGGAGATAGCTCCATTGCACTCCAGCCTGGGCAACAGAGCGAGACTCCATCTTAAAAAAAATCACCATGTACTATTATCTTAATATCATCAAGAAAAGGAAGTTTCAACACCAAAGATAACTTCAGAATACAGGAGGATCTTTCTGATGGGATTAAACCAGGTTTACAAAAACTCCCAGGGAGCTATTATTTTTCTTATTTTGCCATGAAATAGCACTTGTATGCCAGAGGGCCTTGGGGAACCACTGATGGGTCTCAACACTGCAGAGCATGGAGGAGAATATGGAGCTCAGAGAGGGCGAGAGGGTCCTCCCAGGTCACACAGCCAGGAGAGGCAGTGCCAGGCCAGATAGTTCCATCCTATTCCGCCATGTGACCTTTCACCCCCTCTGCCTGCTCTCCCAGTCTCCCCTCAGCTGCCTCTCTCTGTGGCTTACCCTTACTTACCCGATGGTGAGACACGATAGCCACTCCCCCGAGCTCCTAGCTGGGCGCCTGCCTTGCTCCAGGACACGGTCGGAGCTGGTATACCCGTGCTGTGACATGTGAGGACCACAGGTGCCATCATGGTCACGGTGAAGTCTGTCTGGTCATCGGCAATGGTGGGAGGCACTAAAACCCAAGACAAGGCTTGAGGCCCTGCCGGCGGGCACAGGGCACTCACGGCCACAGGGCCAGGGGGTAAAGCTAGTACACAAGGTGACATCAGTGACAAAGGGCCAAGGAGGGAGGTGGCAACAGAGGGAGAAGTCACATTTGCCCACTCAGCACATCCTTCTGGGCACGGGGCTATAGTTTTTTTTCTTTAAAAAAAAAAGTGTATTTTTTCAGAGATGGGGTCTCAGTATGTTGCCCAGGCTGGAATGCAGTGGCTAATCACAAGTGTGATCCTACTGCTGATCAACATGAGAGCCTTGATCTGCTCTGTTTCTGACCTGGGCAGGTTCACCCTTCCTTAGGCAGCCTGGTGGTCCCCCGCTCCCGGGAGGTCACCATATTGATGCTGAACTTAGTGCGAACACCCAATCAGCATAGTGCACTATAGCTCAGGACTCCCTGGGCTCAAGCGACCCTCCCGTCTCAGCCTCCTGAGTAGCTGGGACCATAGGCACATGCCACTGCACCCAGTGGGATACAGCTTTCTATAGAGACCCTGGCCTAGTAACTTCACAGGGGGTTACTCGTGGGTTTCCCACTTGGAGTAGGGGAGGCCAGAGGAGACCTCCAGGGGAAGTGGCATTTAACCTGCGATCTGAAGGGAAAGCAGGTGTTTGCTGAGTGAGGGGAAGAGTGTTCCCGGCAAAGGCAACAGCGTGTGCAAACCCCTTGAGGCAAGAAACAAGAAGCTGAGCAGCTTGATTAGACCCTGGAATGAGGCAGGTCTGGCGTGAGCTGAATCTGGCAGGGCCAGACCACACAGGACCTGGTGTGTCCAGCTGAATTGTTGCATTCTATCCTGGGGGCAGCGGGCAGCTGTGGAGGGAGGGATTTTTAACGGGGGTGATGACAAGGTCAGATTTGAGTTTAGAACATTCTGGATTTGCGAGGGGCCTCTCCTGTGAGCTCCCGTGTGCCAGGAACTGTGCTGGAGCTGGGGTTATGCCAGTGTGGCCCAGCAGGATCTGAGAGACCTTCCTGGAGGAGGTGTCCAGTGCAGCACAGGAAAAAGCCACACAATTCCCTGCTGGCAGGGAGAGCACCCAAGAGCGGGAAGGCGCTGCCCCCACCCCAGGTGTCCCCCTCCACCTCTGCCCCGACTCACCATGGACGGTCACCTGGTAGAGCCTGTGGGCCTCGCCCACCTCATTGCTCACCACGCATTCAAACTGGGCTGAGTCCTGGGGGCCGGGGGCCGTGAGGAGCAGGGCGTTGGAGGGCAGGAGCCTGGGGTGGACAGACAGACGGCCAAGTGGCTGCTGGGCTGACAGAGACCAGCTGTGGCTTTCTGGCTGTGGGGGTCTCACGCCCATTTCCCCTTCCTGTATCTGACCTCCAGCCCTGACTCTAGAAATGTCTTCTAGAAGTTTCTGCCCCACAGGTCTAGCTGGTGGATTTTTGAGTGATTTTCGTTTTCATCCCTGTTTCTCTGTACATTGGTTTTCCAATTTTTAAAAATGGACATTCTTTTTTTTTTTTTTTTTTTTGAGACAGTCTCGTTCTGTTGCCCAGGCTGGAGTGCAGTGGCACAATCACAGCTCACTGCAGCCTCAACCTCCCAGGCTCAGGGGATCCTCCCATCTCAGCCTCCCAGGTAGCTGGGACCACAGACACCCACCACCATACTCTACTAATTTTTAAATTTTCTGTAGAGATGGGGTCTCACTATGTTGCCCAGTCTGGTCTTGAACTCCTGGCCTCAAGCAATCCTCCCACCTCAGCCTCCCAAAGTGCTGGGACTACAGGTGTGAGCTACCACACCCAGTTCATGTTTTGTTTTTAGACAAGAGTGACTCTGGTGGATATAAATAAAGCCCAGATGTCTCTGTTTAGCTGTATATCCCCAGTGCCCTCACCCCTATCTCAGTGTGAAGACTCTCTGATCCCCAAAGTTGAGACACAAGTTCTGGTCCTGACTCCGGTGAGACCTGAGCACACCCCGCCCCGTCCCTGCCCCATGCCCCCGTGAGAAGAGAGTGCCTCCCCGCCCTGTGCGTCTCAGGAAGCCACCGCAAAGTCCAGCTCGTTACCGGTAGGCGCCCTGCTGCAGGCGGAAGTCCAGCTTCTGTCCGTCCTTCCACCAGACCACCAGGGGCTTAGGGGAGCCGCTGGCCTCGCAGGGCAGCAAGGCTGGGGTGTGGGCGGTCAGGGTCAGGTTGGAGGGGCTGGGGGCGATGGCTGGAGGCTCTGGGGAGAGCACAGTGGTCAGGAGACAGGTGCAGGGGGCACAGGGGCTGGGGGCTCTCTGAGGCTGTGCCCAGGGGCAAAGCCACTGCCTACTGTCTTCCACCCATCCCTGAGGGAGCACAGAGGGAGAGGGCAGGAGAAAGCCCCGAGACAGCGCTTCCAGCAGGGTGTTTTGGGCTTTCCCCATCCCTGAGCCTGGCACCCCCTCAGTGCCTTTCCTTGACTGAAGCCTCCAGGCCTCCACTCCCATCAGCCCCCACCTGAGGCCAGGGCCCACCACAGCAACCTCTCACAAGCTGATCTGTTGGAGGGGGAGGAGACTGGGGCATCTGATTCTAGTGATTTTGAATTTTATCCTTTCACATGTTTTACTTTTTTTTTTTTTTTTTTTTTTTTTGTAGACGGAGTCTTACTCTGTCACCCAGGCTGGAGTGCAGTGGCGTGATCATGGCTCACTATAGCCTGAAACTCCCGGGCTCAAGTGATCCTCCCACCTCAGCCTCCCAAGTAGCTGGGACTACAGGCACGTGCCACCATGCTTGGCTAATTTAAACATTTTTTTTTTTGTAGAGATGGGGTCTCACTATGTTGCCCAGGTTGGTCTCAAACTCCTGGGATCAAGTGATCCTCCTGCCTCGGCCTCTCAGACTTGTTTTACCTTTTGTACATGGTTTCTTACTTAATCGAATCGCTGTTCTGTTACGTAATATATGCACTAAAATACATCTGTGTCCTTTGAGTGTGCATGATCACAACTTTTTACTAATGGGCTTCATGGTCAAAAACATTTGAAGACCATTGGCTCTTGGCCCCTACAGCTGGGGTGACTCAGAAACTAAGAAGGACTGGACCCCGACAGGGACTGGACACTGAAGGCCTTCCCCAGGCCACCTACCCAAGACCCGTAGGTCACGGCCTTGACGATCGGAGCCAGCAGAGTTGGATGCCAGGCAGAGGTAGTGGCCGGCGTCCTGGGCAAGGACTGGCTGGATTCTCAGGGAACCCTCAGGCAGAATTTCAAACCTAGAATGGATGGGGGTTGCCCTGGAGATGAGCAAGCCAGTGGGGTCTGGAGCAAGGCTGTCTCTAGCAAGACCCTTCCCTCTGCCCCCACTTTCCCAGTGAGAGGATGCTGATATGGTTTGGCTCTGTCTCCACCCAAATCTCATCTTGTAGCTCCCATAATTCCCACATGTTGTGGGAGGGACCTGGTAGGAGATGATTGAATTGGGGGGCGGGTCTTTCCCGTGCTGATCTCGTGATAGTGAATGGGTCTCACGAGATCTGATGGTTTTAAAAACGTAAGTTTCTCTGCATAAGCTCTCTCTTTGCCTGCTGCCATCCACGTAAGATGTAACTTGTTCCTCCTTTCCTTCCACCATGATTGTGAGGCCTCCCCAGCCATGTGGAACTGCAAGTCCAATAAACCTCTTTCTTTTGTAAATTGCCCAGTCTCAGGTATGTCTTTATCAGCAACGTGAAAATGGCCTAATACAGATGCTAACTTTGGAGGTCAGAGTCTTGCATCTGTGAGGCCAAGGTCAGGGGGTCAGAGCCATGAGCAGCTCCCCACAGCCCAAGCCAACATTGGAAAGATGGAGAGAAGGGCTGCTTTGGGCATCTCCAGCACCCTCCTGGGCTTGACCTCTCCTGAGACGCAGAAGGCGCAGCACCCTGCTCTTCCTGAGAGCAGCCCCTAGATCTGAAAAATGCCCTTTCCAAGGGCCATGTCTGTACTGTGCAATCCCGCCCCTGGCCACAGTTGATTGGATGGGGGATGGACACATCACTCAGGCTGGGCCAATGGCATTCTGTGCCCTGGGAATTTAGAGTTGGGATTCACAGACAACTTGCTAGTGAGCTGAGGAGCTGTAAACCTGGGGCTGGGGGCCACGGGGTTGTCAGGGGGTGTGTTTCTCCCATGTTCACCAAGGAAGAAGGTAAGAGAGAGAAAGAGATGAAGCCTACACAGAGAGAAGCTGAGAGAAGCTTTAAAACCATCAGATCTCATGAGATCCATTCATGCCCCTCTACCCCGCCCCATCTATCAAGGCTTCTGATCAAGTTAAACAAGCAAGAGACCTTCATGAGTGGTGGGCCTGTCCTTGTGTTCTGAGACACCCCACGTCCTGATGATAAAGTCACTTTTCTGCTCCAATTGCCCAAGTGAGTTTGATTTGCAACCCACAAAGTGGCACCTGAGAGCCTCCCTGAGGCCCACCCCTTCCCTCTCCCACCTGGGGCTCCTGGGATCCAGGGGGACCCTGTCCTTCCGCCAGCTCACGAGGGGTGCGGGCACGCCGTCGGCCTGGCAAGGCAGCAGGGCTGTCTGGTTCACTGAGACGTTCACTGCAGGTGGTCCTGACCGGATGGTGGGCACCGCTGGGGAGGGGCACAGAGGGAGTGGTGCTGGGAGCTGTGGCTCTAAGGGGGTGGGCAGGGTGGGGTAAGGTGGGCAGGGTGGGGTGGGGCGGGCCCTACTCACTGTGGATCTCCACGCGGAAGGCGACACTAGTGCTGCCTGCGGCGTTGCGGGCTGTGCAGCTGTAGTCGCCGCTGTCAGCCGTGCTCAGGGCCTGCAGCTGGAGGAACCTGCCCCGCTCCGGGAATTGTGTGTGGGCGTCCTCCTGGAGAGCCCCGCCAGGGTGGACAGACCCTTATCAGTGCCCAGCTGCGTCAGGCCACCCGGCAGCAGATGTGGAAGACTGAGGAACTGGTGAAGCTGGACAGTGGCTCTGTACTTCCAGGCTGACCGCAGGCCCTGACTGTGCCCCGCCGAGGACCCTCTAAGGAAATGCACTCCTCTGGGAGGAAATGCATCCCCTTTCTCTGGAGTTCCTGTCAGAACATCCACAACCCTGAATCCACAGCCGCAAACTGACCCCATTTGAGGGGTGGGCACGGAGAGCCTTGGTCACCGGTCCAGGCCACACAGCTGCTAAGCATAGCTTGAAGGAGCCAGGGGGAGAATACTGGGTGGGCCTCGGAAGCCCTGAGTGACCTGAGCCTTGCCTCAGTGTCCCCATCCATAAAATGGGAGTGACAATGACAATGGCGGGGGGTATGACACCCGGGGAACAGGGTGCAAAGTGCAGCTCAGAGCGGGCCCTTGGCACCCGCTCTGGATCTTGGATCCGGCCAGGTCAGGTCTGAGGCCTGAGCGGGACAGAAGGCAGCACCCTGGGGCCCTGCCTGGCGCCCACCTGCAGCACAATGCCGTCTCGGTGCCACGTGATCTTGGGCGCTGGCTCTGCCTCCACCGAACACTCCAGGACCAGCTGCCCTGGGGCCAGGCCGACCACAAAGCGGGGGCCTCGGGGCCCAACAATGTTTGGAGGGGCTGGGAAGGGGGTGGCACAAGAGGATATGAGAGGGGGACTCACCCCTGCCGCGAGCCCGTCCTGCCTCCCGGCCCTGCCCCCACCCCACCCCCACCACCTACCTTGAACCCTGACCCGGAAGCTCTTCTCAATTGCACCTGCAGGGCTTTCAGCCAGACAAGTGTACAGCCCAGCATCCCTAACCTGGGGATGGAGCGGGTTGAGCAGCTGCCCCTGGCCCCTCTCTGCCCGCCTCCCAATCTGGTTTCTTTCTCATGCATCGAGGGACCCAGGATTCAAACTCAGCCCTGCGAGGTCTGCCATCCACCTCCCAGCCAACCCACGCCCTCTCCCTCCATCTCACTGTTGCTTTAGGGCTGGTGTGATGCCTGCCTCTTCCCAGAAGTCCCCCTTAACTGCACCAGCCCTCCTCTGGCCTAGATGGGGTCACCTGGTTTTGGCATCAGCCTGGGCCCTGACCCTGCTGGCAGCTCCCAAGGGCACGGCCAAGGTGGGTCACCTCCACACCCTCACACCCCACACAGAGGAGGTGCTTCAGCCCAACTTTGTCAACTGCCCACTGGGTCTGGGGAACCTGCAGTCCCTCCCCTCTCCCCCAACCCCCAGCCTCGCCCCATGGCGGCGGCACTGGTACCTGCACATTCTCCACCCGGAGCACCCGTGTGGCTCTGCTGTTGTTCTCCAGCCTGGTCAGGGCCTGCCCGTCCTTATGCCAGGTGATGTTGGGCTGGGGGGTGCCCTGGGCATCACAGAGGAGCTCCATGGGGGCGCCGGGGGTCAGCGACAGCTCTGTAGGCTGGCCTGAGTCCTCAATGTGAGGGGGCTCTGCAAGCCACCATGGAGGGGAACACACAATTGACACACATTTCCGGGACAGCACCGCACTTGAAAACACTGTGCTGAGTCCAGGGGCTCTGCTCCCACATTTTGGTGGCCCTTGTTCTTGCATCTGCCACCAAGGTTTGGTGGAAAGAAACCAGGAGCACAGCCCTGGGAGAATCAAAGCCCGGCCACCCACTCCCCGCAGGCAAGGAAGGTGAGAGAGGCATCCCAGCCAGAACCAAGTTCCCTGAGTTCTGCTCCCAGGTGGCAGTCCCAGGTCTCCAGGGGACTCACCTCCCTCACTGTCCTTCCCATTGCCCCTAGAGTCCCACCCTCTCCCCCGAGCCCAGAGAAGCTGGCCAGAGGCCAGAGGACCCACCCATGACGGTCAGCTGGAAATGCCTCCTGGCTTCCCCCGCCTCGCTCACGGCCACACAGGAGTAGGTCCCCGAGTCACCAGCTCCCACTGCCTCCAGCTGCAGGCTGGGCCCCTGCTCGAGGCTCTGGGACAACAAGGGTTCCCCATCCTTCATCCACGACACGAGAGGCAGGGGAACGCCCCGGGCCTCGCACGGGAGTTCCACCAGGGAGCCACGAACCACCACCACGTCATTCTGGAACTCCACCGGCTCCAGGACAGGGGGCACTATGGAGGGCAGAAAGGTGGGCAGGAACCATTTTATTCCAGGACTCTCATCTCCAGTACTCAGCTTAGACATCACCTCTTCCAGGAAGCCGCCCTGGTCCCCCAAGGCCAGGTGAGGTGCCCTCCTCTGTGCTCCCACAGCATCCTCTCCATCCCCTGGTGTCACTAGTTCCCTGGAATTGTGATTGTCTCTTTACTGAGCTGCTTCCTGCCTCTCTGCCCCCGCCTATCCTGGGCATACCAGAGTGCCCACAGCCACTTGTGAGGTACAAACGAGCAATACAGTGAGTCAGAGACTGAGCCGCAGTGTCCGCTCTCCTCGACGCCCCCAGGGCCCATCCTTGGTTCCACCCAGAAGGGCAGGGGGGCCAAGGGCCTTGATTCTCACCCACCAAGGCCAGAGACCCCCTTGCCCCACCCCCTGCTCCATACCCTGCACCTGCAAGGTGAAGTTCCTGTCCGCCACGCCAGCTGGGCTTGCGGCCACACAGGTGAAGATGCCAGCGTCTGCCAATTGCACCTTGGAAATCCTGAATCCCCCGAGAGGAGAGGGAGAAGGAGACAAGAGAAAGGGAGAGAGAGAGAGGAAGAGAAAGGGAGAGAGACAGGAGAGGCTGGCTGCGTGGAAAGACTTCCTCCCTTTTCCAACCTTTGTCTCCCAAGAGCTTGCTGGCCAGAGGGGGCGGGGTGACTGAGCCCAGCCTTTGCTTAAACTCTCTCTTTTTCTTTTTTTTTTTTGAGATGGTGAGATGGTGTCTCACTCTGTCACCCAGGCTGGAGTGCAGTGGCACGATCTCGGCTCACTGCAAGCTCCGCCTCCCGGGTTCACGCCATTCTCCTGCCTCAGCCTCCCGAGTAGCTGGGACTACAGGCGCCCGCCACCAGGCCCGGCTAATTTTTTGTATTTTTAGTAGAGACGGGGTTTCACCGTGTTAGCCAGGATGGTCTTGATCTCCTGACCTTGTAATCTGCCCGCCTTGGCCTCCCAAAGTGCTGGATTACAGGCGTGAGCCACCGCACCCGGCCTGCTTAAACTCTTTACCTGGGTTCCCGGTGCCCCCAGGATAAAGCCTCCAGCTGCCTCCACCCCTGCTGCCTGCTCCAACCAATCTCATTCTGAAGCCAGACCTCCTGCCTCCCAAATTCGGGAAGCTCCACGTCCCATATGGACAGCTTGGCTCCCCTTCCTCTACGCAGCCCTCTTTGCCCTCAGAGCTCACTGGAGTCATCTCAGCTCACTGGCTTCACTCTCTGTCCTCCCACTTTCTCTCAGCCCCTTTCGCCCCAACCACTCCTCCTGAGCTGCTCTTGCCCAGTCCCCAGTGACAGGCACAGCACCAAAGCCAACAGTCCGTCCTCAGGCCTCGTCTCCTGTGGCCCAGTTGGTCTCTCCTTCCCTGAAACCTGACTTCTCCTGCATCTCCTCCTACCCCCACCACCTCCCCTTCCCTGGGTCCCTGAGACCCATCCTAGCATTAGCATCTGGGGCGCAGTCCACACTCGCTGTGGGGTGGGGAGTGGGTGTTGCAGCCAGTCCTGGCTTCCAGCACCTCCCATTTGCTGACAATCCCCACATGTCCACTCTGAGTGGAATAGCCAAGGCCTGTCCACCGTCTCCCCTACCTGAGGGTGTGGCCAGAGCCGTGGAGGAGGGTGCGCTGGGAGAGCGGGAGGGGCAGGCCGTCCTTGAGCCAGCTCACGTGGATGGGCGGGGAGCCCCGCACAGGGCACACCATGGTCACCAGCTCCCCAGGCCTGCTCACCAGGGTCCCCGAGCCGTCTGCTCCCTGCTTGATGGTGGGAGGAACTGAGGGTGGGTAGAAAAAAGAGGGGTAGTGCGGAGGTCTTGGGAGGAAGGTGGGCTCCTCCCAGGGAAATCCCAGAAGTGGAGACCTGGACTTCTGCCGCCAGCAACCACAGTGGTCCCTTGTGAAGGATGAGGCCCGCTGCATGGGGGACACAGCCACTCCCTGACTCTCTTCTCACCTCCCGAATCTCCGCTATACCCTGGGCTGGCACTATTGTCCTCTAGTTTGAGGATGGGCCATGGAGGCCCAGGGAAGTGAGACCCGTGGCCCAGGACACAGTGTGGGCTTTGCTCACATGTCGCCTTATCTCCCGTGCCCAGGCCCACGCATCACCCTCCAGATGCCCTGGGGCTCCTCACCCAGCACATTCACCGTGTGCAGCCTGGCGTCCTCCCCGGCTGGGTTGTGGGCCACGCAGGTGTAGGCACCCGCGTCCGAGGCCCTCAGGCCTTTTAGCACCAGGGAGCCGCCGTCCAGGTAGAACCTGCCACAGGGAAGGAGGGCCCAGGGCAGAGGCGTAAGGGAACATGGGCCCTACCGCCTCTGGGGAGGGCATGGGCCAAGTCTTACCGGAGGTGGGGGCCCATGTCCTGGCCCAGCGGGCTGCCGTCCTTCAGCCAGGCCACGTCCGGCGGCGGCTGCCCATCGGCCTCACAGTCCAGCCGCACCTCCTGCCCTTCCAAGACATGGTGCTCCCGCGCCACGCCCGAGCTCCGGATCCGGGGGGCCACTGAGGCAGGGGTGCAGTGAGGCCCTGGGTGATGGCAGGGGCTGCCATGGGAGTGGGACAGGAGGGTGCAGGCGCAGACCTACCCAGCACTGCTACCACGAAGTCCTTGCGGGCCTCAGCCTGGGTGTTCTCAGCCACGCACGTGTAGGTGCCCGCCTGGGCCGGTTGCAGGCGGCTCAGCTGGAGGCGGCCCCCCCGGGAGACCACACCGTGCACCGCGCTGCTCTCTGTGGGACAGAGGGGTCCCCTGAATCCCCCAGCCCCTTCTTGTGCTCATAGGAAACTGAGCCCCACAGAGGCAGAGGCGCCTTCTTATATGTCCCCACCTTCCCCAGCCCAGTCTCTGTTCCTTAGAAGCCTTCCTCATTTCCTTCCACTTGAGACAGCTCTTCCCAAGGGACCCCCTCCCTTCAGTGTCCAGGATTTGCTCTCAGGCCCAGCTCTCAGCTCCCATCCTCTCCCTCCCCGCCCTGCCCCTCTACCCCCATCAATCAAGGTTTCTGCTTTTGCTTTCTCCCTCCATGCCCTGCCCCTCTACCCCTGTCTATCAAGGTTTCTGCTCAAGTCAAACCAGCCCCTCACTGACCCTACACAGGTCACACTGGGGCTTCCCCCTGGGCCTCTGCTCGGGCTCCTCCCACTCCCGGCCTTCAGGCCTCCCCCTTCATTCTCTCCAGCCACACCCCTGCCCAAAGCCATCTCTCACGGCCCCAGCCCAGGACGATCTCCTTGCCCAGATCCTCATGGATCCAGCCAGCCTCTCAACACAAAGACACGAGCAACTGCCCCATGTCCAGCGCAGAGCCTGGGAATCAAGATGAGGGCAGCTCAGTCCCTGTCCTCAAGGAGTTCACAATGTATCGGGGGTGGGGGCCATGAAACAAGGGGACCCAGTGCTGACAAGCCCTGTGAGCCCCTGATGGAGCCGGGGAACTTGGGGGACAGGAAGGGTGGGGGAGGGCTTCCAGAGGTGGTGAATCTCCGCTGAGACGTGAATGTTGAGCAGTAGTCAGCCGGGGGGAGCAGAGGTGACCACGGGAGCCTGGGTGGGTATTCCAGGCAGGGAACACATGTGCCAAGAGCTGGACGCAAAGGGAGGTGGGGCCTGCAGCCACCTGACCCGCGAGAGGCGATGACACAGGTCCACACAGAAACACGAACACGGAGGTTCACAGCAGCACTGAGCATCTCAGCCAAAAGATGCAGCCACCCCAAATGCCCATCAACTGACCAGTGGATGCACAACACGCGACACAGCCACACAATGGAATATTCAGCCACAGAAGGGAATGAAGAGAAAAATTTAATTTTTAAAAATAAGGAAGCACTGGCTGGGCACGGTGGCTCATGCCTATAATCCCAGCACTGTGGGAGGCCGAGGCAGGTGGATCACCTGAGGTCAGGAGTTCAAGACCAGCCTGACCAACATGGTGGAACCCCATCTCTACTAAAAATACAAACATTAGCTGGGCGTGGTGGTGCGAGCCTGTAATCCCAGCTACTCGGGAGGCTGAGGCAGGAGAATCGCTTCAACCCAGGAGGCAGAGGTTGCAGTGAGCCGAGATTGTGGCACTGCACCCCAGCCTGGGTAACAGAGCGAGACCCCGTCTCAAAAAAAAAAAAAAGAATGAAGTACTGATCCATGCTACAACACGGATGAAACTTGAAAACACGCTAAGTGGAAGAAGCCAGACACAAAAGGCCACACACTCTATGATGCCATTAATGTGAAATGCCCAGAACAGGCCAATCCACAGAGACAGAAAGCAGATTTGTGGTTTCCTGGGTCTGGGGGAAGAAGAAATGGGGAGAAAACGGGGAGTGATTGCTAATGGATACGGGTGTCCTTTTGGTGATAAAAATGTTCTAAATTTGATTGTGGTGATGGTCACACAACTCTGTGACTGTACTACAAATCACTGAATTGGATGTTTTCAGTGGGTGAATTATATAGTGTGTGAATTATATCCCAATAAAGCTGTTACTGAGAGAGAGGGGCAGGTTCGAGGAGCCAGCACAGCCACGTTTAGCGCATGGAGGGGCAGGGAGAGGTGGCTGGCAGTGCCGGCCCCTGCTGTGGACGGATTTCCACCAGACAAGGGACCAGCTCCGAGCTGTACCTTCAGACCTTTCTGCCCCACGTGGAGCCTGCGTGAGAGGCACAGTGGGCCCAGGAGACCATGTGGGGCTTCTGCCGTCATGCGGAGGAACGGTGGGCACAGCAGCGGCCAGAATGGGGAGGCCTGGATGGGGGATGGGGTTGACCAACGGCCCAGCTAGGACCGAGCTGAGTCACCACCAAGGAGCAGCTCTGGGGGCCAATGCTGAGCCCAGTGTCAGCCAGTGGGCTTTCCATGGCCCTCAGCACCTGCCCTGCGCAATGGAGAGCCCACGTCTGCTGTCTCATGGGAGCTGACTGAGGACGTGGATGCAAAGGAGCTTCCAAACCCTCACAGGAGACGCTCTTTATGTTTGGATTCCAAGGGCCAATAAACAACGCTTCACTCAAACACAAATGGTGGGGGGGGGGGCAACACGGCACTGCCAGTCTCTGGTTTTGCCAAGATCATCAACAACCAATAACTTCCTTCGTCCGCTTCTGCTGTCATCTTATTAAAGAAAGGAATGCTTTACGCGAAACAGACAAGGACAGATGTGCTCACCCACAGGCATCCTGTCCTTCAGCCAAGTGACCGTGGGTGCAGGGACCCCGGACACATCACAGGTCAGGACCAGGGGGCTCCCAGCCACCTGGCTCACTGTCTCTGTCTTGGGGTTCTCAAATGTTGGGGGCACTGCAGGAAGAAAGCCAGACTGTCAGAATTCTGAGACTCTTCCCCAATTTCCTTCCCCTCAGGCAGATCAGGGAGGCCTAAGAAGCCCTTCCTGGTAGTTAGGAGTTCCCATTCTATGTTTTATTCACAAATGTAAATAGAACCAGTGCCTGGCTATTTTAAAGCATACAAAGCAAAGCTCCAGCGGGGTCTCCTTAGCCCAAGGATGGTAAATGGGAGGCTCACTCACCCACAGTCCTTAACCTGTGCCAGGGCAGACATCACTAATCGATCCCAACACTCTCTCCTGCTCCGCCAGGATGAAGTCACACACCCCAGGCAGACACCACCAGCGGAACAGAGTCAACCAGGCTCAAGATGAAATGCCTTTGCCCTCAGGGACCAGATATTCCCCCTTTCCACTGTTCATCAATGTAGCCATCAGAAAGGGCTGGGAGCTTTGAGCAGCAAGCCTGGTGTCAGTCCCTTTCTTGTTACTTTATTTTTTATTTTTTGTAGATTCAAGCTTCTCACTATGTCGCCCAGTCTGATCTCAAACTCCTGGGCTCAAGTGATCATCCCTGCCTCAGCCTTTCAAAGTGCTGGGATTACAGGCATGAGCCCCTGCACTCCATCTTGTCAGTCCTTTTCAACGATTGTGTTGTGTATGGCTCAGGGTTGCATGTGCCCACCGCTCACCTGGTTGGGAGGCTACTGGCTTTGGCATCTGTGGCAGATGGCTGGTGTCCCCTCAGCCCGTTCTTCCCACTGTGCATAGCAGAGTTTTAGCTGAGCCCACGATCACTCTAGCAGAAACTACATTTCCCAGTGTCCCCTGCAGCCAGCTGCCTGAGCGCTCACTAATGGAATACACGCAGAAGGGACAGGTGCAACTTCTGTATGAAATAAATGCTTGCCCACCACTTCTGCTCTTTTCTGCTTCCTGTGGGCCAGGACACGATGCCGTGTCCCAGTTTCAACCATATGCACAAGAACAACACCCTAAGAAATGGAAGATCAACAGGAGGGAAGGAACCCGGGTCCCTTAACTACCGCATGGAGCCGAGCTACCCACCAGCCTAGACACCCACCTCTGGGCTTTTGAATAAGAGTTAAACTCTCTCATTTACTCAACTATATTTTGGGGTCTTTTTGTGGCACGGCTAAGTCTCTATTCTAACTAACATGACATCTGAGCACCAGAAAATCTGGCCAAGTTTCCTGGACAGTGTAAATAGGCTCCTCCTCACCCCAGCTGGAGCCACATGTCCAATCAAACAGCATCTGTGCTCCATCCTTGGGTGGATGGGACAGGCCCCCCTGGGGATCAAGATGCAGGTAACGTGGCCTCCTGTGTGTCTGATCTCATAGGGCTCCTTCATCTTAGTGCCCACATGCCAGGCCCTGTGCCCAGCACTTTATAGACACTGTCATGGCGGTCCATGGGATCCATGGCAGGTCCACTGTGCCTGGCAGGCAGCTACTGCTTTTAGACTCATTCACTGAAGGTAAACCTTAGGCTCTGAGGGACAAAGTCACTCTACTAAGCTCCATGAAGCAGGTCACTGGCAGAGTTCTATTTGGAGCCTGCTAACCTTAGTTTTTTAAATTCTAGAAATTAGCTGGGTGCAGTGGCTCACGCCTGTAATGTCAGCACTTTGGGAGGCTGAGGCAGGAGGTTTGCTTGAGCCCAGGGGTTCGAAACCAGCCTGGGCAACATAATGAGGCCCCATCTCTACAAAAAGAAAGAGATGTAGATATAGATAGGTACACAAATTCTAGTCATTGTGCCTTCAGCACTTGGCAGCACTGCCTCTGCCCAGCTATTGTCTTTGTCCTCCTTGGCAGCCCTGGGTGTTGCTAGGGGCTCCACAGTCACGTTGGCTAGGCTGGTCCCTGGCTTACCCTGGACGGTGAGGGTGAAGGTCCGCACGGCCTCCCCAGCCACGTTGCTGACTTTACAGCTGTATAAACCTTTATCCGATACCTGAAAGAGGAAGAGCACACAGTGGCTGTGTGCTGGAGCTGGAAGTGGGGTGCTAGGGCTCCCCAAAAGCATCTAGGCCCCCAAAACTTCCAGAGCAGGGGCCTCCCAAATATGCTGGTCCTGACTGGGGAGCCAAAGGGAATCAGGACGCTCTGGCCTTTTCCAAGAGCCTCAAGAAGCAGAAGGGCCCCTCAACAGTGAATACACAGGCTCTGGGGACCTCCCTCCCTGGGCCAAGCTGGCAGGAAGAGGTCCCCCTTGCTGTGGGGATGGAGCCTGGCCAGGAATGGATTTCGAGGGGGACAGCAAACATTCATCCAACAAACACTGTGAGCATCTAATCCACTCCACGGAAGGAGGGAGGGAGGGCAGGGCAGACTCCCAGGAGTCTCAGATGGTCAGCCGGAGCGGACCAGATAAAAGCATCTAGATGCTGAGGAAACCGAGGCAGGAAGGGCTCATGCCATGACTGCAGGGCTGGGTCTGGAACGTGACTCCAGAGCCCTGAGCTCTGCCCATGTCTTCCACCCTGGAAGCTGCTAATCCACTCGGTTTGGGGTCTGACAGGCCAAGGAGGCAGCAACTCACATCCTGCCCACCTTCCTCCCCGCAGCTCGCCAGGGCTGGGAGGCGACTTTCCTGCAGCGCTCATGGCTGCCCGTGCCCCCAGGGTTGCTCACCTGGGCTTCCTGGATCTCCAGCCTCTGCCCACCCCGCAGAGCCTGGGTCCGCTGTGCCAGGACCAGGGGCTGCCCATCCTTGTACCAGGTCACAGTTGGCTCAGGGAGCGCATCTGTCTCGCAGCTCAGGACAGCTTTGTCCCCGACCCTCACCAGGACCGCATCCTGGGGACCTCTGGGAGCCTGCCTGAAGGCCGGGGGAACTGGGGGCAGGAGATAGCAGAGTGAGGTGCTGCAGCTGTCCCTGCGCCCTCCCCACTCAGCCACAGGGAAAATGCCAGTGGAAACCCACCAGGGTCACACAGCAGACCCAGCCCCGGGGGCTGGCGCAGACCCAGGGGAGGTGGAGGAAGAGAACCAGGCCAGCACGCCAAGGACCCACTGAGTGACCAGGGACAGCCTCCTGCCTCTCTGAGCCTCAGCCTCCTAGATGGGGGAGATGCTGTCGCCCGCCCCCACCCAGGCTTTTTCCTACAGGGGCAGGCCCCAGCTGGGTTACAGCTCTCTGTCGAGGCCCGTTCAGCCCCTGTGGCTCCAGTGAACCAATGTAGAAGCCCTCCTTCCCCATGGCTGTGAGCCCACAGGCCTAGCGCAGTGTCTGGCTGGTGTTCGTGCAAGTGAATGGACCAGCCCCGGGGCTAGAAAGAACCTTCCAGCGAGTCCTTGCTAAAGACACCTTGGGCCAGCTTTTCCCCAAGAGGATTCTGAAGACCACGAGCCTTGAAACAGGCTCCACTGTGAAACAGGCTTCCCCCACCACACAAGGCTTGGGGAGGCCCCTTCCCCAGCCAGGCTCCTGGGGCCCGTCCCACTGCTCCCCCTCCTCAGAGCTGATCTGTGCGGGCGTCCCAGCCTCCCCCTGTGCCTCCTGGCCCTCTCCTGTCTATGTTCTCTGGGGGAGTATGGGCTGAGGGGTGACTGAAGGAGTGGGGACAGTACAAGTTGGGGACAGACATGGACATACCCAGAACACTGAGCTGCACCAGCTTCTGGTCTCGGCCGGCAGCATTGAGGGCTTCGCATGTGTACATCCCGGAGTCCGACAGCCGTGCTCTCCCCAGCTGCAGCGTGTGGGTGCCTGCCGGGGGAAGCCAGCCCCTCACACCAGCATTCCAGCCCAGCCCCCAGTCCTAAATCCCTGCACGACTGACGGCCCTGTCCCAGGTCGGGGGAGCAACTCTCTCCCCATGTAACCTTAGAGCTGGGCCGGACACCTCAGTTTACCCACCAGGCAGGAGGAAGACCTCTTCACCCAGGGAGAGGGCCTGGCTGTCCTTGTACCACGTGACCTCGGGGTTTGGGTGAGCGTGGACGTCGCAAGGGAGGGAGACGCTGCTGTTGAGGATGGCAGTGACCTGCTCCAAGTCCAGGCCTGCGATTCGTGGCGGGACTATCCCCACAGCCACCACGGTAGAGAAAGGCATGAGAATCACACCAGCAGGGGAGCACAGAGCCCAAGAGAAACCCTGAGCCTCACCCAGCTCCTGGGGCTTCACCTCGGCACAACTTCAAATAATTCAGAAACCTCCATTTGCCATGACTCTCTTACACAGAAGGACACTGGGTAGGGGATCAGAGAGGGAGAGTCACTGTTCCAAGGCCACACAGCTGGTCAGTGGCAGAGCTAAGATATCAATTCAGGTTTGAGCCCATGACCTTGAGGGCTCAACACTATCTTCCTCCATCTCCAAGACCATCTGGAGACAGAACTCACAGCCACTGCAGTGCGGTGTACGTCATGAGTTGCAGAGGTTAGGAGTGCAGGCTCCGGGACAGTGAGACCCCCCCAATCCCACTCCTCTCTGAGGGCGACCTCCCTGAGTCTCCTCCCACAGCTGCAAAGCTGGGTGGGCTAACCTAGCTCTGCTGGAAGGAGTCAGCCCAGGGAAAGTGCTCAGCCTCGTGTCAGGTACACAGTAAGTGCTCAGTAATGGTGGTGGTAATGCCTGGCCATCTCCAAAGTTGCTTAAAACCACCTGGGGTTGGCCCAGTAGTGATCAGGGCCCCCCAAATGCTCTCTGTCTCGGGATGTGGCTGGGGCCAGCTGGGATCCCTGAACTCTGATTGCAGGACCCAGAGCCCAGGATACTGGAAGCCCCAAGGCAGTGCCCCCTGGGAAGGGAAAAGGAACCCACAGGGGCTGCCTGCTCAGCCCAGCTCACCTTGAACCCTGAGGGTGAAGAGCTTCTCAGCGGAGCCCGCCTGGTTCTCGGCCACACACATGTAGCTGGCGGCGTCGGCCACCTCTGCCGTGGAAACCTGTGGGTGCAGGGAGCCATGCCTGGGAGATACCTGAGACCCCTTGGACACCACCACCCCCAGGAATGACTGCGAGGAATCCCTCCCATCCCATGCCAGGGAAGCAGGCACCAGGCAGCTCATGGAGACCTGGAACCTCCTCCATCCAGGGCCTTGTGTGGCGCTCAGGAGCGGGCGTGTGAGGTTGGTGTTGGGTGGTTCTCTGTAGCAAACCAGATGTGACAAGAGCCTCCCCCACCCCTGTGGAGGGCCGTGCTGTGTGTGTTGGGCTCCCAGGGTCCCCGCAGCTCTGTGTCTGCACATGGGGTGACTCAGGGGGCTGCCTGATGTCTGAGTGCTGGGCACGGCTCTGCACGCGCCAGCTGGTGATCCCGCGGAAGGCTGCTGTGTGCGGTGCTGGGCTCTGGGTCCCGCACCCATGTGCATCCTTTGCTAGGTGTCTCCTGAAGCTCTGGATGCCGTGCACAGGCCTGTGCTGGCCCAGCATGCCTCCTCACAGGTGATTCTTGGCTGGGCTCCAGCATGGTTCCCAGCAAAGAGCCTCATTTGCAGATAATGACCCCTCCCTGGCTCCCAGACAAGTGGTGCTGGGCCTCAGCAGCCACTGCCCCTAGCCCGTGCAGGGGGCTGCCCTGACCTGCAAGACTTGCCCGTCCTCCAGGACCTGCAGCCGTGGGCTCGGGGAGAAAGGCAGCCCATTCTGGAGCCATGAGATGGTGGGCACGGGGTTTCCCAGGGCCGGGCACTGCAGGCTGACGGTGCTGCTGGCATTGACTGTCACCTCTTCCACCAGCTCCTCTGTGTCACCCAGGATCACAGGTGGGGCTGGGGGTGGGGGAGAGGGGGCTGAGGGGCTGGCACAGGTCCCTGGGGGCGGGGGTGGCCGTGGAGGCGAGAGTGGCACTTGGTGTCAGGTGCTGGTCGGGATCCTCATGCCCTTCTCTCCAAGCCCTCCCAATCCCTGATGCAGCTAAGGAATCGGGGGCACAGAAAGGGTTGTGATTTGCTCAATGTCACACAGCTAGGAAGCTTCTGACTTGGAACCTGCGCCCAGTCCTGCATGATTCTTTGAGGCCGAGCATGTAACTCCAATTTCAACCTCTGAGTACAGCAAGACTGTGTGCACTTTGCCTCGGCCCCTTCTGAGGGAGGCCCTTACGGCGCTTGCAGTCCCGGGAATCCCCACCTGCAGGCCCCGCCACTCACTCAGCACCAGCAGCTCGTAGTGCAGCCAGTCCTCGCCCACCTCGTTGGAGGCCTTGCACGAGTACCTCCCGGCGTTCTCTGCCCGCACCAGGGGGATCTGCAGGACCCGGCCTCCTGCAGGGACACGGGACAGAGGCCTGGGCTCAGGCACGAGAGTCACCCCCAAGAGCAAAGACGCTGCCCCCTCCTCTGGAGTGGACCTGGGACATGTGACTGTCCCTGCCTCATCTGTGAAATGAGGAGAATCGGCCTGTCCTGCCCAGCTCACGGGTGGAGTGGAGTCAAGTCAGGGTACAGCCACCACTCGCTGCGTGCCAGGCCCTGGGCTGCACATTCTCGGCCTGTCCCACAGTGCCTCTGTGGGGCACACGCTGTTGTCACTCCCATCTTACAGATGGCAAACCTGAGCCTTCATGGCAGTGCTGGGGGTGACAGCAGTGGTTGCTGGCTCAGCTCTGCTGTTGTGCTGAGCCCAGCTCCTTGGTAAGGGCAGAGTCCAAGCAGAGACTCAGGAGGCAAGGGAGGCAACTCCTGGGGCTGTGGTGGTTGGCGGGGGTAGAAGTAGGGGTAGGGGCTGGGGAGGCATCGCCTGGGACCCTCTGTGATCAAAAGCCAGCCAGGGGCCAGGCACAGTGGCTCTCGCCTACAATCCTACAATCCCAGCACTTTGGGAGGCCAAGGCAGGTGGATCACCTGAGGTCAGTAGTTCAAGACCAACCTGGCCAACACGGCGAAACCCCATCTCTACTAAAAATACAAAAATTCCCCGGGTGTGGTGGTGCACACCTGCAATCCTAGCTACTCAGAAGGCTGAGGTAGGAGAATCACTTAAACCCAGGAGGCAGAGGTTGCAGTGAGCCAAGACTGCCACTGCACTGTAGCCTGGGCAACAGAGTGAGACTCTATCTCAGAAAAAAAAAAAGAGCCATCCAAGGCCAGAGCCTGGCATCTATGGGGGCTGGCGTTGGTCTCCAGTGGGGGCCTGGTTAGGGTTACTGTGTGCTCAGAATTCTAGGCTGGGGCTGGCCGGCCCGGGCTGTGGGTAGCTTGACCAGGTTAAGAGCCTGCAGAGCCCAGTGGCCAGGATTGAGGCAGCAGTGGCATTGTAGGGGTCAGTTGATGTTTGAGGTCAGTGTAAGGTCAGGGTAAGAATTCAGGTCAGCCGTGACCATGACGCCTATTTTCTCAGGATTAGAGAACAGAGGTTAGAGGTCAGTTGTCAGGGTGAGAGGTGAGTGGTAGGGTTGGAGGTAAGTGGGCAGGACTGGGGGGCAGTTGGTGGCTGTGGTCTGGGTTCAGCTATTGGTTGGGATTAGCTGATGGTTAGAGTCTGATCGGGATCAGCAGGTCAGAGCCTACTGTGCACCCAGGACTTGGGGTCAGGATCAGTGGTCAGTGGCCAGGTTAAGGGGTCTGTCCAGAGGTTTCTAATAGGAACTAACAGTGTTCAGTAAGAGTTGCACTCCTGGATCTGCAAGAGGCCTCCTTCTTTTTTTTTTTTTTTTCTTTTTTTGAGATAGTCTTGATCTGTCACTCAGGCTGGAGTGCAGTGGTGTGATCACGGCTCACTGAAGCCTTGACCTCCTGGGCTTAAGGGATTCTCCTTCTTCAGCCTCTTGAGTAGCTGGGACCACAGGTACATGCCACCACGCCCAGCTAGTTTTAAAATATTTTGTACAGACGGGGTCTCACGATGTTGCCCAGGCTGGTCTTGAATACCTGGGCTCAAGCGATCCTCCCACCTCAGCCTCCCAAAGTGCTGGGATTACAGGTGTGAGCCACGGCGCCCAGCCACCTCCTTTTCTTGCAAGCACCAAAGTAGAAATCCTGGTCTGATTCTGCTCATTGGAGACCTGTGCAACTGACCACTTCTCCCCAAAACCAGCCCCATTGCCGGCCCATCTCTGGCAGGACACAGTTCGAATCTCAAACAGAGAGACCACCCACGCTTCCCTCATGAGCCAGGTGGGCCGGGCATTTCTAAGCCCCACCCCTGGAGCCTTTTAAGTCAAAATCACCTACAAAAAATTATTCTAAAATAAAAGGTTTACTTAAAAAAATTAAATTACCTTAAATAAACAAATACCTCTTAAGGTGGTGAAAGAAAAAACAAAACCTGGCTGAGCGTGGTGGCTCACGCCTATAATCCCAGCATGTTGGGAGGCCGATCCGAGACGGTGGATCACCTGAGGTCGGGAGTTTGAGACCAGGCTGGCCAACATGGAAAAACCCCATCTGTACTAAAAATACAAAAAGTAGCCAGGCGTGGTGGCGCATGCCTGTAATCCCAGCTACTTGGGAGGCTGAGGCAGGAGAATCACTTGAACCCAGGAGGTGGAGGTTGCAGTGAGCCAAGGTTGCACCATTGCACTCCAGCCTGGGCAACAAGAGCGAAACTCTGTCCCAAAAAATAAAAATAGAAAAAAATAGAAAAAAAACCCAGACACAAAAGACATGAGTTCAGCCACCACAGTGTGCCCTTCAATGCCCAGCTAGAGCTTCGTCAGCGTTTGGGGTCATGAGCTTTGTTGACGATTAACAAAGAAGCCAGCTGCCTCTGCAGAGAAAGTGGCAGCTTCTGCCGATCATTTAAGGACATTACAGATCTTGAAGCCCAGAAGGGCATGCCCCATGATAGGAGGCTCTGCTCTATAAACCAGAGGCAAAAGGCAATCCAGTCTTTGCCTTCACACAGGCAAAGAACTTGTAGCCCCAGTTTACAAATTGCAGCTAAGGTCCAGAGTGGTTGTGTGCTCTGCTTAAGGTCACACAGCAGGCAGCACACAGGAGAGCTCAAAGCGCCCACTTTCTTCACGCACCCCTGACCCACCTTGCAGCACAGACACCTCATCCCCGGCCGAGAGGGGCTGATCCTCTCTGTACCAGGTGAGGTCCGGGGGTGGGATCGCGTTGGTGTCGCAGTACAGGTAGGCTGGGTTGTTCTCCACGATCTCCCTGTATTCCGTGACTCCGCCCCGGGCCTCCTCCTCCCGGGACAGGATCTCGAAGGCTGCACTGAAATCACCCACCTTCTGGAACATGGGGGGCACTGGGTGGGGGAGACAAAGCCCTTAGGAAGCACAGCAGAGGGGTGGGGAATGCACCTCTGCTCACGGAGATTCTCGTCCCAGCCTCTCCCAAGCGGAAATCCATTACTTGAGCCATTCCCTTGGGTCAGGGCATTTGTTAAATTCCCTCACTCCCTAAACCGGTGTTTATTGAGCAACTAGTATGTGCTGGGCACTAGGATAAGGCTCATTCCCTAAGCAGCTCATGTCTAATGGACGCTAAAGACTCCCTGTAACATGGAAATATTTTTCACAGTTGGAAGCCAGATACTAAGCTTCAGCCGATGTTTGTCTATCAGAGCATAGAGGCACAAAATCATCAGCTTTAGAAATGGAGGGGGGCCCTCAAGGTCACCTGCTCTGATCACCTGCATTTTACAAAGGATCAAATTAAGGCCTGGAGGGGGCCGTGTCATCCCCAGGTTGTCCCCAGGTAACATAACCAGTTCATGACAGAGCCAGAGCTAGAGGACTGGTGGCCAGAAGCACCGGAGATGAAAAAGGGTATGAGCAGCCCAGAGCAGGTGTTCCTCCTGCCAGGACACTCCATGGGCATTGTGTAGCAAAACCTGGTTCTGAACACTTATCCATCGCCCAGCTTGCCTGTCAGCCTCCTGCCTCCCTGCCTCCCCGCCTCCCCGCCTCCCCATTCTAGCCTCCCAGCCTCCCGCTCCCAGCCTCCCCTTCCCACCTCCCTGCCTCCCCCTCCCAGCCTCTTTCCCAGCCTCCCCATCCCAGCCTCCCACTCCCAGCTCCCTGCCTCCCAGCCTCCCCTTCCTACCTTCCACCCTCCCCCTCCCGGCCTCCCCCTCCCAGCCTCCCTGCCTCCCCCTCCCAGCCTCCCCATCCCAGCCTACCAGCCTCCTCATCCCAGCCTCTCAGCCTCCCCTTCCCAGCCTCCTCCCCAGCCTCCTCATCCCAGCCTCCCAGCCTCTCCCTCCCAGCTTCTCTGACTCCCGGCTCCCTCCTTTCCTTCCTTCACTTTTTAAAAAGGAAAACGTCAAACACTGACGCAAGCAAGAGAAGAATATAATGAGCCCCAGGTACCCACAGGCAGTTTCAACCATTGAGGCCGCCACTCAGCTTACTCTCGACCAGAGATTCTGAAGCAAATCCCCAGGTTTCCCTAACAACGCGAGAGGCATCTGGCAGAGGGGCTAAGAGTGTGGCGTTCTGGCTCAACCAGACCATTCCAGGCTCCACCACTCAATTCTGTGGTTTGGGGCCACAGCCCTCATGTCTTGACTTTGGTCCCTCAAGGCAGAGGGGTTGGGGCAGGGTGCCGTTCTGGGCTGCTGAGATGAGCCAGTGGGAGATGCCACGGGTGGCGCGTGAGCTGCAGGACACATGGTGGGGGCCTGCGGAGGGCCAGCCCCACAATGTCCTCACACTGGCTGACGCCCCACCCCTGGCCCACTGGCGCCACGCACCCTGGATGAGCACGTTGAAGTCCTGGTCGTCCTCGCCAGCCACATTGGTGGCCACACACAGGTACCGCCCCGAGTCTGAGACCTGTGTGGGCTGGATCTGGAGCAGTCGCCCTTCACCCAGGACCTGCAGCCGCGAGCTGGGGGTCACGGGCTGTGAGGAGGATGAGGGGGTCAGGGGAAGGGAGATCAGAAATGAGGGGCCACGAGCAGCAAGACAAATGTGCTTAATTCTCAATACATTCTCCAAAAATGCAGCATAAAGTGACAAGAACACCCTGAGACGTTTATAAAACCAAATCCATAGAGCCTAAAGATGAGAAGGGCCACACATGGGTGAAAATAGTAGAGTTTAAAGTTTACAAAGAGTTCAACTTTTTATTAAAAATATGGCTGGGCGCAGTGGCCAGGCCTGTAATCCCGGAACTTTGGGAGGCCAAGGTTGGTGGATCACAAGGTCAGGAGTTTGAGATCGGCCTGGCCAACATAAAGAAGCCCCATCTCTACTAAAAATACAAAAAATTAGCCAGGCGTGGTGGCGGGCGCCTATAATCCCAGCTACTCAGGAGGCTGAGGCAGGAGAATCACTTGAACCCAGGAGGCAGAGGCTGCAGTGAGCCAAGATCGTGCCACTGTACTCCAGCCTGGGTGACAGAGCGAGACTCTGTCTCAAAAATAAAAATAAAAAAATAAAATAAAATAAAGGCTGGGTGCGGTGGCTCATGCCTGTAATCCCAATACTTTGGGAGGCCAAGGCGGGCAGATGACCTGAGGTCAGGAGTGCGAGACCAACCTGGCCAACACGGTGAAACCCCATCTCTACCAAAAATTACAAAAATTAGCTGGGCATGGTGGCGGGCACCTGTAATTCCAGCTACTCAGGAGGCTGAGGCAGGGAGAATTGCTTGAACCCAGGAGGCAGAGGTTGCAGTGAGCCAAGATTGCACCACTGCACTCCAGCCTTGGTGACAGAGCAACACTCCATCTCAAAAAAAATAAAAATAAAATAAATAAAGGGTGACTGGGGCCCGGACCAGCTCTAGGGCTAGGTGCTTTAAGGGAAGCCTTTTCTGGAAGGTTCCAAGCAGAACCAGCCGGAAGCAGAGGTGAGAGCCAGAAGCTGCGCAGGGGGTCCCAAACTCACCTGTCCATCCTTGTACCAGCGGATGGTGGGCGGGGGCACAGCCCAGCTCTCACACTCCAAGGTCAAGGTGCTGTTGACCTTGGTCTTCACCTCCTTCACGCCGACCTCCGCCAAGGGGTCGTCTTTGGAGATGGAAGGGGGGACTGAAAAGCACGAGGGGTCTGAGAGCAGAGCTGGGGGATGGGTGCTGAAACCCTGAGCTTACCCTGGTCCTGGGGGTAGCCTCAGAAATGGGGGCCGGCCCAAGAGACACAGGGATCCTGGAAGCCAGCCTGCTCCTGGCTGTCCACTTAAGGGAGAGAGCATTTGTCTGCAAGAGTTATAGGATGGGGCAGGTCTGAGGCAAGGGAATTTCTGGGGTCACCTCAGAGGACTTCCTTGGGGGTCCCCAGTCTCAATCTGCAGAGCCTCTGTTTATACTCCAAAGCAGAAGTGGCAGGAGGAAGCTAGGACTGCAGTGGGTCTGGGAGCCCAAGTGGCACATGCCCTAACTCACTGTTCTCTCCTCATTGTGTCCTCTGGAGCCCGCCCTAGCTGCCCGGTGACTGTCAGAGGACATATGCCACATGGAGACTCCCTGGAGCACCAAGGGTGGCTCAGGTGCCTGGGCCCCTAGGTTCCCGGGCGGTCTTCTGCCCACCCGGCTGTGCCCCAGGGTCCCCGACTCACTGAGCACTTCCACATGGTAGTTTTTCACGGCCTCCCCGAGCTCATTGGTGACCACGCAGGTGTACTGGCCAGCATCTTCCTTCTGGGCATTCAGGATCTGCAGCCCGTGGGTACCTGTGTGGGGGCCAGTGGCCAGGGTCACCCCAAATCTGCAGCCTCATGCCAGGCATGAGGACAGGCTCACAGGTCCTCTCCTCCAATTCTGATGACATGTCACCTGTTCCCTCCCTCCTTTCCCCCCAGAGGGCGTCACCTGGGAGCAGCTGGATGTTCCTGGAGGCCTCAAACGGGGCCCCGTCCTTCATCCAGGTGATGTTGGGGGAAGGGAAGGCCAGGGCCTCGCAGATCAGAGAGATGGGGTTGTTGACAGTCACGGTCACCTCCTCATCTGCACTGTCCTCGGCCCCTCCCAGGATGGTGGGAGCCACTGTGATGGGGGGCCAGGGAGGCAGTTATGAGCAGAGATCCCTGACCCTAGACTAAGGACCAGGAAAGCCTCAGACCCCGGTGCTTGGCCTCGGTACTTCTGTCAGTTACATTACAGAGATGGGAAACTGAGGCTCAGAGAAGCCCATGCCCGGGGTGGCCAGGCTTGAACTCAGGCCTGGGTGACCCAGAGCCCGGCTCTCCAAACGCTAAGCAATACTACAAGGGAAAGCTGAATAATTTTTGCCTCCATTTCCCCATAGCTTCTCAACATCCAGCCTCTCTACCAATTAACCAGAGGCTTCTCAATTCTGTTTGAGGGGGGAGTGGGAGTTGGGGGCTTTGTTCCCCGCTGAGTAGAGTAGCTTTGCTTTCATTGGTCCCAAGATTTCTTCTTTCAACTCCCGCAGGGGACTCTCCTTTTAACTGCCAGCATTTTAGAAACAGATTTTTCTAAGCTGGTCTGTGCCCCTCTCATTTGATAGATGCTCTGTTTCTCCAGGCTTACAGAATAGTAGGTATGTATTGTCCTCAGGAGATGGAGAGATGCCTAGTTGTGAACCCACCACCCTGGGGCCTGGCAATAACTCTTGTCACCTCTCTGAGCCTCAGGGCTTCATCAATGACATGGGGACAAGCACATCTCCCACCTCCTAGTGTCATTGTGAAGATTCAGTCAGGCCTGTTGAAATGCCTGGCCCATAATAAATGTTCCGTCAATAGAGTCGCTATATGATTTTTGTTGTCAAACTCGGAGAATTAGAAGAAAAATAGTAGAATGGTTTGTGGGAAGTTGTCTGTAAGGAGCCAGTCACCTTGCTTCTCCCTCCCTCCAGCACCCGCGGTGGCCAGGAGATGCCCAAAACTTACACAGGACACTGAGCTGGAAGTGTTTGGTCTTCTCCCCAACAGCGTTGGCTGCAATGCAGGAGTAGTGGCCAGCACTGGACAGGTTTGCCTGGAGGACCTGCAGGAGGACTCCGTCTGGGGAGATGTGGTGAGCATCTCCCCTAGCCAGAGGCCGGCCATCTTTGAACCATGTGAGCTTGGGCTGTGGGTGGCCTGTATGCAGAGCAGAGAATGAGACAATTTGGCAGGCTTTGACTAGGGCAGCCCAGGGGTCACAGGCTGCTCCCAGATGGATCAGGGGATGTGAATTTTCCATTCCGGCCCAGAGGCCCATGAAGCACAAGAAGAAGCAGCAGCAGCCTGTGCCCCTTCCTCTGTGATTTGGCTGCCTTCTCCTTACTGAGGAATGGCTAGAGATGGCTTAGCATAGACAGGCAAGACAGAAAAACAAGGTATTCCTTCCATCCATTCATTCATCCACCCACCCACACACCACCCACCAATCCATCCATCCATCCAACCATCCATTCATCTACCTACTCACCTATCCTTCCAGTCAATCAATCATCCATTCATCTCTCTATTCGTCCACACACCCACCGCCCACCCATCCACCCAACCATCCAACTATCCAACCATCCATTCATCTACCTACCCAACTATCCCTCCATTCAACCAATCATCCATTCATTTCTCCATTCATCCATCCACCCAACCATCCACCCATTCACCCACCCAACCACCCAACCATCCAACCATCTACCTACCCACCTATCCTTTTATTCAGCCACAAATTTCTCCATCCATCCATCCATCCATCCATCCATCCATCCATGCACCCATCCACACATCCATCCATCCATCCAACCCTCATTCATTCATCCACCCATTCATCTACCCATCCACCTACCTATCCATCTATCCATCCACCTACCTATCCATCTATCCATCCACCTACCTATCCATCTATCCATCCACCTACCTATCCATCCATCCATCCATCCATCTACCTATCCATCCATCTATCCATCCATCCATCCATCCATCCACCCACCTACCTATCCATCTATCCATTCATCCATCCATCCATCCATCCATCCATCCATCCACCCACCCACCCACCCATCCATCCATCCATCCATCCATCCTTCAACCCATAAGCACGAATGGGAGCCTACTCTGCCAGGCACTGGGGAAACCATGGTGACAAGGCAGCAGCTGGGTCTTCAAGAAGCTCAGATGCCACAAGGCCACTATGGTCCAATGTGGGTCAGTGCTAGGACAGGGAAGCACTGGGGCTTGTGGGAGCCCAGTGGAGATGGCCCACTGAGCCTTAGGGGCCAGCCAAGGACTCCCTGTGGAGGGTCCTGAAAGCTGAGGTCTGTAGTGAGGTGGGGAGAGGGAAGAGTGTTTGGGATGGAAGAACACATGCAAAGATGAGCTGGGACCTGGTGCCGAGTCCAAGATGTAGAGAGACCCCAGTCAGGAGGAGTGGGGCTGGGGCAGGTGGGCAGATCCCCAGGGATCCCCTCCTTTCTGAAGGTGCCTTCCCGCCCCTTCTCCCAGCCCATCACATCATGTGGCCCTTACCTGTGACGTTGCACATAAGATGGGCAGTCTGTCCATCAAGGACCTTGATCACCTCCTCCAAGTCCTCGTTCTCAATACTGGGAGGAACTGGGAGAAGCAGGGAGACAAATGGCTAGTGATGGGGTGGGGGGGGGGGCTGGCCCGCCCAGGCTACACAATCACAGAACAAGAAGCCAAGAGCCCACCGTTTCTTGTGCCTCAGTTTCCCCATCCCATGCCTGTTTCCATAGGGTGGTGAGTTTAAGAAACATTTCCTGCTGCCTGATGGAAGTACCAGTGTCTCAGAAGAAGACTCTGATGAGAGGCAGGCAGTCTTAGTGGTGTCAAAAATATTTGCCCCCTTCCACTTTCGATTGTCCCTGCTGTTTCTGGAAAGTTCCATGGTGGCCTGAGAACAGAGGTTTCTTGTCACCTGGGCTGGAGTGCAGTGGCACGATCACTGCAGCCTCTGCTTCCTGAGTAGCTGAGACTACAGGCGTGTACCACCATGCCCTGTTAATTTTTGTACATTTAATAGAGACAGGGTTTCACCACACTGCCCAGGCTTGAACAAAGGTTTTTGATGAGGCAAAGTGTACAGGGCTTAGCTTCTCCCTCCTTCTCTGTGCTGGGCCCCTGCTACAGCATGAGCCATGAGTCTGGGGACCTGCCTCTGGGAGCTCCCAGGCAGTGGGGAAGAGTTCATAGGGCACCCATGAGAATGGGGTTGTAACGCACCCAGCACCTCCACACTGAAGTTCCTCCGTGCCTCCCCAGCCTCGTTGCTTGCCAGGCATGAGTAGAGGCCACTGTCTTGCTCCTGTGTCTGAGTCATCTTCAGCATCCAGCCACCTGGGGAGGGAGGGGCGTGGGCCCCAAGCATGGCTCTGAGCAGCATTCTGTCCCAAGCCGAGCCCCCTGCTGCCCAGCAGGAAAAGGCATTATAATTAGGCGTGTACATGTCTGTCTCCCATTGTGTCCTGTTCCTCAGATCCACAAACTGAGGCCCAGGAGGGTAAACAAATGGATGGAACTGCCTGGAGATTAGACACGTACCAGAATAAATCTGAGGACCCTGCTCTAGCAAGAAGTATCTGTCACCCTGGCCACCCCTGGCTCTGGGGATTGGCTGGAGCTGAAGGGAGAGTAATGGGTTATGTAGTCCTGGCCCAGCAGACCTCTGCTCTACTCTGACAGACATGGTAAAAGGGCTTCTCCTCCCAAGGATCTCTCAGGGAGAGACAGCTCCTCTCAGAGGAACCCAAGGGTCTCCCAAGATCAGTGTGTGGAGGGCAGATACATAGGACACAGGACACCACTGCTGTTACTGCACCCAGAGCCGACATTACTAACTGATTGCCACATTCCTTTCCACTGGGCCCAATGCAGTCTCTGAATTCCTATCCACAGAATGCACCCGGCAATTCTTACCAAGTGCTCAGAAATGATGCCCAAGAGGAAATGTATTTGCCATCTCATCATGGGCTGCGTGGAACAACCAATGGGTGACTGAGGCATAGCCTCAGGGGCCTTGAAGTCCTTGCAGGATTTGGATGGGACAGAGACTCCTGGGCCTCAGTTCCTCATTTGTATACCAGCAAGAACCTCACAAACCCATTTTATGAGGAGGATAAATATTCAGAGGAGAAGGTGCTTAGATCAGCACATCCAAAACTTGTTACTGTTCTGTGGGATGTTATATATAAGTGCCAAAGTTTGTTTTTTTTTTTTCTGCAGGACTTATCAGAACCTTTGCTATGCAAATGTTCATTGTGGTTCTCTAGATGAACAGAGCAGGAAGCCTTTTCCAAATTTATCTAAATCCATGATATTTTCCTGGAGCACCTCACCTGACTAGTGTTTTGGGCTGCATTCTTTGGGGACCAGCAGCTGGAATGATTATTCCAACCAGGCCTGGCAGCTCAGAGTCAGAGGTCATGGGCATGTAATGGATAGAGTCAGAGGCAGAGAGCCCGACCTGATTCCCAGGATCCAACCTTAGCTGGTATCTTACCTGCCAGCAGGTAGGTGTCCTCCCCGGGGCTGACAGGCTCCTCCCCTCGGAACCAGCGGATGGCTGGAGGTGGGATCCCCATGGCTTCACAGAGCAGAGTTAAGGGGCTGTGCAAGGCAGCAGTGATGTTGGTCAGCGGGTCCAAGTCTCCAATGAGCTCTGGGGGCACTGGACACAAAGAAGAAGCCACATTCAGGGTGCAGATATGGGCTGTGTGCTTCATGCTCCTTCCCCAGCCCCACTGACTGCCCCCCAACTCCACCCAATTGGGAGAGTCTGAGGAGCAGAAGTGACGAGAGCAGAGCTGCTCCCCCTAAAGTGAGGACACCTAGGAGGGAGCCCATGGCGCCACAGGCTGGGCTCTGGAGTCGGGCAGGCTCCTTGGGCCTCAGTCTCCCCAAGCCCTCAGCGGGATGCTGGGGGATTCAACAGGAACACGTGAAAGTGCCCAGTCCAGTATCTGGGCAGAGCAAGCGCTGAGCCAGTGGGACCGGAATTAGTGCAAAGGCGAAGCCAGATGTGCTTCCCAAATCCACGTGTGGAAGCTAAGTGGCAACGCTGCAGTTCTGAAGGAACCTGTTCCTGAAGGAAGCCACTCTCTACCCAGGGGGGTGGGGGTGTTGGGGATATCTGGGTGAGGCTCGAGATCCCAGCAACAGTGAGGGGCGCCCTCCCTAAACTGATCCCCGCCCACCTCTCCCACCCTATCTCTTACCACTCCCTGTCTCCACCCTGAATTATCCTTCAGGCATACAGTAGGAGCTCAGTAAATGATGGAATGCATGAGGCTGCCCCAGCCACCCTCTGCCTGGCACGTGCTTCCCCTCACCTAGCAGCTGCCTAACTCCTACTCACCCTTTATGGTCCAGCTTAAAAGGCACCTCCTCTGGGAGGTTGCCCTGACCTGCCCCAACAGTATTCAAGGTTTTCCTGGTCTCTCACAAGCCCCTGAATTCTCCCCATCACATACCAGTCATGCAGGACAGGGACTGCTTACTTTCCCAGTGCCCAGAACAGAGTAGAGGAAGAGTAAACCCAAGAGGGAGAGAGGGAGGGAGGAGAGGCGAATTGGGGGAAATTGGGGCCATTTGGGACCAGTCCTGATTTTGAGAGCAGTGTTGGTGGCTCCCCCCACCAGCAGCTCTCATTAGAGCCCTGACTCCAGAAAGAACAGGTGTGACCCCAGGATCACAGCCTGAGGGCCGTGCCTGGAGATTGAACCCACCTTGCCCACTCTAATCTGCCCCAGCCCAACTCCTCCAGCAGCTGCCGGTCCTCACCCAGTACGGAGAGCTCAAACTTCCTCTCTGCCCTCCCAGCCAGGTTCTCGGCCACACAGCTGTAGCGTCCAGTGTGGGCAGCCTGGGCCCGCTCCACATGCAGGCTCTGACCCTGGTTCTGCAGCTGCAGGCCCAGTTCAGCCCCCACGGGCTGGCCGTCCCGCTCCCATGTCACTGTCGGAGGGGGTTTCCCTGTGGCGTTGCACTCCAGAGTGGCCACTCCATCCTGGACCACAGAGACTTGTGTGGGAGGCTCCCGGGGACCGGCAATCTGAGGGGGAACTGTTGGGGTGGGGAGAAAGCCCATCAGAGAAAGCTGCTGGGGCCACCAGGCACCACACACTTACCCCGGGCCCAATAGGGACACACCCTCTCCCCTTGCCATCGCTGGCTGTGTGACCTCGTGACCTCACCTCCATTTTCCTTCCCAACAATGGGGTCATAACAGCACCCTACTGCTACTACAGCCTGGGAGTCACAGGCAGGCCTGCTATGTGGGGAACAGCCCTTTCAGGAAGTGTGATGGGTTTTCTTCCTCAAAAACCAGAGACTTCCTGGAGTTTCAACAGTTGTTGGGACTGGTTAGGGGTGGGAAATTATTCTACGGGTGGGTTTCTCCTCAAGATGTTGAACAGCACTGTTCCTGGTTTTATTTTCTAGCAGGATTTTTACCAGGCTGGGGGATTTCATTTCATCACTGCAGGACCAGTAGATAGGGCTTTAGGTTTCCATCATATATAGGAGCTTCACATAATACTCATGCTTCTTTCGGGTTTCCAGCTGTTTCAGATGTGGCTTTTCTCCTCTGGACCACTGGGGGGCCCTTAGGGACTGTGCTGCTGCCCCCACCCCCAATGCTTGGGTTAGTGAGAAGCTGTGTGGGAGGGGCAGTTAAAATGCCAGGTGATATGGCTTGGCTGTGTCCCCACCCAAATCTCATCTCGAATTGTAATCCCCACGTGCAGAGAGAGGGACCTGGTGGGAGGTGATTGGATCATCTGGGCGGTTTCCCCTATGCTGTTCTTGTGATTGATAGCGAGTGAGTGAGTCAGTTCTCAGGAGATCTGGTTGTTTGATAAGTGTCTGGTGCTTCCCCCCTGGCTCTCTCTCTCTCCTGCCGACATGTAAGGCGTGCCTTGCTTCCCCTTCATCTTCCGCCATGATTGTGAGTTTCCTGAGGCCTCCCCAGCCATGTGGAACTGTGAGTCAATTAAGCCTCTCGTTTATAAATTAGCCAGTCTCAGGTAGTGTCTTTAGAGCAGTGTGAGAACGGACTCACACACCAGGAACGTGAGGGAGGAGAAAGCCTGCACCACACACCATCACTTCCCCGTATTTGCTCCAATTTCAGGGCAGCGCCTGCCCAGCCAGTCCATGATCCCAGACCCTTCCAGCCCCCGCCCAGCTCACCCACCGTGCACCTCCAGCTGCAGGTCCTGGCTGCTGTTCCCCACCACGTTGCTGCATTCACAGGTGTATGTTCCTTCCTGAGCCAGCTGGGCCTGTCCCAGGTACAACAGCCTCCCCACAGCCGACACGTGCTGGAGGCCAGCCCCCTCCCCGGGGAGGGGTTGACCTGGGTGCAGGAAAAAAGAAACTCCTGGTCCAGGGCATTTGCAAGGACGTGATGTCTTTCCACATGGAAAGTTTGTCCTCCTACCCATTCTTGCCAATTCCTGCTCATCCTTCAGGTGTCCATTTAGACACTACCTCTTCCGGGAAGCCTTCCATGAGTGCCACTTCTGGTCCTGGTGCCTCTTCTGAACTCCCCCCATCCCCCTAGGCTTCTCTGCATCACAGATCTGCCTACAGGTGCCCCATCTGAATCCTACTCTGGCCTGAGCCCTCCGGAATGGCAGACTCTGCCTCAATTTCCTTCTGGGATCCCTTTTTTTTTTTTTTTTTTTTTTGAGACAGAGTCTCTCTCTGTTGCCCAGGCTGGAGTACAGTGCCACCATCTCGGCTCACTGCAACCTCTGCCTCCTGGGTTCAGGTGATTCTCATGCCTCAGCATCCCGAGTAGCTGGGATTACAGGTGCACACCACCATGCCCTGCTAATTTTTGTATTTTTTAGTAGAGACGGGGTGTCACCATGTTAGTTAGGCTGGTCTCTAACTCCTGACCTCAGGTGACCCACTGCCTCGGCCTCCCAAAGTGCTGGGATTACAGGTGTGAGCCACCGCGACCAGCCTCCCCCTGGGATCCTTAGTGGCTCCCCAGGGCCTGGCACACAGCAAGGCTCAATAAAGGCTACTGAAGGAACGACCATCCACTTAGCTACAGTGGCCTGAGGAGGGTGACCAGGCAACTGGTGGACCTGGCATCAAGAAGACCCCTTGGAGGAAGAGGATTTGTCAACCTCGACCTACTGGATTAAACCCTTCCTCCTCTGTTTCTAGAGAAGCAGACCTCTGGGCTGGGTCATGACTCAACGCATGTCCCATCAGGGAAGCAGACCCAGTGGCCACCTGGCATTGCTTCCTCCCTCTCTGTCCTGGTGACCTCAGCTTGTCTTGCTACTCCCAGGCTGCTTCCTAGCCCAGACCTCTCCTCTGAGCTCCAGACACCTGTCTCTCACCATCCACTTGACACCTCACTAGGTATTTAGCAGATGTCTCAAGATTAATTCACCCCAAACGCTAGGTCTTTCCACCATATCTGCCCCTGGGGTCTCCCATCTCGGTAATGGCAGCTCCACTCTCCTCCATCATCCCTGATTCCCTGCCTCCTCTCATTCCCCCATCCAACCAGCATTCCTGCCCCAGGACCCTTGCACTTACCCTTACCTCCGCCTGGGGTGCATTTCCCTGTGATATTCTCATGTTCAGCCCTTAGCTTTTCAAGTCCGCTTGGTCGAGCATTCCTGGCCACCCAACTTAAAACTGCAAATCCTACAACCCCCCAGAACATCTTTCCCGCTTCCTAGCTTTATTTTTCTCCATAGCATTTATCACCTAAGGTACAGAGTCATTTACTAACTGTGTGTTTATTATCTGACTGCCCCCATTGTGAGGGTGGGGATCTGTTTTATCCTCTGCTATATTTCCAGTGCCTAGAACAGGGCCTGGTACAGTCTCTCAATACATATTGGTTAAATGGGCTGGGTGCTGTGGCTCATGCCTGTAATCCCAGCACTTTGGGAGGCTGAGGTGGCAGATCACCTGAGGTCAGGAGTTCGAGACCAGCCTGGCCAACATGGTGAAACCCTGTCTCTACTAAAAATACAAAAATTAGCTGGGCATGGTGGCACCTGCCTGTAATCCCAGCTACTCAGGAGGCTGAGGCAGGAGAATCACTCCAACCCAGGAGGCGGAGGTTGCAATGAGCTGAGATCGTGCCACTGCACTCCAGCCTGGCAAAAAAAAAAAAAAAAAAAAAAAAAATTGGTGAAGTGAATTCCAAATGTTTTTTGAGCATCTTTTTTGTACCATACACTGAACTTGGAATTCAGCGGTGGTCAACATGGTGCCTCACAGGGGTCACAGACTAATGGAGGAGCACACACAGAAAGACTAATGTGGGTGACATGACAAGTGACAGGGACTGCATCAGGGAGGCTCTGTCCCAGCCTGGCAGTCAGGGAGGGCTTCCTGGAAGAAGGGACGTCTGAAGTGAGGCCTGAAGTTCAATCCAGCTCTTACTGGCAGAGCAGGACCAGGGGCTCCTGCAGGCTCAGGGACTGAGTAGAGAGGAGCTGGGGGAAGCACCACTTCTGTAACCAGCATCCCCACCCCCTCGAGGTATAAGACCCCCCCATCTCAGCTAGGCTCTGGGGTGGGGGTAACCAGTGGGGACTGGGCATAGCCTCCTTGTGCCTGGCAATGAGGTGGGGCTGGGTGAGGGCAGCAATCCTACCGTCCTTCCTCCAGGAGATCTTGGGGAAGGGGACACCCCGGCATTCGCAGGACAGCCTGGTAGGGTGCCCCTCTCTCACAGTCAGGGTGTGGGATTCCCTCAAGGGGAACACTGGAGCAACTGAGTCAGAGCAGAGAGAGAGTTAGTGGGGGTGGGGCTGAGATGGGGAGGGGATGAGCAAGGCGAGGGCAGGCTGGAGGAGGGCTGTGTCCTGGGACGCAATCAAGGCAGCAGCCCCCTCCCCCTGCCCAGCCTGGGAGACCCTCACCCCAGACGTTCAGATTGTAGTGTTTCTCTGAGTGGCCGGCCTGGTTCAGTGCCTCACAGGTGTAATGGCCCGCATCCCACACATCGGCTCTGTCCACCTGGCAGAGAGCAAAGACACCCCATGGGAGGGGACGCACAGAGATGGGTGAGCCCTGGACAGACTGTGTGACTGCAGACATGTCACGTGACCTTGCTGAGCCCCCAAGCTGCCCACTTGGAGCACGGGGCAGTGACAGCATCTCCCCACCAGCTGCACCGGGAAGTTTCCAGAAGCACGTGCCTGTGGTGGGCCTGAGAAGGGCCCCCTCGATGGCAGTCCTGCCAGCCTCCCAAACTTCATGGCCCAGATCTGCTAAGGGGGAGGCATGTGACTGGCTCAGACCTGCTCCTGCATTTCATCAGCTCCCAGCCTCTTTGGAAAGCTCAAGAAAACAGACCCGAAGAGAAGGTGGAGGAATGAGGCTGGTGGGGTGCAGGGGACCTGTCCTCAGGGCTCAGATCCTGACATGGGGTTGCTGGGGCTAGGCTGTGGCTTTGAAGAATGAACGGAAGGAGGGGAAACCAAATGGCAGTGCTCTGAGTTGGGAATGATCATATCACAAGGTGTAGGGGGGTGGGAGGAGGAGCAGACAGGTGAGGAAGGTTCTAACCCAACAGCTGGCGCCACTCAGCTGAGTCAGGGGCCCTGAGGGAGGCCCCGAGGAACCAGTCCTGGGGTTTTGTCCTCCATCCCCTGAGGGGAAAGGGGCTTGCAGGTCACTGAGCTGGGGCACCTGCAGGCCCCACCCTGCCCTTGGGCCGAGGTGGAGGCCTGCTTGGCTGGCCAGGGGCCTGCACACCTGCAGCAAGGCTTTGTCTGCGGAGAGGTGGACTCCAGGCCGTGGTTCCAGGGGCCGCCCGTCCTTCCACCAGCTCAGCACAGGAGGGGGCATGGCGTGGCTCTGGCACTCCAGGGCCACTGACTCATTGGCCACAACGGACACATTCAGCTCTTCTCCAAGGATACTCGGGGGCACTGCAGGAGGGGGCAGGAGAAGGGCTCCCTCAGGCACATGGGTGGGGCTGGCAAGGAGGGGCCACACCCTGGGTCAGGCCTAGCTACTCGCAGCAGCCAGGAGTGACCACCCTTCCTCTGCCTTCAGTCCTGCTTCGGAGGAGCCAGTCTGAGTAAAATTGTCACGATATCCACATCCCAGATCTCTGCAGCATGTTTCCACCGAGGGAAATTGGGGAAGGAAGCTCAGGGTCCCCCTGTGTTATTTCTTACAGATGTCTGTGAATCTATAATTATCCACAGTTATCTCAAAACTTTCTAAAATTTAAAATTTTTGTTTAAAAAAATTTTTTTAAGCAGGTCTCAGAACCACCTTTTGCCCCTGAAGCAAAAATAACCAGTGCAGCTTTGCAGGAAGGAACGCAGGGTCCAGGGGGAGAACTCATGGGGTGGAATCCTGCCCTCCACCACTCACTCGCCATGCGAGGCCCTGGGGATGCCACTTGCACTCCTGGGCCTCAGTCTCCTCGTCTGTAAAGTGGGGATAATGAAAATCCCCACCTGATGGGGCCGCCATGAGGTTCAATCCAATGGCACAGGTGGGGCTCTTGGGCATACAATATGTATTAACCACCATCTTCACTCCAGCAAAGGGAAAGAGCTAGAATCGAATCCTTCCTATAACCTCCCGCCCAAGACTACGTTCATTCGTTTTCTTTCTTTTTCTTTCTTTCCTTCCTTCCTTTCTCTTTCTTTCTTTCCTTCCTTCCTTCTCTTTTTTTCTTTCTCTTTCCTTCCTTCCTTCTCTTTTTCCTTTCTTTTTCTTTCTCTCTCCCTCTCTCCTTCCTTCCTTCTTTCCTTCCTTCCTTCTCTCTCTCTCTCTTTTTCTCTCTTTCTTTCTTTTTTTTTTTTTTGACAGAGTCTGGCTCTATTGCCCAGGCTGGAGTGCAGTGACATGATCTCAGCTCACTGCAACCTCTACCTCCCAGGTTCAAGTGATTCTCCTGCTTCAGCCTTTCGAGTAGCTGGGACTACAGGCACGCACCACCATACCCAGCTAATTTTTTGTATTTTTAGTAGAGACGGGGTTTCACTGCGTTGGCCAGGCTGGTCTCGAACTCCTGACCTCAAGTGATCCACCCACCTCAGCCTCCCAAAGTGCTGGGATTACAGGCGTGAGCCACCATGCCCAGCTCCCAGCATTCTTTCTTATACCTCCACAGAGCCCCAGAAAAACCCAGAGGAGGACATTTAAAAATAAGCTACTGTGGTTACAGTAGCTTCATGAGCTCAGAGGCTTAGTGAGTCCCCATGGTGACCTTTGAGGTGAGTGCTATTCTTCTCATTTTGCAGATGAAGAAATGGTGGCCGAGAGAAGCAAAGTGACCAGCTCAAAGTCACAGAGGCAGGGTTTGAACCCCATGTCGGTGACACTCAAGAGCCGGCTTTCCTAACCACCACTCCACGCTGTTCCTGCTACTTCACACCCCTTCCGCGTCTCCCTGAACATGGGGCAGAGCTCCTGGCTATGCGGGGCCACCTGCCCACCCTCCCACCCATTGCGGGAGCTCATACTCTAGGGCAGGTCTCTGGATCTCACTGATTCCTACTGGAAGGCAGCTGTTCTCAGGTGGACACTCCTCCATCCACCCAGCCTCTCTCCTTTTGGAAGTGACTGGGAATGCCCCCCACCCCATCTCCCCCGCTGCTCTGAACCACATGGCTTTCCCAGTCTGAGACTCACTGTGGACTTGCAGGACAACATCCTGGCGGTCCTCGCCCACCGCGCTCACAGCCACGCAGGAGTACCTCCCAGAGTCGGAGGCCCGGGCACTAGCCAAGGTGAGGACCCGGCCCCCAGGGAAGACCTGTGACCCCAGGGGGAAGCCCAAATTAGGCAACTGTCCTGCTGTTGCAGGCCCCAAGGGGCAGAACCCCACCTGCCCAAGCCGGCCTTGCTGCCGAGCACGCCTGGACAGCCTGCCCCAGACTCAGAGCCCCTCATGATGCAGGGAAACCCAGGGTTGCATCTGGGCCTCCGGACCTCTGCCAGCTGGCAATGACACTGGACCTCAGGAAGAGTCCTCTAGAGCCCCTCTGTCCACTCGCCACACATGGCCAGTGAGCCCTTGAAATGTGGCCAGGCCAAATTGAGAGAGGCCCCAGGTACAAAATATGCCACGGACTTCAAAGAGTTAATATGAAAAGAAGAATATAAAATATCTCAATAATTATTTTGTATTGATCCCATGATGAAATGAAGCTATTTTGGATATATTGGATTAACTAACGTGTATTATTAACATTGATCTCACCTGTTTCTTTTTACTCAGTTTACTGTGGCCACAAGAACATTTACAATGATGTAGGTGGTTCATGTTCATGGAATGTATCGTTACCATTGGGCAGTGTGGCTCCAGCCTCTCTGTTCAGTCCCACCTCCCTCTAGCCCTCGGCCCTGGGCTATCGCTGCTTCTCCCTCACCCTAAGTTCCCAGGGCCTGACCTCTGTTCCCAGCATCTACGGGAGGTGCAGGGAGGTTGAGCCGGGGCCACCCAGCCCTACTGACCTGCAGGCCAGGGGTCCCTGCAGGGGACACAGGGTTTCCATCCTTCAGCCACATCAGTGTGGGGCTGGGGGCACCGGTGGCATTGCAGGTCAGCCGGACAGGGGTGTTGACCAACACAGGGCCTGGCAGGCTGGGTGGCAGTGTGATTCGAGGGGGCACTGCAGGGCAGGGGTGACATGGGGTACAGGCTGAGCCCCACTGGGGCAAAGCAGGCAGGGCCCCTGGCTGGGCACCCCTGCAGGAGCACACAGCCACAGCAAAAGCACAAGGACAGCCATCCAGACACGGGCTCTGAGCCACTCCACTGCCCCCAAGGCTGCTACTTCCATCCTTTCAACACCACCATGAGGCTTCTATAGATGGGAAACTGAGGCTGACAGAGGGGAAGTCACCTGCCCAAGGCTGACCACCCAGGAAGCAGCACTCGCACTCAGGCCTCTGGTCAGCAGAAGGTCATTTATTATGGGGATGGGGAGGGGACCAAGGGTCCCTGGACAGTGCTACTTCCTAACTCAGGGGTGTGAGATGAAATACCATATTACAGGCAGTCCCCTTTTGGCAGAAAATAGCCAGAAGATTCCATTGTATCTGGGAGGCACCAGCCATGATGCCCAGGGTCCCAGGCCTCTGCCCAGCTACCCACTGCTCTTAGAACCAACCTCTCCCATGGCCCATGAGGCCCAAGAGGTCCAGCCTCCATATGGCCACCAGCACCATCCTGGCCCTCTTCTCAGTGTTGTAAATCCCAGGCCCCGTGGCCTCCTTTCAGTTTCTCAAATTCCCCAGATCTTCATAACCTCAGGCCTTGGCAGAGACCTCAGTGTAGGTATCCAAGTGTCAAAGATGCCTCCTGGACTCCACAGGCCAAGTCAGTGCCCTGTTATAGGTGCTCCGTTGCACCTCATGTTCACCAGCTGCTATCACAATTGACATCAAGTAGTACTCTGGGGAATGATCTGATTGCTGTGTCCTCCACTACACTGAAAGCTCCTAGGTCTGTCTTATCTAGGGCTCTAGGTCCAGTCTCCGCCCCAGAGCATGGACTCAATAAGTGTGGTTGGATAGAAAATGGATCAAGGAAAGAATGGGTAGTTGAATGACTGAATGGATGGTGAATGGGTAGATGGGTAGTAGATGGATGGATGGATAGATGGGTGGGTGGATGGGAGGGTGGACAGGTAGACAAATGGGCAGGTGGATGGGTGGGCAGACAGGTGGGTAGATAAATGAATGAAAGGATGGTTGGGTGGATAAATGGATGGATGAGAGATGGATGGATGGATGGATGGATAGATGAGTTGATGGATGGATGGGTGGATAGGTGGATGAGTGGATGGGTGGATGGATGGAGGGGTGGATGGGTGGATGGATGGGTGGGATGGATGGATGGATGGATGGATGGATGGATGGATGGTTGGATGGATGATGGATGGATGGGGTAACGGATGGATGGGGTGGTAGATGGATGGATGAGTGGACAGGTGGATGGACAGACTAATAGACAAATGAATGAAAAGACAACTTTTTGGACAAGGGACCTTGTAGGCCCAGGGAAGCTCACCATTGACCCGTAGGCCATACCGCAGCTCTGTGCTACCTGCCACATTGGATGCCACACAGCGGTAGCTCCCAGCATCAGAAAGCTGGGCTTGCTCAATGCGGAGAACTCTCCCATCCACTGATACTGTCACTCCCATCCATGAAGAGACAGGTTGGTGGCCCTTGAACCAGGAGACATCTGGGGAAAGGAAGAGAGATGCAAGGGGGAAAGGAAGAGAGAAGCAAGGGGGAATGGAAGAGAGAAGTAAGGGGGAAAGGAAGAGAGATGCAAGGGGGAAAGGAAGAGAGATGCAAGGGGGAATGGAAGAGAGAAGCAAGGGTGCTGCCAGCCCGTCAGACTCTGCTGGTGTGGTGGGCACCCAAGAGAAACTTCCAGGGTGACCACACTATTTTTTCAGGCATTGGAGAAGGTCAGAGTTCTTCATTCAGGAAAGGGAACCGGGATGGAACCGGGCAATGTTGCCCAAGACAGGACCAAGGGTGGAGAAGAAGCCCCGTGGGCAGAGGCTGAGGCAGCCAGGAGCAGAGAGAGTCAAACTCAGCCCTGCCCTCCCCCTACCAGAAGACCCCGTCCCCTAGGGGGCATTAGAGAACATGGACCAGCCCAAAGCAGCAGCCTCAAAGCCAGGCTGGACCGCGTGTATCTGCAGCTTCCCTGCATCCTGCCGGGACATGTCCCCGGAACTCAGCAGGCATCCCCACGAGAGGGGGCAAATATCCCCAGGGCTCACAGGCAACAAGCAAAGCAGGGTGGGCCTAGTTCAGATGGGAGCAGGAGAGAGGCCTTCCTCCTGGGCCACCGTAAGCCTCACCCAGTCCCCTATGCAAACACCCACACCCAGCCCCCAGCTCCCGGCCCTTTCCTCCACTTCTGGTCTAGAGGGGAGGACCCTACAGACCAGATGGTGACTCTGAGGTCCTGATCCTCGCCCCTAGCCCCGGACAGCCCTGTGAAGCTTACTGTGAGTAGATGTCCTGCAGGCCTGTTTCACACTGGCTCTGGACCCTAACATGGCCTTGGCCCGAAGGACATTGTTGAAGAGGAAGAGAGGAACATGAGAGAAACGGGGGGGAAAGACCTGATGATTTCTCCCCATTATGTCCAATCAGAGAGTCCCTGGGTCACTCGCCAGCCTCATTAGACAGTAAATTGGGCTGGAAGTAGCTTTCAGCCAAGAGGAGGGGTCTTACCAGGAGGGGGCACGCCCGAAGCCAGACACTCCAAGGTCACTGAGGCATTTTCCAGCACTGCCTTGTTGACTGGGCCTGGCTCGATGTTGGGGGGCACTAGGGGGAGACAAGGAGAGACCCAGCTTGGTAGGTGCAAGCTCTGGGCAGCTCTAATCCCAGCCATCCCAGCAGTGCTGCTCCCTGCTCCCCATAGAAAATCCTAGACTAAGGGCTCTAAAACAGCTCATGTCCTCAGACTAAGCAACCTCACTCCTGGAAGCAAGCCCAAGAACAAAGAGCAACAGGCTGCCATCCTTACGGCAATCATACAGCACCCAGCCCCCACCCCAGGACAGCCGACGCCAGCACAGCCAGGGGAAGGGACAAGGACGAGGATTTCCCTGCAAATAAACCCCCAAAATAAGCAAACGTAAATATGAATGTGGGCAAGGTCTTCCACTAAAAATCCCACCGTGGCTCACGCCTGTGATCCCAGCACTTTGGGAGGCCGAGGCGGGCGGATCACGAGGTCAGGAGATCGAGACCATCCTGGCCAACACGGTGAAACCCCGTCGCTACTAAAAATACAAAAAAATTAGCCAGACGTGGTGGTGGGTGCCTGTAGCCCCAGCTGCTCGGGAGGCTGAGGCAGGAGAATGGCGTGAACCCGGCAGGCGGAGCTTGCGGTGAGCCGAGATAGTGCCACTGCACTCCAGCCTGGGCGACAGAGCGAGACTCCATCTCAAAAAAAAAAAAATCCCGCCAAAAGGGACTACACAGCTATTGCTAACACTTTCATTTCAGGGCTTTCTACTTCCTCTGAAGTTAAGTGCACAACTATGACTGAAAAACCTCCTCCCCCTCCCTCGCCACACACTTCAGCCCCAAGGGTCCCCAAGGGATCACCCAACATGCTGGCCTGGGCCCTGCTGGTTACCCACGTCCTCACCCAAAACTTTCAGCGCCACTTCCCTCTTGCTCTCCCCAGCCAGGTTGGTAGCAGCACAAGTGTAGATGCCCTCGTCCCTCAGGTCCACCTTCTCAATCTGGAGGGGAGGGGGCAGAGAGTATGCCACAGGGCTGTCCAAGTGATGACGGGACATGGCGAGTGGCCAGGCTGCTGCCGAGCCCGGGGGCAGGAGCAGTGAGGCATGGGGACACTTTTGGCTCTGGAGGTAGAGTTATGAGCCAAGCACTTGGATTCCAGGGATTCGTCCGATCTCCAGGCATACCATTCCCTGTCCCCCCCACTGACATTTTCTCCCTCTGACAACTGAAGCTCCTAGGACCCGGAAGAGGCTGAGGCTCACCCTTTCAGGCTGAGAGGGCTCTGGGCCCTTCCTATGCCCAGCCTGCTGGGATTTGCTCAGAGTCTCCAGGAAGCCCCCAGAGCAGCCCCTCCACCTGTGCCCAGCTGGCTTGCCAGCCCTGGGGCCCCTGCACATACCTGTAGGTTCCCCCCAAAGGCTGCCAGGGCTACACCATCCTTCCACCAACGGAGGCTTGGGGTGGGCACCCCATCCCCTATGCACTGGAGGGTCACAGGCTGCAGGAAAGGAGCTGTGATGTTCTCACCCCCAATGATACTGACCGATGGGAACTCTGGGAAGGGAAAGAGTCAGGAAGAGCCCGAGTCAGAATCAGGAGGAGTACAGTGGGCACCCAGCAACCCCCTCGATGCCTGGGGGTGAGAAGGTGCCCTTGAAGGGCTGGCCAAAGGCTAGCATCTAGCTTCTGCCCACCATATCCCCTAGACGCATGGCTTAGGGGAAAGAGCTCTAGACTGGGAGCCAGCAGAGAAGTTATTCTCTTTAAAAATTCTCCCAACCATCTGTGCACCCATGCATCTATTCATGCATTTATTCATCTACCTATCCTTCTGTCTATCCATCCTTCCATCCATCCACCCACCCATCCATCATCTACCAATCCATCCAGCTAGCCATCCACCCACTCACCCTTCCATCCATCCACCCACCCATCCATCAATCCACTCATCCATCCACTCACCCTTCCATCCATCCATCCATCCCTCCATCCATCCATCCACCCATCCATCCATCTACCCACTCTTCCATCCACTCCCCCATTCATCCACTCATCCATCCACCCACCCACCCATGCATCCATCTACCCACTCATTCATCCATCCACCCACCCACCCATTCATCCATCTACCCACCCTTCCATCCATCCACCCACCCACCCATTCATCCATCTACCCGCCCTTCCATCCATCCATCCACCCATCCATCCATTTACCCATCTATCCATTTACCCATCCATCCACCCTTCTATCCACCCATGCTTCCATCTATCTACCCATCCATCCACCTTTCCATCCATCCATCCATCCATCCATCCATCCATCCATCCTCCCTTCTATCTGTCCACCCATTCATCCACCCTTCTATCCACCCATGCTTCCATCTATCTACCCATCCCTCCACCTTTCCATCCATCCATCCATCCACCCTTCTATCTGTCCACTCATTCATCCACCAACCCATTCATCCACCCACCCATCCATCCACCCACCCACTGATCTATCCATGCATCCTTATGTGTGCTGAGCATCTACTCTGTGGCCAGAACTATACTGGGCCCCTGGACACAGTCAGGGAAAGGCAGCTACCATGTTGCCCTCTCAAAGCTCACAGAGGTGGACAGTGGAGATGGACAACCAAATAAGCAATCCCAATGTAGTTGTTGGAGGGCTAAGGCATTGAGAGGCTGGGCAGTGCAGATGAGAAACATGGTAGAATCAAGGAAGGCTTCCTGGAGGAAAAGTATTTCAGGATATGCCTGAAAGATAAGGAGCTAGGCAGGCAAAGAGGAGGGAGAAAGTTCTGGGCAGAAGGAACAGCAAACGTAGACGAAGACAAGAGAAAGAGGGTTGATATATTAAAAGAACTAAGTGAAGTTCAGCAGATGGACAGAGAGGAAGCTGGGGAGAGGAGTGAGGCCTAGGGGCTGGTCAGGACTGAGGATAAGTGTGATAAGTGGCCCGGCCAGCCTCTCACACCTGCGTCTCTGTGGGGAACTGGGAAGTCCAGCCCAGAAACGCCATCCAGCAAAGACCAGCCCCGTGCCCTTCCAGGCCTGCCACAGCCCAGGCTCCACCCACCCCTGGCATCTCAGGCTGCCCACAGCTCCAGAACCCCAGGCGCCCACTCACCATGCACAGACACCTCCACCTCGGCCCCGGCAGTGCCCGCCTCATTGGTGGCCTGGCAGGCGAAGAGGCCTGAGTGGTCCAGCTCCACATGGTCAATGTGCAGTGTGGTCCCCTGCGAGGCCACCTGCACCCCAGCCAGCTCCTCGGCTGGGCGGCCATTCTGCAGCCACCTAAGGTGAGTAGGGAGGGGGGCGTGTCAACCTGAGACCAGGGAAGGCCAGGCCAGGCAGGACAAGCAGGAAACCTAGAAGTTCCTCCCACCTGCTCTCACCAGCCGTGGCTCCAGGCCTCTTTCCTACTCCTGGAAACAGGAAGCCTCTCTCCTGTCCACTTCCCCCCACAATCCGCAAAGCACACGCTCTCTGCCTACCCCCAGCCCTGGCCTCCACCACCCCAGACTCACTGGATAGTGGGTACTGGGGAGCCTGAGGCCTGGCAGGGAAGTTCCAGGGGCTGTCCCACGATGGTGGTCACCTGTCCCAAGCCTTCAGCCACCAGGAGCTGTGGGGGCACTGCAGGCAGAACACACTCCTGGGTGTTTGGAGCTGAGCAGCCACTGGCCTCAAACCCTCCCAAGTCCCCAGAGCCTTCCAAGCGAGGCCCAGCTGCACCTCACCCTCACGTCTCCCTATCAGTGGCCCTTCCTCCAGGAGGCCTTCCAGGGCCACCCAAGGCGGGTAAGGGGACACCCCGGGCTCCCCAAAGGCTTGGGCCTAATTATTTAACATCTGCCTCCCTGGCAGACTGAGGGCTCAGGAGTCCGGTTGGCCTTGTTCCCAGCTTCATTTCCAGTGCCGCTTGGGGTCAACACAGCACTAGGACCTGAGATGCTTCAGCAATGGATGGAAGAGCAGGCGAAGGCCCCACCCGCCCTGCTGGGACCATACCCACAAGCCGGCCTTAGGAAAGTCTCCGTAAAGGGCCATTCCATTGGCAGAAGGCAGAACGAGGTCCTCTGTCCTGGGTGACCCAGCCCAGGGTCCTGGGCACAGTCAGGGACCCTTGATCCTGGGGCTCCACCCTGCCCACTCCTAGCCCTGCCGGCCCCACAGCCCAGGCCTCAGCGTCCTCATCTGTGTCATGCAATGTGGGGACACTGGTTACTTCTCCCCACCCTCCCTCCACTCCAGGAGCTCTCTCGGGACAAGCACGCAGCAGGCCTGGGCAGACGTCCACAGCCCAGGCAGCTCTGAGTGGGGTGGGCCGGGCTCACCCTGAACCTCCACGGAGTACTGCAGGACGGCTTCCCCGGCAGGACTGCTGGCCACACAGCTGTACAGGCCACTGGATGCCTCCCCCGGGCTCTCCAGCCTCAGCACACTCCCGTCTGTCTCCAGCCGCGACTCGTTGCTCTCTGCCACGGGCAGCCCCTCGTGGTGCCAGGAGAGGGTGGGGGACGGGTGGCCTCTGGCCACGCACTCCAGCGCCACAGGCCTCCCAGCCACAGCCTTCACCACGTATGGTCTTCCACCGGCGCCCTCGATGGTAGGTGGGACTGGAAAAGAGGCAGGGGGCGGCTTGGGGACCACAGCTGGACGCTAGCCTGCTCTCATCTCAGCCCAACAGGCCCGCTGAAGCCCCTCACCGACCCCACTCCATGTGAAACACTTCCTTCCCTCACCTCCAGTGGCTGAACCCCTTGCTCAGACCCCGGGGCAGCATTCTCACCCTCCTCAGCCCCTGGGCGCGCCACCCCACCCCTGGGTGCTGACTGTTGCCTCTCCATCCCCGCTGCTACCCCGGCAAGCCCAGCATGAGTGGAAAGACGGCCGGCCTACTTGCATCCCCAGTGCCTATACACAGCAGGTCCAGTGTCTGCTGGACTCAAATAAGACCCCCAGGGCCGGGACAGAGCTCTGCTCCTGGAAGTCCCCTCCCTCCCTGGTCTCAGGAGGCAGAAGACTGGGGCAGACCTGAGCCCAGATGGCTTGGATTGGGGGGCTCCTAACTTAGCCAGCGATGGCCAAGGGGACCAGATGTTAACTATGCTTGGAGCCCATGGTGGCCACGCCAAAGGGGAAATTTCTCTCCTACCCTCAAGGAGACCCTCAAGTTGCTGAGCTGATGAAGCCATTACCAGGGCACAAGGGGCAACCGTGGCCTGGGAGATGCTTCTTAACCTTATTTGGGTGTAAGACGCTTTGAAAATTTAATGAAAACATACACATACACATTTTCTATTTCATTTCCTGGGGGACCTCGGGTCCCAAAATAAGACTCCCTGAGCTAGCGGCGGGGCCATCTTCAGAGGCTGCCGTGGAGCCCATGCAGCTCAGCTGCCCTTTGAGGTTCCAGTACCCAAGCCCTTTGCATCTTTGGAAGCCAGAGCTCCCAAAGTGACTCCCCACGGGGGGCCAGGCTGACCCCTATCAGCTTGCACGCTGCCCTCTCACACTTCACCGGGGCCCTGCTCAGACCCATCCAGAGCCACCGACACCCTTTCCTCTGAGTTCTCCTTCAAAAGTCCCCAGAGCCAAGCCCCTCAGGGCTGAGCTGATGCTGAGGTTCACAGCATGAGGTCTGGAGTCAGATCTGCCCGCGTAAGGACCGGGTTCCACCACCTCCTAGGGGTGTGAACCTGGGGAAACCTCTCTGCTCCAGAGCTTCACTGCGACCATCTGTAACTGGGGACATGAGAGCTCAAGTCCCTTTGCCAGCTGATCAAATGAGCTGATGCTGCAAAGTGCCCCTCTGGTCTAGCTTACAGAAGTGATGAGCTGAGGGCAGTTAATTATTGTGGTGGTCACAGGGTTCTGGGCATGGTTTAGTGAAAAGCCCCACACCATGAGGGGAGACCTGGATTCTACACTTAGCTCCGCCATGGCCTCCTAGACAGGCCCTTCCACTCCTGGCCTCAGTTTCCTTACAGGTATGAGGGAAGTCACATAAGCTGGGAGGACCCTTCTCCCTAGATAATGTCTTGGTCCCATTATCCTTTTGCCTCTGACCACTCCAAGTGGCCACCTAGCCTTCCTTTGGAGACAGGCAGGGGCCACCATGGCTGAGTCCCTCCCACTGCCCACCCCGGCTGCCGTGGCCCCTGGCTGCTCACCATAAACATCCAGCCTGGTGGCCTTCTCTGCGGCCCCCACAGCATTGCTGGCCTTGCAGGTGTAGACGCCGGCATCGGAGCTCTGGGCCCTCCCCAGCTGCAACTGCCGACCGCCCCTAGTGTAGACCACCTTGGTGCTGGTGGGGAGCAGGGCCCCGTCCTTGAACCAGGTGATGTTTGGGGTGGGCACTCCTCGAGCCTCACACAGGAGCTGCACTAGGTGGTCCTCCATGACGGCCACCTCGCCTGTCTCGTTGGAGCCCCAGATAGTGGGGGGCGCTGAGAAGGAAAGAGGTGGGGCTGGTCACAGGCAGCCGCTGAGGCCTCTGGCATCTTCCCCAGGGCAGCAGACTCATGCCTTTGGGCCACAAGACACACCACAGGCTTCCATTGCGGGGGCAGGGAAGGCATGGTGGACAAGGAGGGGAGGGGTCTGGGGACAGATGGGAGAGGCCAGCATGGGGACATGCTGGTGTGGAAGGTGCAGGAGGTGGGGGCGGGGCCACAGGCTTGGATTCTGGGCCCTGCTCTGCTCTAACATACTGGAAGACCAGGGGTGAGCCACTTCCCCTCTCTGGGCCTCAGTCTCCCCATCTGTGAAATGAGAGGCTGGACTAGATGAGGACTTCACACAGGGCTGGTCACTCACCACCGATGCTACCCAGGACAATGCTAGGGGCACATGGGCACAGCATGAAATAACTGCATCTCAGAATGGAATGGTTACGCCCCTCCCAAATCTCCTTCTATCCGGGTTACAGCAAGGAAAGGCTCCGTTTGGTGCTACTATGCATGTCCCTAACCTTTCTAGCACTTTCTACTCTCCGCTTTTTAGCACAGAGAGTGCAGATGCAGGCTGGGTGCCCTCTGCGGAGTCCACGCCTCGAGAATTTACAACATTGCTCTATGGGGTGTGTTTGTTTTTTCAGCTTCCTTAGCCAAGCGAAACTGGTTTTCTGCTTACAGTTTCGATATTAAATATCCTTTATAAGAATAAGGGATATTTAAATAAATGTGTTTCAGTGTAAGGAAGTGTGACTCATTTAAAGAAAAGTAAATCATAATTCCAAGTGGTATCAGAAGTAGTAAATTTGGGCCAGGTACAGTGACTCACGCCTGTAATCCCAGCACTTTGGGAGGCCAAGGCAGGAGGATCACTTGAGGTCAGGAGTTCAAGGCCAGCCTGGCCAACATGGTGAAACCCCACCTCTACTAAAAATACAAAAATGAACTGGGTGTGGTGGTGGGCACCTGTAATCCCAGCTACTCGGGAGGCTGAGGCAAGAGAATCACTTGAATCTGGGAGGGGGAGGTTGCAGTGAGCCAAGATGGTGCCACTGCGCTCCAGCCTAGGCAACAGAGAGAGAATTCATCTCAAAAAAAAAACATAAGTAGTAAATTTTTAGAGCTGGGATGGAAACCACGGATTTGGAAAATGCTGGGCCAGATAACCTCTATCCCCTGACCCTGACCCCAACCCCGACCCCAGCCCCCAGCTTTCTTGGACTCAGGGATCACTCACCAGGTCCCCCATTTCAGCCCTCACTCTCCCTCTAAGGCAGCGGGCAGCTGGGTGGGAAGCTTCCTGAGTAGCCTGTGGCGGGGTCCCAGAAGGCGTGGGGGCTCACCATGAACTCGGAGCTGGAAGTCCCTGGCCTGCTGACCAGCTGGGCTGAAGGCCACGCACTGGTATCGTCCCTCATCCCCCACGTGACTGCCGGTGATCCTGAGAACCTGGCCATCCTCCTGGACCTGCAGGTGAGGGCCTCCCGGAAGGACAGGCCTGGAGAGACGGGCAAGGGAAAAGCGCCAGTAAGGCCGAGGGGCTGGATGGGACACGCTGCACACAGGGAGTGTGTGGCTTGTAAAAAGCGAGGCTGGGCCATTCATTAGCGCCAAGAGGTGGGAGCAATGCAAAGGCCCAGTAAGCGAGGAATGGATCAACAACGTGTGGTCCGTCCATGCCACGGAACATTATTCAGCCACAAAAATGAAGGCAATTCTGACACTTGCCACAGTATGGATGAACCTGGAAAATATGCCGAGTGGAAGAAGCCAGACACAAAAGGCCACACACTCTATGATGCCAGTGATGTGAAGTACCCAGAACAGGCACGTCCATAGAGAAGGAAAGCAGGCTTGTGGTTGCCAGGGGCTGGGGAGAAGGGGACAGCGACTGGCTGCTGATGGGTCCAGGGTGTCCTTTTGGGGTGATGGAATGTCAGGAACTAAATAGAAGTGAAAGTTGCCCCATGCTGCAAATGTACTAAATGCCACTACACTGCACACCTTTTTTTTTCCTTGAGACTGAGTCTTGCTCTATTGCCCAGGCTGGAGTGCAGTAGTACGATGGCTCACTGCAACCTCCACCTCCCGGGCTCAAGTGATTCTCCTGCCTCGGCCTCCCAAGTAGCGGAGACTACAGGAGACTACAGACTACCGCCACCATGCCCGTATATATATATATATATTTTTGTATTTTTAGTAGAGACGAGGTTTCACCGTGTTAGCCAGGATGGTCTCGATCTCCTGACCTCGTGATCTGCCCACCTCAGCCTCCCAAAGTGCTGGGATTACAGGCGTGAGCCACTGCACCTGGCCCACTGTACACTTTAAAATGGCTAATTGTATGTTACGTGGACTTTTTTTTGGACGGAGTCTTGCTCTGTCACCCAGGCTGGAGTGCAGTGGCTTGATCTCAGCTCACTGCAACCTCCACCTCCTAGGTTCAAGTGATTCTCTTGCCTCAGCCTCCCAAGCAGCTGGGATTACAGGCGCCTGCCACCATGCCTGGCTATTTCTTTTTTTTTTTTTTTTGTATTTTTTTGTATTTTTAGCAGAGACAGGGTCTCGCTGTGTTGGGCAGGCTGATAGCTCCTGACCTCAGGTGATCTGGCCGCCTTGGCCTCCCAAAATGCTGGGATTACAGGCGTGAGCCACCACACCCAGCCCATTATGTGAATTTTACTTAGAGAAAAAGTGAGTTTAAAAAAAGAGGCTGGGCACGGTGGCTCATGCCTGTAATCTCAGCACTTTGGGAGGCCAAGGCAGGAGGATTGCTTGAAGCCAGGTGTTCAAGACCAGCCTGGGCAACAAAGCAGGACCCCATCTGTACAAACATTTTTTAAAAAATTAGCCGTTGTTGGTAGCGCACACCTGTGGTCCCAGCTATTTAGGAGGCTGAAGTGGGATGATCTCTTGAGCCCAAGAAGCCCAGGAGTTTGAGGCTGCAGTGAGCTGAGATCGTTCCACTGCACTCTAACCTGAGCAACTGAGCAAGACCCTGTCACCAAAAAAAAAAAAAAAAAAAAAAAAAAGGAAAGGCTAAGAGATGAGAAGACTTTGCTGAGGTAAGAGTGGGGTCTCCCTGGCTAATCTCCTGCTGGGTGGGAGGCGCCCCTACAGCCCTCAGTCTGGGCCCTGGGTGGCACATGCCATGCCTGTCAGCTCCCCAAGAAGAGTTCAACCTTCCCCAACCCCCACATCCAGCAGGCTGAGTCTGGGCACCACCACACGCCATCCTCGGGGAGGGGGGCACTCACTGCCTGTCCTTGGTCCACTCCACCTGGGGCGTGGGGACCCCTGAGGTCCAACACTGCAGCTCCACGTCTGCACCGGCCAATCCTAGCACCTCCTGAGCGGCCCCGGCTCCAAGCACGGAAGGAGGGGCTGGGGGTGAGAAGGCGTGAGGGGTGGGAAACTGTTCAAACCCTGCAAGCCCCGCCTACCACGGGGCCTTTGTCTGTGCAGACCCCCCAGCCTGGGCCCCCCTCCTACCTGACCTTCCTGGGAAGCCCCCCAAAACCCTGGCCAGAAGGGCTTGCTCTGGAGCCCTCAGCACCCAGACTGTTCTTTGGTAGCACTTGTGACAGTAATGATTTTGCTATTCACCTGTCTGATGTCTGTCCCCCAAGCCTGATAGCTCTGTGAGGATGGGGGTTGGGTCTGTCATGGGTCCCTCTGTGCCCCCTGCTCTCCGCAGGCAAAGTCTACCCTCTCCCCCGGTGTGCCTGCAAGAGTTGGGGCTACAGGGCCAGACACACTTGGGAGTTACAGGGCTCAGGTCTCACTCACTGAGCACAAGGAGATGGAAGTCCCTCTGGGCGGTGCCAGCCTGGTTCTCTGCCCGGCAGGAGTAGAGCCCAGAATCACCCTCCTGGATCCTGGGGAAGTGGAGGGACTGGCCCTCGTCCAGGAGGCGGTGGCCGCCCACCTTAGGAATCTGGGTAGGAGAGGCCAGAGGGAGCCAGTAAGAGGGGATCCAGCCACCACCCCCAGCATCAGTAATGAGGAAACTGAGGCCCGAGAGGTGGCCAGTGGCCAGAACGGTGCCATGCTCTCTGCCACGCAGCCCCTGCCAGGCTTCACTACATGACCACTATCCTCCACTGCCGTGAACCCCAGAGCACCACCAAAGACACCTGTCACATCTCCCTGCCCCACCTTGGCACACGCAGAAATGCCCATCCAGAAGACCTGTCCCCAGCCTAAATCCCACCCATACCCCGCCCACCCTAGGGGGACACCCACCAGCTGCGCGTCCTTCAGCCACACGATCTCAGGGACTGGAAAGCCGTTCGCGTCACACTCCAGCGTCAGGGACTGCCCGGCCATACCCGACACGTTGGCCTTGCGCCCGTCCTCCCGGATGCTGGGGGGCACTTGGGGGCAAGGAGAGCCGAGGAGCTGCTTCCCTGCCCCCTTAGAGCCACAGCCGAAGGGACCTCATCTGGGCCATTCCCTCCCCTTCGTCACTGGGGTTGGAGAAGGTCTGCCTGTCCCCGTCCGCCCAGCCACAAAGGGTCCTGTGGACCTGCAGATGGCCGCAGCAGCCTTGCCCTGGGACCCACACACCCCCAGTCGTGCCCAGGCCCAGGTGTCACCCTTTCTGACTCTCAGCTTTGCAAGGTGCTGGAGTCCCCTTAGATCCATCTGGTTCTACACCCAACCTGGTGTCACAGTGACCAGGGAGGGTCCCCCTGAGTGAGAATCTCTGAAGGTGAGGCCTGGCCACGCTTTTGTAACAAATGTCTTGAGCAAGTCATTACAGGGCTAGCCAGAGCAGCTGGTCCTGGGGAAGCAGCAGGTGGCGTTAGGAGCTGGTAGAACTGCCCAAGCGGGGCCAGTTCATCCTGCCGACAGAGACCACTCCCCAGCCCACCCACACTGCCCGTGTTAAGGAGGGGTTCCTTTCCTCTGCACATAGCACCCTGGATGTGGGGGTGGGCGCTCTCCCTGCTGAGGACAAGAATGTGAGAAGAGACCAGGGGTAACAGTTTTAACCCGGAGGTGGGCTCTGGGGCTCTGCACTGCCATCCGTGCTCATTTTTAAAAATAATTTTTTAAGTTTATTTTATGTAGAGACAGGGTCTCTCTCTCCCAAACTGGTCTCGATCTCCTGGGCTCAAGCAATTCTCCTGCCTCAGCCTCCCAAAGTGCTAGGATTACAGGTGCAAGCCACCATGCCCAGCCAAGGGGTCATTTTAAAATGCCTTCACCTCTAGACCAATCTCAAAGACACTGATGGAATTCCAGGTGCTTCCCCCATACTGTCTCCGTGGGGGTCTCTCTAGGGAAGTGGGGTGTACAGTGCAACCTGCCACTCTCCCAGCCCCCTCAAGCCCTCCCTGTCACTGGCACCTGGTGGCAGGACCTGATTCTCCTGTGTAGGAAGCTTTCAGGCCCCGGGGAACTGGCACTGCCACACCTGGGCACGCCGTGGTACTGTCAGACCCCCGGCTTCACTGTGGGCCTCTGGCCGGATGCGGTCCTGGGAGGAAGACAGGCCCGTCTCTGGGTCCCTGCCGCTTTCCTCTCTTGCCCCCAGCTCTGGGTCCCTGCTCACCATAGACCACCAGCTTGGCTCTCCTGGACGTGGAGCCCACCTCGTTGGTGGCCTGGCACTCGTAGTCTCCACTATCCGCAGGTGAGACGGAGGCCAGGAACAGAGACCCCTCCTCCAGCACTGCCACACCTGGCTGGCCATGCAGGGGCTCCGAGGACGGGCCCTTCCTCCATGTGACCTGCGGCTTGGGCGTTCCTGGCAGGGTGCATGGAGTCATCAGTACAAACACCCTGACACCTTCCCCTCCACACCTGCACTGTCTCCCACATGTCTCTCCTGTGCAAAAGGGGCTGACGGTCCAGCGATGACTCCAGGCACCTCCGTCCCCCCGAGGCTGGAAGGAGCATTTCCCTCGGAGCCGTGGGAGCCCCCACACCCGCCACCTACCCACACTGCCCATCCATACAGCCTCCTAGGGTCCCTGAGGGACCAAGGCGGGGACTGCAGGCCTGTTTTCTGGTTCTCTTCACAGCAAGTCCCCAGTCCCCTCATTTAGAATTGCACCCCAACAGGCACCCCCAGCCCCTGCCCTCCCTGCTTTTCAGCCGTCGTCCTCCACTTTCCAGTGATCAGAGGACGCGTCTATGCTCCAGGTCTCTGTTGTCTCTTTTCCGTGTCCCCCACCCGACGAGGGCCAGGCTCTTTGTTTTTTTCCCTGCTGCCACCGCCAGCCTCTAGCACAGTGCCCGGCACACAGTAGGCACTAAATCAATGAACGAGCCAAGCCTGCCGTGCTCCAGCACCCTGCGTTGTGCCCTGGGGTTAGGGCCTGTGGGAGGCCCCAATTCTGCTCAGCCTGCTCCTGCTCCTCCCTCCACAAGCCTGGGTCAGTCACTTTGCCAGCCACAACCCCCAGCCCCACCGTGAGTGCCACACCCCCCTGCCTCCAGCCCCACCGTGAGTGCCACATCCCCCAGCCCCTTGATCTCTAGGACACGCCCCATGTTGGTCTGTGCACACAGCCTGGTACACAGTAGGTGTGCCAGAAACAGCTGCCCACTGGGCTGGAGTGGAGCTTTCATTCACGGGCCCCAAGGACAGAACCTGCCCAGAGGGGGTCCTATGTGAGCTGAAGCTAACAGCCCAGTCCTCCAAGTGACCCCTTTGAGGCACACTGCCCAGAGGTCGCAGCGTGAGCCCCAGGCACACACTCTGCTGCTGCCATCCTGGCCCTAGCTCTCACCTGCCCCCTGACCTCCGCCAGCGCTGACTCAGGGGAGCCTGTGGGGTCCCCACACTTGCAGATCGGCACGTCACTCCCACCCGCCTTCTGCTGCTACCGCTGGTCATCAGGACTGTTGTAGCTAACACTGATTATCATCAGAAAGGGCCGCCCCTGGCAGCGGGGGCCCAGGGGTAGACACTTATGCTGTGGGCCGCTCACTCTTTCATCCTTGGAAGGACCAGTAAGCATGGTGGCGGGGAAGACATGGCATGTGGAAGGCACACTGGCATCATCTCTGCAGGAGGCTGCCCTGCCCCCTCCGCCCTACCCTGACCGCCCACCGTAAAGTGCCAGAGACCCTCCCTGCTGGCATGAGGGACAGGGAGGGCCCAGGGCCCTGCTCCATGTCCACCCACGCTCTGGGTGTCCTTGGGCAACTTACTGAATCCCCCTGTGCCCGTTTTCCTCTGGAATCCTCTGCCCAGAATGCAGGCCAGAATGTCCCACCGCCAGGGGCTGCTACCCCCACTCCCCACTGTGGGGATACACACCACACACACACAACACGATACACACACCACACACCACACTACACACACGAAACACCATACACACATACCACACACAAACATACACACCAAGCACTACACACACCACATACTATACACACCAAACACCATACACATACCACACATGACATACATACCAAACAACACACACACCACACCCTATACACACCACACACCACATACACACCACATACTACACACACCACACACCAACATACACACACAGCACACACACACCACACACTACACATACCACACATACCACATACACACCACACACCACAAACATACACACACACAGCATACATATCAAACAACACACACACCACACACCACGTACACACCATACACTACACACACCACACACCATACACATACCACACACAACATACACACTACACACCACACACCACACACAATACATACCACAAACCACACTACACACACCACCATACACACACCACACACAATATACACACCAAACACTGTGCACACACCACACACCACACACAATACATACCACACACCACATACACACCATGCACTACACACTACACACACCACACACACAACATACACACCAAACACCATGCACACACCACACACACACCAAAACTATACACACCACATACACAACACATACAACATATACACCAAACACTACACACTACACACACCAAACCACACACACAACATACATGCCAAACACCACACACACACACACACACCACATACACCAAACACCATACACACACCACACACACAACATATATACCAAACACTACACACACCACACACACCAAACACCACATACCACATACACATCACATGCTACACACCATACACACAAACACCATGCACACAAAACACCATACACACACACACACCACACATTCACACATACGCACCACACACTACACATCATACACACACACTACATACACATCAAACAACATACACACACCACACACAAACATATACACCAAACACCATACACACATCACACACTACACACAACACCATACACATACACACAACATACAAACACTACATACACACCCCACATACCAAACACCACATACCACATACACACCACACACTACACACCACACACACCACATACATACACCACACACAAACACCATGCACACCACACACACAACATACACCAAACACCATATATATAGACCACACACACACAGAACACATACATGCACACACCAAACACTATACAACATACATGCCAAACACCACACACACACACCACATACTACATACACACATCACATACACACAGAACACATACATGCACACACATCCCACACATGACACATACACCACATACACACACTACACATTCGCACACTCACACACATGCACACCCCCCTCTCATCTTCCTCAGCTTTCCCCTGAGAGCCCCTGTACTTCCCGCCACGCCGGGGGCCAGGCCTTCCGAGCTGCAGGTCGGGAGGGGTGATGGTTTCTGCTGTGGAACCTTGTTTACCACAATCTCAGCCTAAAGTGCTCTAGTGCAGGACGGCCCTGAAGCTCTGTGACAAGGAGGACAAGGAGATCCCCGGGCACCAGCTGCTGCCCAGGGTCCCTCACGCCGCCCCCTCCCCACTGTGCAGAGTCCCACACACCACACACACCACCAAGTGGGTGTCCAGGCTCTGGGCCTTCACGCCCCACCCCACCCCACGAGGAAGAGGCAGATGGTGTCACTGCAGGGCCCAGGGAGTCCCCATGAGGGTGCTGGGCTCAGTCCCAACCCTGTAGCCCTCAGAGCGCTCCGAGCCCAAGGCCACAGGGCTGTGAAACAAGGCCCTCCTGACCAGGAAGGAGGCCGGGGCAGCCCAGGCGGCAGGCCTGGTGGGGAGAGGCAGTGCTATCAGAGGGGATTTGGGTGAGGCTGACAGGCTCAGGACTGGTCCCTGACTGACCAGGGCTGTGTGTGGCAGTCAGGGGCTGGGTGGGTCCCACCTTCCACTGTCTCCCACCTCCCAAAAGCGCAGAACGGCTGCTTGCTGTTAGCAGAATCCAACGCAAGGTGGCGCCATAGTCAAGGGCCGGGGACCTGGGTCGGGGAGGGTCGGGGGGCCAGGTGGGCAGGTCGGCAGCTCTGCACCTGGGGATCCAGAGGGGCTCCCAGAGCTCCCACCCAGGTCCTCCCCTTGCCTAGGTGGGTGCCATCCCTGCTTCTACCTGCCTCTCCCTGAGTCCTTTTCTGGGGCCTTCCAGGGCGTCCTGTGGCTCACAGAGCAACAACCAAGACTAGAGACGCCCCCCAGGCTCCTGTCAGGCTTTGGTGACCTGCCACTTGCTACCAGACACCAGACAGCACCCTCCAGAGAACCTCAGCCCCACAGAGGGGAGGCGGTGCTCCCAGCCATGCAGGAGCCCAACGCCGAAAGAAGCAACTGAGGCAGTGGCGGGGGCTGAGGAGGGATCTTCTGGGTGGGGCCGTGGGGTTCACAAAAAGGCAGAAGCCAGGCATCCACCACATTTCCTGAGCCCTCCTAAGATGCCAGCCCTGTGCACGCGTGGGGTCCCACTGAGTTCCCACAGCAGCTCCATGCAGAGGGGCTGGTACAACCCCGCTGTACAGACAGGGAAACTGATGCTCGAAAGGAGATAGAAACTGTCCTGAGTTACAAAACCAGGAAGGGCCAGGGCAGGGTTCGGCGCTGGGCAGCTGACCCATGGTGGCTATCGGCCCCACACCGTGCTCCTGCCCCAAAGACAAGCCCAGAAAAGCTGCTTTGGCCAGAACCACTGAATCCATCCTCTGTGGGAAAGTCAGGGGCATGGGGAGAGGCGGGCTGACCACGAAGCCCCAACCCACAAGGACCCCGGGCTGCCTCAGCCCTGGCGATCACACCCCCAGATGCTGATGGGCACAGGGGGGCAGGGCAGGGGTCACACTTGTCCACATTCTGAGTCACATCCTGGCTGTGTGACTTCAGGCAAGTCACTTAACCCCCTTGGGCCTGGATTGCCCCTAATCAAAAGGGGCAATAACACCATCCTGCAGGGTTGACAATGGGATGAACCACCTGGCATGCTGCTGACAAGGAGCATGTGCCCCGTGGGCCTGCCACGTGCAACCCAGGGCACTGGAACATGAGTGGGGACGCCTCCCAAGCCAGCCCACCCCACCTCCCCAGTCCCTCCCCAGACGCAGCTTCACCTCTGGCAGGGCACGGCAGGCTGGCATTCTCTCCGGCCACTCGCTCCAGCAGGCCGCTGGTCTCATCAGCCCCCCAGTGTGGTGGCTCTGTAGGGAGGCAACATGGCCACACTCCTACCTCGGGCCCAAAGCCTGGCACCCCTCAACCCCTGCCTCCAAGGAACCCAGGGCCAATGGGGAGGGTGTCCCCTTCTAGAATCCCAGCCCCTAGCCTCCTGGCAAGTCCAGTCAGGGCCAGGGGTACTGGCTCACCCTGCAGGGAGGCCCCATGGTGCAGCCACCAGGGCCGAGCCCCACATGCTGGGGAGGCTGAGCTGTACCCTCAGACACAAGGGGCCATGAGTGGTCCCTCTCAGCAGTGGCTTTCCAAGCTTTTATTTATTTATTTATTTATTTATTTATTTATTTATTTATTTATTTATTTTAAGAGATGGGGTTTCACTATGTTGGCCAGACTGGTCTCGAACTCCTGGGCTCAAGCGATCCACCCACCTCGGCCTCCCAAATTGCTGGGATTACAGGCATGAGCCACTGCACTCAGCCCCAAGCTTGTTTTAAATTCCTAATAGTGAAACTGCTAGCACCACTGATCCAGAACTTTCTATGCGCCAGGTGCTTCACACACTCTCTCACATGGACCCCCCACATACTATTGGACCCACTTTGCAGGTGAGAAAACCGGGGTCAGAGAGTGTAGGTGACTGGCCTATGGTTGTCTGGATGGCCCTGGGTCCAGTGCCACTCCCTGGTTACTGCTCCAGGTGCCTCTGTCCACCCAGGTACTCAGGGGCCCCACAGGTCACCACCCAAGGGTAAGGAGTACAGGGAATCCCTGCTGGGAGCTCTGAGGACCACCTGGTCCATACCCAAGGACTGACAAAGGCTCCTGGACACAGGATAGCCCCAAAGCTGTGGGGCTGGAAGGTCCCAGAAAGGGCCAGGGCTCTATCTGTCCCACGAAGGAAGGGAACGGGCAGGCACAGAGCCCGGAACAGAGACGAGCACCTCCCAAATCCAGGCTGTGGCTGGGAGAGCTGGGGAGAAGCAGGTTCTGGGGCCAGGGAGACTCACCCAGCACCCTGAGCTCCACCTCCCAGGCATCCACCCCGGCGCTGTTGGAGGCTTCACAGCGGTACCTCCCGGCATCAGAGGTTCTGATGGCTGCGAAGTGGACGGAGCCCTGAGGCCCCCGGCCCTGCAACACCACGCCATCCTTGGACCAGCTCAGCTGGGGCTCTGGGTTGCCCTCAGCCACACAGTTCAGATCCAGGGCTTCTCCCACCAGCACCTTCAGAACCCGAGGGCCTGGCTGCACCTGAGGGGGGACTGAGGGGCCACAGGAGGGGTATCAAGGTTGGGGGACCCAGGCGAGAGGGTCCCAGAACCCAGGCCCAAGCCACATCTCAGATGTCACCAACCAGCAAAATTGTCATGGAGCACAATCAAAGGCTGGCAGGAAAAGACGTTGGGACACCTCACGTGGACTCCCCCAAAGTGAGTGAGCTCCGGTCTTTCACCTGAACACACGCACTCCTGAAAGACTCAACCCTTAGGGCTGAGCTTGTATATCCCTCTGCCCTCGCCAATGTGCCTGACATCATTTAAGAAGCGCCACTCGGGGCTGGGAGCGGTGGCTCACGCCTGTAATCTCAGAACTGTGGGAGGCCGAGGTGGGCAGATTGCCTGATGTCAGGCGTTTGAGACCAGCCCAGCCAACATGGCGAAACCCATCTCTACTAAAAATACAAAAATTAGCTGGGCGTGGTGGCGCGCACCTGTAATCCCAACTACTCGGAGGCTGAAGCACGAGAATTGCTTGAACCCGGGAGGCGGAGGTTACAGTGAGCTGAGATTGTGCCACTGCACTCCAGCCTGTGTGACAGAGGGAGGCTCCGTCTAAGAAAAAAAAAAAAAAAGCGCCACTTGGGATTCATCCAGCTCAGTGCACAGGGGAAACTGAGGCAAGGCAGAGGGGTCGACTTATAATGGCTAAGCAAGGTTCGGAGGCAGCATGTGCGGAGGTGGCTCCAATCCTGGTTCAGCTCCTTATAGCCAAGGGACCCTGCTCCAGCCAGAGCCTCAGTTCCCCCTCATCACAACCCCTCCCGCCCTGCGGGATGAAATGAGGTGCGGCACTAAAGCAGCCAGCATAGAGCCCGGTGGCTGGCATGCTGTGGCTGCAGTCACTCCAGCTGGGCATCACCGCTGCCCCGTCCTTCCCTCCCCCTGGCTGTGGCTTCCCGTTCTTTCACATTTGTGGTTTCAAGTCACTTTCTCATCCTCCATCTCACTCGGTCCTTCCTACATGGCAAGTGATGCCATCCATGCCTCCGCATTTTGCAGAGGGGGAAACTGAGTCTCAGAAAGGTTATATGACTTGGCCAGAGTCGCCCCCCTCCCTCAGGGGATAGGAGCTGGCACCAACCCTGGGTCTGAGTGTCCAAGGGTCCAGGCCCCTGCGGGGCCAAACTGGGTGGGCACAAAAGACTTCTCAGAGCCCAGGGGCCACCTTGCTCCAGGCACTGCATGGGACACTGGGACAAGTGTCCTGGACCCTCGAGGGACACTGAGGTGCACCCACCCCCTACGCAGCTTCTGAGAAGGAGCCTGGATATAAAACCACCCATGGGATCCTGGCCCTTGGGTGGAGACCAACCCCTTAGCCCAGGGCCTGGGTGCCCAGGAGCACAGAGAGCGTGGATGCCCCGCCCATCTGTCAATCTCTCTCACACACAACCGCTGAAAACAATAACAGCTTCCATTGTTCTGAGCATTCAATGCCCACAATGGGATGGGCTTTATTGTGGCCTCACTTTATAGAGGAGGAAAGCAAAGCTCAGAGAGGCCAAGTGACTGGCCTAAGGTCACACAGCCAGTCAGCAGCACAGTCAGGACTCAAACCCAGCTCTGTCAACGTTGAGGCCCTGCTTATTACACTGCCTCCCTGTTCCTGTGTCTCTCTCACACCCCCAGGCAAACCCATGGGAACCCTGGAGCCCCTTCCCACTCTGGGCCTCAGCTTGTCCACCTGTAAAATGGGGTGTGAGCTTAGATCCGGGGCAGCACATTTTTTCCGTAAAGAGTCAGGTGGTCAGGATGCTGGGCTGTGAGGCCAGGCAGGCTCCCTCCACTTCTCACCTCTGCCGTCAGAGGGTAAAGCAGCCACAGGCAGCACATAGATAAACATGCGTGGGCGTGTTCCAATAAAACTTGTATTTATAAACACTGAATTTTTGTTTTGTTTTGTTTGAGACAGGGTCTCGCACTGTTGCCCAGGCTGGAGTACAGTGGCACGATCACAGGTCACTGCAGCCTCGACCTCCTGGGCTCAAGCTATCTTCCCACCTCAGCCTCCTGAGTAGCTGGGACTACAGGTGCGGACCATTGCAAGTGGTTAATTTTTTATTTTTTGTAGAGATGGGGTCTTGCTATGCTGCCCAGGCTGGTCTCGAACTTCTGGGCCCAAGCCATCCTCCCACCTAGGCCTCCCAAAGTACTGGTATTACAGGCATGAGCCACTACGTCTGGCCAACACTGAAATTTGAATTTCAGATAAATTTGAAATATCACAAAATATTATTTAGTTGGTTTTTTGTGCTTGTCCAATTATTTTAAAAAGTGGAAGCCATTCTTCACTGGCTCATGATCTCTGAAAACAGGAGGGCAGATTGGGCCCTTGGGCCATAGTTGGGCCTGTCTTGGATGCCTCTCAGGGTTCTTTCGGATGACGAGCGCCCTCCCTTTTCAGTGTATGACTCCCACTGGCTGGCTCCCTTTGAATGAGCCCCAGGGGAACACCCACTCCTGGGACCCCCCACCAGGCTGGGAATCAGAGGCACAGTGGGGTACGTAGGGGCCTTGGACTAGAGGAAGGGATACATGGAGAGAGAGCGGCACCCACTGTTATAGGTGCACAAAGTGCCTTGTTGATGGCAGTGGTGGGAGCAGGGGCTCAGAAGGGCCTCTTGGGGGCATTAAGATGCTCCCAGCAGGAGGGGCTCTGTGGCACCTCACAGGCCTCTTCCCATCGCCACACCCTGGGCTCCCAGCTGGGCCTCGCGTACCAGGCAGAGACCCTCTCAGACCCACCTTCATGGGTTCCCCTCTGACCCCTGTCCTCCCAAACCCAAGTCCCCACTGTGCTCTGCCCTGTGTTGTTGGGGGCCTCTGAACAGCGTCTCCAGGACCCCTCAAGGGGTATGGGGAGAGGTGGAGAGAAAGGGTGGAGGAGGAGAGACAGGCCTGAGAGAGACAGGAAGTGGGGGTGGCAAAAGGAGGTGGCAGAGGCGCACGGAGGGAGAGGTGACAGAGCCTGACAGACCTGGGCGTGGGCTGCAGGAGGGGCACTGAGAGACCTGAGAGACAGGCAGGGTGATGGGGGACAGGGAGGGACTGGGGCTGCCAGCTGGTCCTACCTTGCACCCCAAGGACGTAGCGATGGGAGGCGGACCCGGCGGGGTTACTGGCTGTGCACTCGTAGTGGCCGCTGTCACCCACCTGCACCTGGGCCAGACGCAGGGAGCCAGACGGGAGGAGGCCATACCTGCGGGAATGAGGAGCACTGGTGAGACCCCCACTGACCCCACCCCCATGGAAAGGCTTCAAGACCCAACTTGAACCAGCCACCTCCCCCAGGAAGCCTTCTGAGAATGAGCCAGCACCCACCATCTACCCCCACCCCCGCCTCCATCCTCCCTGAACCACCAGGCCAGGGCCAGTTCTCACGCCTACTGGTGTAAGAGAAGAAGAGCACTGGACTAGGAGTCCACTGGCTTGGGTTCGAGTCTAAACTCTAAATCCTTCCTAGCTGTGTGACCTCAGGCAAGTTGCTTCACCTCTTGGAGCCTCCATTTCCTCATCTGTAAAATGGGCATGCTAAGACGGCCTGTGTCTGGGCCAGGGCTGGTAAACGGAGTCTATCACAGGCTCAGCCCAGGGCCAGGAACCTGCCCACCGCTTGACACCTGTTGACTGTGGGTGGCAACTCCCCCTCCTCTGCCACACACACCTGCCCGGTGTGTGGGATGAAGAAGCTGGCAGCCCTGAGGCCCTCTGGTCTGGTGCCAGGGCCGGCCTGACTCTGACTGCAGTCGCTTGGTGCTCTTACGTCCAGAACTGTGTTGAGGGTCCTCAGGAGGAAGCTGTGGAGCCCCCACCCCTGCTGCCATCGTTGTCCTCCCCAGTCTGGCTCAGCTTGATAAAGTCACATCACCCCCATCCCACAGGGATCGAGGACCCCCAGCCAGGCTCCTGCAGCTGGGCTGGACCCCAAGGGCCCCCTGCAGACATGATGTCACTGGGCCATATGTGCTGGCTCCGCACAGCTCCTGCCTCCATAAAATAGGGAGGACAGCTGCGGCCACTGACCCTAGCTGGCCTCAAGAGTACGCAGCCAGCATGGGGGTGGGGGACTCCAAGGCCCAGTCGCTGGCCCTGCGCTCACTGGCTGGGCTCTAGAACCCAGCAGGCCCGGGATGCCTGGCCCCCACCTTGCTTTCTGCTGAGCTTCAATTTCCTCCTCTGCAAAACGGGGCTCACAGAGCCCCTTATAGAATTCTTAGGGGTCCTCATAGCCCCCACCTCGCGGGCAGCTGCAAGGATCACATGAGACATGGTGAGCAAAGCGCGGGCCATGCAGTCATTAAACAGGGCAACACCATCGGCAATTCTCGGGCTACCAGCTGAGAACTCTGTCTCCCCATCTGCAGAGTAGTGCAATGACACCCCCTTTCCAGCCACCCCCTCCATCCTTTTGTCCCGAGCATCCAGCAGCCTCTTGGGACAAGTTCTCTGAGGATGGCTGTGGATGACACAGTGGGTGGTGGTCTCTAGAGCCCAGGCACTGGGCTGGATTGCCTGGGTCTAACCTGCTAGGCCATGCGCTAGCTGTGTGAGGTTGGGCAAGTCACCTCACCCTTCCTGTGCCTAAGCCATCTCATTTTGGAAAATAGAGCCATCAGTTGTGCTCAATGCTCACAGGGTTGTCAAAAGAACTGAATGGCCTAATTCATAACACGGCGTCTGGAACAGAGAGGTCCTCAACAAAGGTCAGCTGCTTCCATGGAGACAAGAGCACATGCATAAATAATACACAAAGTTTTGCATGTTTTAAAACTTGCATCACGAGCTATATCACGATATAAATAGCATCATGAGTATATATGTAGGGCTAATTAACTCATTTTTGACTGTTGTGTAATATTCCCTTGTATGATCACACCACAGTTTATTAACTTGCTCCCTTTTGAGTGGACATTTAAACATTCAGATCTTTATCTCTTCCTTCTTTCCTTCCTTTCTCCTTCCTTCTTTCCTTCCTTTCTCTCTCTCTCACTCACTCACTGCTCTATGTGTCTCACATGCACCGGAGCAGGTCTCCTGGGCTACAGGCTCACACCCTCTGCTCTCAAAGATCTCACACCTTGCAAGGGAGGGGTTCTCATCAGATTCTCCCAGCTGCATGTGAAACATGCTGATTCTCAGGCCCTACCCAGAGACTCATTCCATGGAGGAGGTAGGAATTGGGGTTTTACTAAAAAGCCCTAGGTAGCTGATACTAATGGCTGCGGAACCGCCTCCAGGGAACCACTGCCTGAGGACATGAAGACGTGCCCCTTCCCCAAGAAGCAGCATGGCAGAGCAGATGGGTGCGGGTCTTTGACGGCAGGTGTCCTGGTGAGAACCACCATTCTGCCTCTTACAGGCTGACCTCGAGCCAAGGACGCCATCTCCCTGAGTTTCAGTGTCCTTATCTAGTGTGAACTGATATCACACACACAAAGCCTGAGGTGCCCAGGACATAGTATATGGATAACACCTGCTCATCTTTCAATACCGAGACATCACCTCCTCCAGGTCACCTAAACTGCCTTGCTATTAGTGTGACACAAATCCCCAGCCAATGTCTGGGACCTCTCCGCAGTCTTCAATCAGCTGGGCAGCCCTGAACAGTTTGCTCAGTCTTTATAGTGCAAAGGAATACGCGAGAAGACACCACAGAAATATGTATGTGTCCTGGCAATGGGTAAACATTTCCCCTGCGTAGCTCTCCTCTGTCTGCCACTCCAGCTTGAATGTTCTCTTCTACAGCTTTTTAAAAAATTAAATATGTTGACATGTCGACACCCACCAATCAACGGCCAAATCCATTTGATGCTGAAACTTATACACTCAATCACACTCCAGGCTGGGATGCGGTCCCCTCCCTAGATTTCATCGCAACACCTGGGCTGGCAAACAGGGATGATGTGGGCCAGTAGGAAGAGGTCTGGGCTAGAAACTGGAGTTCTGGATCCGAGGTTCAACTGTGCTTCAGACATGCTGTGCAGCCCCAGGCAGGGCAGTCAACATCTCTGAACCCCATTTCATATTTGAAAAGGCAGCACACAGTCTGGGTAACACAAGGAGACCTCATCTCTACAAAAAATAAAAAACTAGCTGGGCATAGTGGCACATGCCTGTGGTCCCAGCTAATTGAGAGGCTGAGTTGGGAGGATCACTCAAGCCCAGGAGATTGAGAGCTCTGGTTGTGCCACTGTACTCCAGCCTGGGCAACGGGGCAAGACTCTGTGAAGAAAAATAAAGGGTGAGGGAGGGAGGGAGGGAGAGAGAGAGAGAGAGGAGAGAGAGAGAGAGAAGAGAGAGAGAGAGGAAGAGGGAGAGAGAGAGAGAGAGAGAAGAGAGAGAGAGAAAGAGAAAGAGAGAGAAAGAGAGAAGAGAGAGAGAGAGAAAGAAAGAAAGAAAGAGAGAAAGAAAGAGCAGCTCCAGACTCTAATCTGAGAAGTTGCCCTCCAGAACTTTAAGGACCATAGAATCCCTACTCCCCTCTTCACCAAACCCTTAAAAAGATAGGAAATGGGGCTTCTGAAAAAAAAAAAAAAAAAAAAACTTCCAAAAGTGTTAACAATTCACACCAATAAAAGTGGGTATCTTATCTTTCTTAGGAGCATCCAAGATCATTTCCTAGAAGGAGGATTCTGCTTGCTACATCACCAAGGAAGAAATGGGGGAATCCATTTTACAGATGGACAAGCTGAGGCCAAAGGATCCAGGACCTGCCCAGCAGAGCCTGTGTCTGCTCTAAATGCCAAACTGGCCACATCCTCACCTGCTCTCAAGCCCTCTGTGGCTGCCCACTGCTCCCTGACAAAACCCAAGCACAGTACTATGGCCTGTGTGGACCTACGCAGACCACCCCCAACTCCCCTGCATCCCTGCATGGGGGCACTGGACCACCGTTCCTCCGCAGGGGGCCAGGCCCATCTCACCAGCCCTCCTTGGCACATGCTGTTCCTTCTACCTGGGACACACCTGCACTTCCCATTCACCTGGATGATACTTGATTCATCTTCCAATACGGAGACATCACCTCCTCCAGGAAGGCTGACTTGATGCCCCAGGCTGGTAGGTCCATCCTGTAGGCTCCCACAGCTTCCTGAACATCCTGCCATCAAAGCCTTCACCACACTGGCTTGTCACCACCTGTCACCTGCCTGCCTGTGGCTCCAAGGGGACATCCGTCTTATTTCTCTTGGTATCTCCAGGACCTGCTCAGACCTGGCACAGAGAGATGCCTTATCATGACCCTGCGCATGCTCTGCGGAGACTCAGGGAAAAGGTGAAGCTGCAGCTATGGGCCTGGGGTTTCGAGGGCAGCCTACCACCTGCTCCTTCTGCCCCCTACCACTCTCCCGCTACATTCCCAGAAGCTCAGTGGGAGGTTTGGGGGCTGCAGCCCAGCAGGGAAGGGGAGGCGGCAGCGGAGAGATGGGAGAAAGGGAGGAGGCCACAGAGTCTCCGAGGAACAGGCTGCTGTTGGGCACATGGTGTGATGAGCGGGGCAGACTTCATCGCGACGTGCACGGCCAGATGGCTCCACGCAGCGCCCAGATGAGAGTGGAGAGGTTTGAGGGGAATTTCCTGTTTATGACATCCATCTGGCTTGAGCCCCTGCAGTGAGGCGCACGCAGATGTCAGAGTGGTGGGGAGAAGCAAGAGGGGCCCAGGGGGCAGAGGGCTGCCCAGAGAGACCAAAGGGCATCTGATAGGGAGTGCCAGGAATAATGCCAGTTCCCAGGCCTCACCTGTCTGCCTCATCCCCGGCACACACCTTTGCTGCACTCAGGGAAGCCTTCCCTGCTGCCCCAGGCAATACCCTGCCTCCCATTACATGCTTCCCATGCCACTCTGCAGTTTACCACGCCTGTCATTACGCTGTCTGATGGCTCCGTGAGGGAAGGAGCCAGGTGTGCCCAGGTCCCCGGCATGCCCCAGTTCAGCATGGGCCCTGGCCTGGTCCACAGTAGGTGTTCAATAAATATTTCATGGCAAATTGCATCTGTTCCCTGTCCATGCCACACACTCCCTTCACCGCCTTCATTGACACGGGTCCCTGCTCTCCCTCCCTCCCCCCAGACCTTCCACCATCTCAATACTGCCCTCCTGCCCTCCCCAGACCCCCGCTGTCTCCCACATTGCTGTTTTTGCTGCCTCTGTCTATAAAGCATCCAGGAGCAGGGCCGGCGGCCGTGGAATGAACGGCACTCCCCGCCAGAGTCACCCAGCCTGCTGCACGGCTGGTTCTCAGCACAGAGCGCACAGTCAGGCAACACTCAACAGATGCCCACTATGCACTAGTGGACGCCAGCCCTGTCTGCTGGCCTGGAGAGAACCCCTCCCGGAAACCACTGCCCCAACTCGCGTCTTCTTCCTGTAGCCTGACCAGGATCGCAGACCCGTGAGGAGGCCACATGAGGGAAGGTCATGCTGGAGAAATTCAGGAGGAGGTGCCTGAGACACGCCAAGGGGCCTCAGGTAGGTAGGGGGAGACGGAGCCAGCGCCATCGCACGAGCCCGGAGAGCGTAAGCCCTGCGATGCTGGTGCTGCTAACGAGGATGGTGCTGACGCCAGCCACAGCTGTCAACTATTGAGTGCTTCCTGTGGGTCACTGTGCCGCCAAACACGCTCTCACTTAGAATCCCAACAGCCAGACCTACCAGGCAGGCAGACCCACTACCACACCCCCTTTTGCAGAGGAGAAGACTGAGCCTCCGGAGGTGTGGTCCTGGTGTCCACGGCCACTGAGCTGGCCAGGGCACAGCGAGGACTGGACCCTCACACTGTGCGACCATGCTCCTTCCTAACCGCCATGGTGATCTAAACGTCCGGCTCTGAAGGCGAGGAAACTTAAATGTTCTCCAGAAAGACAGCCACTGCCCACAGGCTGACCAGATGGACTCCAGAGCCACCAGACCAGAAACCAACAAGGGCTTTGAGGATCCACCAAGGTACAGTCCCCATGCAGGGCCCTGGGCAGTCCAGGCACACCACTGGCTTGCAGAGAGCAGTGAGCTGCTTTCCCTGCCACAAGTCACCAGATCCCAGCTGCAGGCCTCACCTCTCACCTCTAATGAGCCGGCCCAGTGGTCCCCTTCCAGGAGAAGGGTGGGTGGGCAGCCTGTCCTGCAGTGTGCTTGGGAAGGGGCAGAGGAGGGTGGTGGGGGTATCAAAGGAAGAAAACCTGGAAGAACGAGATAGAAACGCACCATCCTCTCACTGCCCCCACACCGCGCTGGGATTAGGGATTTGGCCCTGTGTGGAATGCTGGCCGGCTGCCTCCGGGAGCCACAGCCAGAGCCAGGAGTGCTCACAGCCGTCCCATCTCCTCATCGGAATCCCAAACAAACATTGTTGCCTGGAAACACTGCCTCGCCCCAGCATCCCTGGGCTGAATCATGGGACCAGAGCCCCGAGATGCTCTCTGGCCACCATCGCCTGTCCAACCCTTTCATTTCTCAAACTGAAAGGCTGAGGCCCAGGGAGGGGAGAGGGGAAGGGTCTTGTTTGAGGTCACCGGGCGAGCTGGGGTGAAGCTGGGATGGGACCCCAGGTCTTCTGCCACCTGACCTCACACACAGCCCAAGCCCATGTCTTCTGTCTCCGAGGCTGCAACACAATCCTGGGCATAGGATACTGCTCAGTCAATGCTGCTGACTTCAATTTTGAATTTGCAACTTGGATGTCTTTTTCAAAAATAAGTCCCACAGGAAAGAAGCACTCAGTGACCATTCCCACCCTCGGACTTCACCGTTGGCTTCTGGGACCGTCCCGCAAGGAACCGACCCAGGAGATAAAGAGGAACATTGTGCAAAGCTGCTCCAACAGTCCCATTTATGACCGCGAGAGCTGGCAACATGGCCGTGCCCCACACAGAGCAATGACTTAGCGATGATGGGAGCCGAGCGCCCTGGAATGTTACTTTGTCCTTTTTTTTTTTTTTTAAGACAGAGTCTTGCTCTGTTGCAAGGATGGAGTGCGATGGCACGATCTTGGCTCACTGCAACCTTCACCTCCCAGGTTCAAGCGATTCCCCTGCCTCAGCCTCCCGAGAAGCTGGGACTACAGGCGCGCACCACCACGTCCGGCTATTTGTGTGTGTGTGTGTGTGTGTGTGTGTGTGTGTGTGTGTTTCAGTAGAGACAGGGTTTCACCATGTTGGCCAGGATGATCTTGATCTCCTGACCTCGTGATCCGCCTTCCTTGGCTTCCCAAAGTGCTGGGATTACAGGCATGAGCCACCATGACCGGTCTATTTTGCCCTTCAAAAGGAAAAGCAAGTGACGTGGGCCAGAATGAATCGAGAAAATGGGTAAAAGAGAAAAGGAATCCGTGATGAGGACGGAATATAAGATGCACGAGGTTTAATTTTAGAACAGCCCCTACAAGGATAAGAGCCGCTCCAAAGGGACTGGGATGCAGCTGGGCGGCTCAGAACTTCACGGCTTCTGAGGTTCCTAGGATGCTTCCTCTGTGAGCACTTGCTGACTTGGGGGGGTCGAAGATACCTAGGAGTTCAGAGAGCAGTGGCCCACCTGATACGTGTGTCCCTGTGCGTGCGTCTATGTGTGTCTGCGTGTCTGTGCATGTTGGGACCCAGCCCCAAGAGCTGCAGGGTCAGGTTCCACGTCCCCACACCCCATGTGTTTCTGTTTCCTCCTCAGTGCACTGGGCATGGTGCCATCCACCCCAACCACCTACAGGGCGCTGGCAGGAGAGGGCCACCCCTGGACAAGGGGAATGGAGGGGGCCGCAGAGGCTCAGCACATCTTGGCTCTCAGCCCTGACTACACCGCAGAATTCCCCACAGACAGGAGAAGGGGCTGCCGTGGAGCCCTGTCCTTGGGGCAGCTCAGCAGGGAAGAGGAGCAAGGGAGCAGGGGAGGGGGGAGAGGGGCGTGGAGGGCTGCTGGCCCCTGTCAAGAGATGAGCACCTACGACTCACCAGACGCATCAGCCAGGTAAGTGCTCCGTTTTCAGAAGGGCAGCTTTGAGGCTGAGCCTGGGGACATCCTTGGAGAAGGAAGGACAAGGAAGACAAGGGAGAGGGGAAGGGAGGGGAAGGGGAGGAGGAGGGAAAGGGAAGAGGGAGACAGGAGAGGAAGAGGAAGAGGATGTAGGGAAGGGGGGGAGGGGAGGAGGAAGCAGACAGACAGAAAGTCTCACTGTGTGTTTTCCAAGGGGCTTTTTAAGTCTCTGTGTTCTGGTCGAGTCACTGAGGGACGGAGGGGGTGTGGTGTGTCTGTGAGAGGCTGAGTGTGGTTCTGTGTGTGGACACTGCCAGTGTGGGGCAGGGAGGGAACCAGAGGACCCAGAGCCTGCGAACAAAGCTTCAAGTACAATCAAAAGTGAGGCTATGGCCAGGCACAGTGGCTCACGCCTGTAATCCCAGCACTTTGGGAGACCGAGGCGGGTGGACCACCTGAGGCCAGGAGTTCAAGACCAGCCTGACCAAGATGGTGAAACCCCGTCTCTACTAAAAATACAGAAATTAGCTGGGCATGATGGCAGGTGCCTGTAATCCCAGCTACTCGGGAGCCTAAGGCAGGAGAATCAGTTGAACCAGGGAGGCGGAGGTTGCAGTGAGCTGAGATTGCACCACTGCACTCCAGCCTGGCAACAGAGTGAAACTCCATCTCCGAAAAAAAAAAAAAAAAAAAAGTGAGGCTATTCACAGCCACCAAAATGTGGAAACAGCCCCAGTGCACATCAACTGATGAGTGGACACACAAAAGGTGAGCACCCACAGGATGGGACACTATTTGGCCATTAAAAGGAAGCAGGCACTCATCTGGCTACGACATGGATGAACCTGGAAGACATTGAGTTAGGTGACAGAAGCCAGACACGAAAGGCCCCATGTAATTCATTTATATCAAATGTCCAGAATAGGCTGAAAGCAGATCAGTGGCTGTCAGGGGCTGCAGTGGGGCTGGAGCAGAAATGGGGGGCTGGTGGCTGCCAATGAGTATGAAGTTTTTTTGGGAGGGTGATGAACATGTTCTAAAATTGATCATGGTGATGGCTGCACAGTCTGAATATACTAAAAACACTGAACTGTGTCCTTTAAATAAGCGAATGATACAGTATGTGAATTACATCTCAATAAAGGTTTTATATTTAAAAAGCAGGTGACAATTGAGATAACAGGTGTGGTAGGAGGAGGATAAATGTGTAAAAGCTGGAGAGGATGTCTCAGTTTGTGAACAGCAACAGCAGGGAAATCATACGAAAGGGAGCGAGTTTTCAGCACATCTGACTTCCTAAGCACTGCACATCCGTCATTACCCCAAAAGGGTGCTATTTAAATAATGTCCACTTTGCAGATGGAGGAACAGGCCAAGAGGAGCCAGTGGCCACCCGAGGTTGCATGACTAAGAAGGGAGCAGGCAGTTCGGCACCGGGTCTGCGGAACTCCAGGGCCTGAGCACTTAACCCCACCCCCGCCTCCCAGCACATTTTCCCTCCTTATTTAGATAAACTCTCAGAATCTCCCAAATCTGGAGATAAAACAATGTAAGCCAGCACGAAGTGAAGAGGGCAAGGGAGAGGGAACACAACACAACTCTAGGATTGCAAAAGTGGCTTTCGCAAATTTACAGCTCCCAGCTGACCTATTAACGCACCACGGCGAGGAGGGGTGAACTAATGGGAATGCGGTTCCCGTTTCAGTAACAAGCCATAGATCAACACACATCCTCCAGCTGAGGGCCACCACCCAGCCGCGGAGCTAGGACCGGGCTTTCTAGGGGAGCTGTGGGCTCCCACGGCCCCCCGCCACACCCCCACCCTACAACATAGAGCTGCAGCAATGCCAAGAGGGCATGGGGGACCCCACCGATGATGCCCAGGGCCGGCTCCCTGGGTCCCCGCCACCTCTAGGGGTGCCCGGCTGCAAGGATTGGCAGGACTCACCAAACAGATGTTCTGAAATGCACTGACACATGGTGGGGGCGGGGGTCACGTTACAGGGCAGGCTGCTCCGAGACCTTCTGAGTCTGGAACATCTCAAAGACCCTGCCAGGGCTGATGTCACCAGACTGAGCCACAGAACCCCCCAGCCAGGGGCAAGGGCCCTAGCATCCCCCACATCCCCTCCTGGGGGGTACGGCGTGGCTTTGAAGGACACCCAAGCCAGCCTCCTCCCTGTCCGCCCACTCCCAGGATCCCGGACCGGGAGCAGCTGAGTCAGACAGCCCAGCCGCCAGACACCTGGTCTGCAGAGCAGGCATGGGGGTGGTGTGTGTCGTGGCGGGGACGTGGTCCCAGCCCTGGCTTTGCTCTTTCCTAGCTGGGTGATGGCGAGCAGCTCACTCCCTGGCTGAGTGTCAGTGTCCTGTTAGATATCAAGGGTGGCCGTGCAGATTAAATGGGATCCTGCAGGCAATGCCCCGTGCATGTTATTTCAGATGGGGAGTCTCACCCTGGGCTTCCAGGCACCCTCTAGAGGCCCCTTCCAGGCTTCTGGGGCCCTGTGGACAACAGCCTTGTGTGCAGAAGCCCAGGAGCAGCACCCTATGGGAGAGACTGCAGGGTCCAAGACACCCGCTGGGTCACTGGTCACCTGAGGCAGGTTTCCCTCCAGCCCTAAGCTCTGTCCCTTGAGGCCATGGGACTGGGGTTACCTGTTGGTGATGGGCGGTACAGGGCGGGAGTCCTTCGTCCAGGTGACCAGTGGGGGTGGGGAGCCCTTGGCCTCGCAGTCCAGGGTCACCTCTTCGCCAGCCTTCGCTGTGACTTGCAGAGGCACATCTGCATTACGTGACCCGTTCATATGGATCCTGGGTTTGGCTGCGGGGAGAGTAAGCAGGGCCTGTCAGCAGGGCAGAGGGGACTAGGGTCCATGAGCGCCCTGGGCCATGGGGCAGCTCCCCCAGGAGGCAGAGCCGGTACTGCACCCTCGACCTTCAGGAGGTCCAGAAGGTGGATATGGCTGTCAGAAGGGGGGGAGTCCAGATTGGAGGTGGGACTCAGGTCCCAGGGTTTTCACTCAGTCCTCCCCTACCCACCTCCCCACCACCACCTTGCTCTGAGGACCCTGACCCGGTCCCTCCTGCCCTACGGTCTGTGCCTTCTCTGGCTTCTCTTCATCCTGCTGTCCCTTCCCCAGGGACATTCTGAAAGGCTCTGAACTCCTCCTCTCTCTCTACCTTCTCCCCTTGCTCATTCACTTATTCCCATGATATCAGCCACCAAAGAATGCACAGACCCTCCCTCTGGACCTCTCGAAGCCTGGTGAGGGATTGATGGCAATCTGTGCATGTCACGTCTCTCTCACCTTAAGCTGAAGACCCTTCGTCGGCAGAAACAGCATGGTACCCTTCCTTCCTCCCCGCTCCCCGCCTCCGCCTTTCTACCTTGGAGTTCATACAAGGAAGGCACTCGCTACCTGTCTGAGCAGCAACAATGAAAGAAGCTAGCCAGTTGGGGACATCAAAACCCATCTAGCCCTCCCGTGTTCCCCGTACATTTGTAGTTCAAAGGAAATGCTCCCCCATTAGGAATTTTTTTTTTTTTACAATATAAAAATATTGACTGTAAGGGTCTATGAGAGAAAAAGCCTGGCTTATACATTTGCTCACTCCTCCCAGACGTATTTACTGAGCGCCAGCCCTATGGGGAATGCTGCGGACGGCAGCGAAGGAGACAGGTCCCGCCCCATCTTCACAGCCTTTAGGGTCCTTTGGCAATAGTGGTACCAAAAAGCTCACTGTGTGATTAATTATTGAATCATAGCTGTGACGGGTGCCAGGAAGGGGATATTCCACAGTTTACAGCAAGGTGACTTGACCAGCCTGGGGGAACAGGGAGAGCTGAGATCTGACAGATGGGAGCAGTCAGCTGGGCCCAGAGGTGGGGGAACAGCATTCCAAGCAGAAGGAACTACATGTGCACAAGCCCTGAGGCAGGTTGGACCATTCCAGAAACAGAAAGGAGACCAGAGGGTCTGGGGCAGAGAGAGGCGGGGAGAGGGCTGCTGGGGACGCGGGTCCTGTGCAGAGCCACGTGTCTTTGCAGGACTTGCTGATGCAACAGCTTCCCTGCCTCAGGCTCCACAGGGCTGACGTGGGACTCTCTGTCTCCACAGCCACTGAGCCCCCTCTCCCAGGACAGGGTTGGCATCACTCACTGTTGACAGAAAGTCGCATCTCCTGGCTAGAAAAGCCCACGGTGTTGGTGGCCGTGCAGACGTAGGCCCCTGCGTCCTGGGCAGACGGCTGGGCGATGAGCAGGGTGCCCTCCTTACTCACATTGTAGTGGGGACCTCTGGAGGTCAGGGCATTGGTTTCCTAGGGCAGAGGCACAGGTGACATCGGCGAAGCCCACACCTCCGCCCCATGACACACTGGGCCTACCTCTCCAGTTATCCTCTCGGTAACAGGCACTGCTTACCTTGGTCCACGTGATGGTGGGGGCGGGAACTCCTGAAGCGACGCAGGGAAGAGAGGCCGCAACCCCTTCATTGGTGATATGGTGGGTGGCAGTGGGATGGATTCTAGGTGGCACTGTTATAAATAAACCAATGTCAAAGCCAAGGCTCATTGCAGCATCATTCACAGTGGCCAAAAGGTAGAAACAGCCCAAATGTCCATCAGCGATGCATGGGCACACAGCATGCGGTGTGTGCACACAACAGAAGAGTATTCATCCTTAAAAAGGAAGGCAATTAATTCCAGCTATATGACATTCTGGAAAAGGCAAAGCAGTCGGACATGGTGGCTCATGCCTGTAATCCCAGCACTTTGGGAGGCTGAGGCGGGAGAATCACTTGAGGTCAGGAGTTCGAGACCAGCCTGGCCAACTTGGTGAAACTCCGCCTCTACTAAAAATACAAAAATTAGCTGTGCATGGTGGTGCATGCCTTGTAATCCCAGCTACTCGGGAGGCTGAGGCAGGAGAATTGCTTGAACTGGAAGGCGGAGGTTGCAGTGAGCAGAGATTGCACAACTGTACTTCAGCCTGGGAGACATAGTGAGACTCTTGTCTACAAAAAAAAAAAAAAAGAAGAAGAAGAAGAAGAAGAAAAGACAAAACTAGATCAGTGGTTGCCAGGTTGGGGGAGGAAGCGATGAAGAGGCAGAGCCCAGAGGATTTTTAGGGCAGTGAAGCTACTCCAGGTGATATTGCAGTGATGGGTCACTGCATTTGTCCAAACCCACAAAATAAACAACACCAAGGCTGGGTGCAGTGGCTCACACCTGTAATCCCAGCACTTTGGAGGCCAAGGTGGGCGGATCACCAGAGATCAGGAGTTCGAGACCACCTTGGCCAACAGGGTGAAACCCTGTCTCTACTAAAAATACAAAAATTAGACCGGTACAGTGGCGGGCGCCTGCAGTCCCAGCTACCCAGGAGGCTGAGGCAGGAGAATTACTTGAACCCGGGAGGTGGAGGTTGCAGTGAGCTGGGATTGCGCCACTGCACTCCAGCCTGGGCCATAGAGTGAGACTCCATCTCAAAAAAAATAAAAAATTAAAAAACCACTAAGAGGGAACCCATCTAAAATAAAAATAAAAAATAAAACAAATAAACACCACCAAGAGGGAACCCCAATGTAAACTATGGGATTTGGAGTGATGATGACGTGTCTTCAGTGCTAACAACGGGCCGCCCTGGTGGGGGATGTTGACAGTGAAGAAGGCTGCGCGTGGCGGGAGCCAGGGTTATGTGGGAAATCTCTGTACCTTCCGCTGAGTTTTTCTATAAACTTAAACTGCTCTTAAAAGTCCAGTCTGTTTTTTTAAAAGGAATAAAATTCTGACACATGCTACACCATGGATGAACCTTAAAAACATGCTAAGTGAAATCACAGACATAGGAGGACAAATACTGTAAGATTCCACTTCTATGAAGTCCCTAGATACGCAAGTTCATAGAGATAGGAGGCAGAAGGGTGGCTCCCAGGGGGCTGAGGGGAGACGGGAATGGGGAGCTAATGTTTAATGAGGACAGAGTTTCAGTTTAGGATGATGAGAAAGTCCTGGAGATGGATAGCGGTGATAGTGTGAAATGTGAATGTACCAACACCACTGCACACCTAAACATCGTCAAATGATACACGTTATGTTATGTATATTTGACAATTTTAAAAGCTTTCAGGCCAGGCACGGTGGCTCATGCCTGTAATCCCAGCACTTGGGGAGGCTGAGGCAGGTGGATCACCTGAGGTCAGGAGTTTGAGACCAGCCTGGCCAACATGGTGAAACTCGTCTCTACTAAAAATACAAAAATTAGCCGGGCATGGTGGCACATGCCTGTAATCCCAGCTACTCAGGAGGCTGAGGCAGGAGAATCGCTTGAACCCGGGAAGTGGAGGTGGCAGTGAGCCAAGATCATGCCACTGCACTCCAGCCTGGGCAACAGAGTGACTGCGTCTCAGAAATAAATAAGTAAAATAAAAAAAAAAAAAGCTTTCAATGGGAGAATAAAACTGGAACAATCCCTGAGCCACCACTGCCTGCCATCGTCAGTTTTTTTGTCTTCCCCATACAGAAGGCAGCATGTGCTTGGGAACCAGCTGCGCTGATTCATTGCTCTGGGGCTCTGGATAAGCCACTTAATCTTTTGGTACCCATATTCCCTGATCAGCACAAAAGCTAATTTAACCCCAGTTCCCTGGTCGTCCCTTCTGGAATGGATAGATGAGCAGTGTTTGCAGAACACAGTGAGCTTAAAAACAGGTGTCACACCCACCCTGGGCACCACTCAGATTCGCAGGCTTGAACACGGGGTCTCTAAGGGGAGCGAGAGAGGGGTAACTAGGCATGGAGAAGCCAGGAGAGGAATCCAGAAGCCAGGGGCTCTCACGCTAGCACTTGGAGCTCCTTTAGGGAGGAAAATGGACTTCTGGACTCCCAGGTCGCCACAGCCAGCAGAGGCCCATAAATATTTGCTGAATAGAAATGAACTGAGCCAAGAGAGACTGAGCCTGTTCATGTTAGCCCCACAGAAGCGGCTGTGAGGGCACAGTGGGAAGTTAGGGGGTGAAACTGAGTGGAATCATATATAGAAACTAGCAGATGCCTGGCATGTGGTACACACTCCACCCTGGATGGCGATTTGGATCTGGAATTATGAGGGGATGGCACCTAGAATTGCACCTGAGCGCTCAACCCAGCCCTTCTGAACTTTGCACTCCCCTATAAAATGGGGAACGCGCGTTCTTCCCACTAATCCCTTGGGGGCTTTATGAAACAAACAAGAAAAAAGACGATATTAACATACTTGGTAAATCACAAAATACAACCAAATTTAATTTGAAATGTCTCATCTTACATTAAAAAGCACAGTGGTTCCAGTTGGGTGAATAAAAGAACCCAGTGCTGTGGGCAGGAGAGCAGTTGGGCAAGACACTAAAAATTCCAAAAACGTACAATCTCTGTGATGCAAAACTTAATCCACATTAATGGGTTTATCCTAAGGAAAGAATTGGTCACGTAGGTACGTGGTCACCTACAATGTGTAGGTACGAGGCTGTTCATACCCGGGGTGTGGGGGATGCGGTTGGGCGGGGGGAGTACAGATAATCAGGTAATTAGATAATCAGGGGACATGATCATCCCCTTATTAAACTGATGCCTCTGAATCTTAATTGACAGAAAACAGAACAGCCATAACACCTTGTCATGGAAACACTTAGGTGCCAAGACAATGACAGCATGTGATCCTATTTGGTTTTTAAATAGGTTTGTAAACAGGTAGATAGATTAGATGGATAGATAGATAGATAGACAGATGGATAGATAGATAGATAGATGGATAGATAGATAGATAGATAGATTAGATAGATAGATGATAGATAATTTTTATGTAATTTATAAGAACATACAAAGAATCTGTATGTAAAATGTATAAAGAATATATATTCTATGTATACATAGTGTATATATATACTACACATAGGTGTGTGTGATATACATATAGAGAGTGTGTGTGTATAGAGTATGAAAAGATACATGCCAAAATGCAAAATCTGGTTATTCTTAGCTACTGGTATTATGAGAGTATTTTTTTAACTTGTCAAATCCCTAATTTTCCCACAGAGAATATATATGATTTGCACGATTTTTTAAAGCAAATGCATTCAAGATCAAGTTACCTCTGCACATTCCCCCACCCCATCATGTTCCCTGCCCCACGACCACCACCTCCGAGACCCCAGGACTCACCCTGGACCACCAGCTCCACGTCCCGGTGCTGAGAGCCGGCCGTGTTGGTGGCCACACAGCTGTACCTCCCCGCGTGCTCCTGCAATGCTCGGTCAAGGTGGAGGCTGCCGTCTGCTCGGATGGAATGCCGGCTGCCAGGTGGGAGCTGGTGGGGGTGAGGAAGCACCAGCTTAGCCTTGGGCCTCACTCAGAGGCAGCTGAGAAAGAACCCTCGGGAAACTATGCTGCTCATCAGGCCAGTAGGGAGCAGCCAGGACTGAGAGCCCGGGGGCTCAGAGAAGGCTGAGGAGCTCTGTGAGTCCTTCCCGAGTGCCCAGTCAAGCCCTCCAGAGACCCTGCAGGGCTGGGTGGGCCTGACCCCTACATACCCTGACCCCACCTCTCCCTCGGCCAACTGGACCAGGGTGAGCCTGACCCAAGCTGGGCCCACGAGAGTCTCTCCTGGGAATGCAGAGTTGGGAAGGCACCTCTTTGCAGCCTGCAGGACACAGGGACCTGGTGTGTCTGAGACCAGGCAGAAGAATTGAGGAAAGGGAAGAGGTAATGAAAGAGTCAATAGGAGAGGGCAAACAGAAGAACACCAAGAAAATCAAATGGACGTGAACTGGTTGATAAGGCAACCACTGTGCGTTCAGCGCGCGCCGGTGTCTGGGGCAGATAGGAAACCGCACAGCTCACATCCCTGCTCTGGAATCATAAGAACCGGGGAGACCACTGCATTGAGACTGGGCCTCCACTAAATCCCTGCTCCCTGGCTCACAGCACTCCTGAGGCACACGATTGCCCTGCAGAGCTCCCAGGGGTCCAGCAGCCATGACCCATCTGACAGCCGGCGGGACTTTAGAGGGCAACAAACACCATCAGTGCATTATCAGAGAAGGTTCTGAAATGGGGCCAAAAAGAGGGTGGAAGGAAGAGGACACTCCCAGGCGGGGAAACAGCCAAGCAGAGATAGAGACGTGGCTGTGACAGCCTCCTTCTTCCCCAGGTGCCACCGCCCACCGCACCCAGAGGAGCCCGACACTCACGGGCCGGCCGTCCTTGAGCCAGTGCCTTTCCGGGAGGGGCCGCCCAGCTAGGACGATGCAGGGCAGGGACACGGGCTGCCCCTCCAGGACCCGGACGGTGGGGGCGCTGCTGGCGATCTGTGGCGGGGCTGTGGGGAGAGGAGCCGGTGTCAGCCACAATAGGTGCCCTGGGTGGTTGTCTGGGGGACAGAGGCTCCTGCTCCCCTCTCCCTCCCCAGGGAACTGAGAGATGCATCAGAATTGGGGATCCTAAAGGGTCACAGGACCCCCAGGACATTGTCCAGGACGCAGGGGCACAGGTGCTGCTCTTGGAGAATTTGGCTGTGGATTCGTTTGTTCCAACAGATGGGCCAGGAGAGGCTCCCTGGAGGCGCCCACGGCCTTGCTGTGCCCCCGGGGAGCACCTGCCTCCCACCTCCCACCTCCCACGGCCCTCAGATCCACCAGCGAACCGTGACCAGTGACGATGAGCCGGGCCTCAGCCTGGACCTTCCCAAAGACGTTTCGAGCTTCACAGACATATGGGGCCTGGTCTTCTGGGGCCACACCTGAGGGGCACGAGAGAGGCAGGTGTGACTGCCAAGGCACACCACAGCTGCAGCCCCCATGGGCTCCAGCTCCCCAGGTGCAGAGACAGCCCCTTGGCATGGCCTGGCCTTACAGAGGTTCAGGAGGGAAGGCTGGGATGGTAGAGAGGGAAGGGGTGAGGGACACCGCTGGACCTTGGAAGGTGAGAAAGCCTCAGTTTGCTCATCTGTGGAATGGGGGTAATTGGCCTGTACCTTGTAGTAGTGTGATGGGGCAGGGTTGACAAAGTGCCCGCCCTTGGGCCTGGCGTGTAGTAAAGAGTGGGTGGTAGGGTAGGCGCAGTAGTAATTATGGTAATCATAGTAGCTTATATGTGTGTGACAGCATGTGGCAAGAACTGTGCTAAGCACTTTGTACAGATTATCCACACAACAGCCCCATAAAGTGGCTGCTAATCAGCCAGGTGGGTAGTAGATTTCATGGTCGTGATTATGAACAGGGTCAGAGTAGTGGAATGACTTGGCCAGAGCCACCCAGCCAAAGTGTGACCGCGTATCAGCCTCTGCTCTATGGTCAGTGCTGGCGGTCAGGGTCCTGCTCTCGGCCACCTGGCCTGGGGTTTAGGGTGTCAGAGGCCATCCTGTCTCCCTGCCCACCCCCCACCAGCCCCAATCTCTTACTTTCAAAGAACAGCACTCCCGAATCCGGCTGCCGAGACCTACTGCCTCGCCCGGCCCCCAGCCTGAGTCCCAGAGGCTGGCCATCTCCGCGGCGCCAGGTGACCGTCGGGGGCGGGCGGCCTGTTGCCCGGCATGCCAAGAGGGCACTCCTCCCCAGTTCCACAGTGACATCCCGGGGCAGCTCCGTCAGCTGGGGCGCATCTGCAGGGAGGTGACCAGTCAACCATGCCCGGAGGCTGGACCTGCTCAGCGGCAGGTCCCCAAGGAACTGCCTCCCTCTCCTCCTCCTGTACTATTGCCCTTGTGAACCTAGGGCTCGACTCCTGTCCAGGGCTCCAGGGTCAACCTGTGCTGAGTGGCATCCACCCCTGGAGAGCTCTTGGGATGAGGCAGAGGGAGTGACTCGTGGGATGGTGCGTGGGGTCTCAGGGGCCTGGCTTTACCCCAGAGGTGCAGGGGAGGGAGCAGCATGCCCACTCCTGGCTGTGACACCTCCCAGGAAGCCCCTCCAAGGGGCTCTAAGGAGTGTTTCTCAGTCTGATTGTGACCCGCTGACATAGGAGCTGAGGGTGAGCCTTCATTTCTACCCCTGCCTACCCTCCCCTACCCCTCGCCTCCTCCTGGGCCAGAGAGGCTTTCTCTTGGAGGTGTCCTGAGCTCCCCTCTGATGCTTAAGCCCCTGGCCTAAGCCAGGCCCACTTCTGTGGAGGGGAGCATGGCCTGGGGGGCCTGGCGGGACTCAGCTGCCATTTCCACAGCCCCTTCTATTGCCGCCCCCGCAAACAGCCAGCGTCGGGGGGGATTATAGGTCTTCTTCACCCTCTTCTCTAGAGCTTGCCCTGTTGGCTGAACTTTTTTGGAAAGAGCAGACAGAATTAAAACTTGCTTGTTATAAATAACGTGACCTTATACATTAGGGTCTGAACTGGGCCACTCAAGAGTGAATAGGGGTTGCATTAATAGTGACCCCAGGACGACTGGCTAAACAAGGGCTGTCCTGGAAACCAGGAGTTATAAGACATTCTAATAATACACAAAGGGCAGAGATTCCCCTAATTCTTGCTCCACACACCCCAAATCCCACGCCCTTCCCTAAGGTAACCACTGTTAATAGCTTGCAGTGTTTCTTCCAAATCATTTTCCTAAGCATCATTTGACTTTTATAATCAGGAGAAGAAAAAAAGAAGTTATTTCCCAAAACAGAAACTCAAGATCCTGTCTCTCCTTCAGCAGGCCAGGAGCCAGTCCGAGCCAAGTGGGTCCAGGTCCTTCCCTCGGCAGCCTCTGGGCACCATCCTCAGGTCCTTGTCCCAGGCCCCTGCAGCAGGGAAGTCCCTGGCCTTTTTATTTTAACCCTTTGAGTCTGATACCATGGAAAAGCCTCTACCTCTTTGTTCTTTCCATCTGTCTCCAGAAATACCCTTCATCCATCCAAATCATGACATCAAATTTCCCTCCTGGCCTCAGGGATTAGGGAAGTTCCAGGCAGATATAAACACAAGTTGGAAAATTACTGCGAGTAGGAAGACTGTCTTGGACCCAACCTCAGACACCACCCTTTCTCACTGGGGCCTGGCAGCCGCCGAAGCTCAGAATCCCAGCATCCCAGAATCCCAGAAAGCCTTTCCTTGGGCCCGCCCTACACAAGGTCACTGTTCCTGCAGAGCCCTGGCCCCCAGGGGTGCAGCTTTGCCATACCTCACCTACCTGGAGCAGAACACCACAACAGCCTACCTTCCCCAGCTGCACCCAGCCCAGCCGCAGAGCCCAGCTGCAGCCTCCCACTCCAAGAATGCCTCTGATTCCTCTCCTCCCAGACCGCTTTCAATTCCCTGCCCTCCTTAGCCCCAAACAGCGCTGCTTTGTCTCCTGACTCTGGTTTGTTTGTGTTTTTTTTGTTTGTTTGTTTTGAGACAGAGTCTCGCTCTGTCGCCCAGGCTGGAGTGCAGTGGCGCAATCTCGGCTCCCTGCGACCTCTGCCTCCCAGGTTCGACATGGGGAAACCCCGTCTCTACTAAAAAATATATATATAAATTAGCCAGGCATGGTGTTAGGCACCTGTAATCCCAGCTACCCAGGAGGCTGAAGCAGGAGAATCGCTTGAACCCAGGAGGCAGAGGTTGGAGGGAGCCGAGATAGCACCACTGCACTCCAGCCTGAGTGACAGAGCAAGACTCTGTCTACAAAAAAGAGAGAGAGAGAGAGAGAGAGAGAGAGAGAGAGAGAGATGGTGGGGTCTCGCTATCATCTAGGCTGGAGCACAGTGGCACAATCATAGCTCACTGCAGCCTCGAGGCTCAAGTGTAAAGGGTACCATTTGGCATCCCTAAGTGACAGGCATGAAGACGAGCACTTATTGTAACCATAATTTCACTCATGGCTCAATGAACTCATAAGTGGATATCATCACAATCCCCATCTCACAGATGAGGAAACTAAAAGTCGGAGAGATGAAGGAACCTGCCCAAGGTCACAGCTTGAAGCCAGTGGCAGGGCTAAGATCAGAGCCCTGGTCTGTCCAATGCTAAAGCCCAGGCTCTCAACCACCCCACCCCTGCTTCCCCCTCAGCACCTGGTGGCTGCCCCAGCCAGAGCTGCACTCACCCCCTCCATCTTCTTGCAAGAGAGCCAAATCCCAGACTCATTGCTGTGCCCTGGACCCACGCAGACAACTGTGACTCCATGGGTCTGTGCAGCCATCCCTCCCCCTGCTAACCTGGAGCCCCCCAAATAAGGCAGGAGCCCAGGACCCTCATAGGCCAGAGCTGAAGGCCCTCTGGTCTGCCCCTCATTGTACATGTGGGAGGCTGAGGCCCCACGTCCTGCTGAGGTCAGGGGAGAGGCCGGATTCCCAGCCCAGTGCTCTGCCCAGGGCCTTATCTCTGCTTTCTGGCTCCCAGGCCCCTCCTCACACAGACTCCCAGGTGACCCTCTGCTGTGACCCAGGGAGGACAGCGAGCTGGTTCCATGGCCACCGTGGCTCCACAGGAATGACCCTTTCTGCCTTAGCCACAGTCAGTTTTCTGGGGCGGGAGCTACAAGCATCCAGAGACAGGTGATGTTGTCAGCAGCTCTGGAGACTCCTGGAGGAGCCTCTTGTCAGCTGACGGCTGCAGCTGCCTGTTTGTGGGGATGGGGCTCTAAGTGGGGGAGCCTAGAACACCCGGAAATGTGCCTGGTGAAAGGGGCCTGCCACCAGCCTGGGATGGGGCGAGGGGACAGGAGGGGCTGCCGCCTGCAGGGGTGCCCCGTCCTTTTTTTCCTGCTCTGCCTCCCTCCCCCACCCACACATCTGGGACTTCAGCCACGCCCAGGGCAGCACCCCCACCCCCATCTTTCTCCAGCCCAGACCTTCCACTGAGCTCCCTACCCCTGTGTCCATCTGCCCCTAGACACCTCCACAACTCCCCAGCCCTCAACACAGTGCCTCCCGGCTCAGCACCACCCACCACCGCAGGGTACAGTCCCTGACGCTGCTTCCTTTGTCGCACTCCTGGCAGTGACGGGGTGGCAAGTCCTCCTCGGCCTCATTCCATCCACTTCTCACTGAGTTCAGTCATGGCAGTGGCCCCTGGCTGCTCTCCCTGCCTTTCACGCTGCCTCTGAACCACCCTCGGTGGTGCAGCAGAGGGGACTTCCCAGGGCACAGGCTGGACCGTGGCTTTGCCTGCCTGAGCCCTGTCTGCTACGGGCTGAACTGTGTCCCCCACAAACCCATATGTTGAAGCCTGAGCCCCAGTGTGATGGTATTGGAGATGGGGCTTCTGAGAGGTGATGGAGGTTGGGTAAGTCATGAGAGTGAGGCCCCTACCATGGGGATTAGTGTCCTTTTAAGAAGAGATGCCAGGGAGCGTCCTTCCTCTCTCCACCCATAGGTCCCAAGGAAAGGCCACGAGAGGACCTGAGAGAAGGCAGAGGCTGCCAGCCAGGAAGAGAACCCTGGCAGAACCCAGCCAGGCCAGCAGCCTGATGGTCGGCTTCCAGCCTCCAGAGCTGTGAGGAGTGTCTACTGTTTAAGCTCCCTGGTCTATGGTATTTCATCATGGCAACCTGAGCTGACCAGGATACTGTCCCTGGCTCCCGAGGATGGCAGGGCAGAGTCCAGGCGATGGAAAGGCTCAGATGCCCTACCAGCCCAGTGTGGCTGCTGCCTCCAGCCTCAACCCCCAACTCACTTGGCTCACATTTGTAGAGAACCCTAGTGCCACCCAGCCCTGGGGTACAAGGATCTGGCCAGCAACAGGCAGGGCCATCCCTCCAAGCTTGGCATATAATTGGTGCATAGGGACAGAGGGAAGAGAGGGGAAGGAAAGGAAGGGAGGGGAGGGGGAGGGGAGAGGGAGGGGAGTGGGAAGGGAGGGGGAGGGCAGAGGGAGGAGGGAGGGGAGGGAGGGGAGGGGGAGGGGAGGGAGGGGAAGGAGGGGAGGGGAAGGGGAGGGGAAGGGGAGGGGAAGGGGAGGGGAGGGGAGGGGAGGGGAGGGAGGGGAGGGGAGGGAGGGGAGGGAGGGAGGAAGGGAGGAAGGAGCTCGTCTAGGGCAGGTTCAAAGGGAAGGGGTAACTAACTTCCTGCTTGCAGGTGAGGCTGCTGACCCCCTGCAGGAGGCGCTCTCAGAGCTGCTGAGGGTGAGAGCACAGACCCAGCTGGTCAGGCCACGCTCCCCTCCCAGGGATTTTCCAAGGGAAAGGCCCTGGTGAAGTCAGATGACAGAGGTGGTGACTCCCCTGCGCCTGCTGCTCCCCCAGCGAAAGGGACACTGGCCTGAAGGCCCCCACTCTGCCTCTGCCTCACTGGGCATGCAGGAATGAGTCCCATCCTCACTCTGGGCCTCAGTTTATCCATCTGGAAGGCGGTAACTCTATTTTCACCTTGGTCCTGGTACCTTACAGCTCTAGGACTCCTTATCACTGCCTGGAGAGTCCACACCCCAGCCTCTGCCTCCCACCCAGGGCTGTGGCTCAGAGCACGGGGGCAGGGCTGGGGGTTGCAGCCAGCTCCAGAAGAGCCCCCTGAGACTCAGTTTGCCAGGAGGAGGGAGGAGTCTCAGGATGGAAGACTGTGCAGATGGGCAAAGTGGACCCCGGGGAGGGGTCTCCACAGCCCCCTTTCCTGAGGACTCGGGGACCACTTTTCCCACAGAGGGAATGCTGCGATTGGGCCTAGGGTGGCAGCTCTGCTGGTCAGGGCCACAAGATGCCTTTACTCCTCTTCCTCCATAAAGAAACATGGAAAATTATATTTCATAACTGCACTGGCACAAAGACATGAATGATGCAGGCTGGATTAGTCTTTATCTATTCACTATTGGTCATTTTTTAATTCTGATTTTAAAAGAAATCAAAATTAGAAAAGCATCCTGGACCCCTACAAGTGCAGGGCCTTCTGCCAGTGCCTGCTATGCCTGATGGAGAAGTCGCCTCGCCATGGCCCCCTCGCCACAGAGCCCAGCCCATTTCTCCCCAACTCCCCTCCCCAAAGGATGGCCGGAGAGTCTTTAGTGTCCAAAACAGCACATCTCCTGTTCCCCAGCTCGGCCCCCGGCAACCAGGAGCTTCCAGGATGGGACTAAGAAGCAGGGACTGAAATGAGAGGACAGAAAGAGGAGGCATATCCATTTAGTCTGGGAGCACTGGCTCATGCCTGTAATCCCAGCACTTTGGGAGCCCAAGGTAGGTGGATCATCTGAGGTCGGGAGTTCGAGACCAGCCTGGCCAACATGGAGAAACTCTATCTCTACAAAAAATACAAAAATCAGCCGGGAATGGTGGTGCGTGTCTGTAATCCCAGCTACTTGGGAGGCTGAGGCAAGAGGATCACTTGCACCCGGGAGGCAGAGGTTACAGTGAGCCAAGATCGTGCCACTGCACTACAGTCTGGGTGACAGAATAGGACTCCATCTCAAAAAAAAAAAAAAAAAAAAAAAGAGGACACACATTCATTTAGAGAGGAATGAAGTAAAGCACAGACCACAGCTCAGGGCACTGAACTCAGGAGGGGTTGCCACACACAGTCAGGCAACCAGCCATGTGACGAGTCGCCCCACCTCACCGAGCGCTGGTCAGCTCACCCAGCCTGGACACAGGTTTATGGGGGGGGGTGCCCACATGCATTATTTATTCCACGCAAGCCCTAAGTGAAGCACATTCTCAGGAAACCTCTCGAGGGCCCTATGAGCACAGCTCTGCTACCACCCTCCTCGTTTCACAGACGAGGAAAGTGAGGCTCCGAGAGGCAAATAATGCAGGCAAATACCAGCGGACCTGGGCATGGAGCCTAGGACTCCTGACTGGCAGATGCCAGGCTCGGAAGGTAATCCACCAGTGCCTCGCAGGCTGGTCCACAAGTGCAGGCCCTCCTGGCACAGAGGAGTAGGATGCCTCCCTTCCTATGCCCCAGACACTACCAGGAAGCCAGCTCTCAGCTCAACAGCAGGAAGCGGGCACAGTACACACCCATTCCTGACCTCTGCCAGTCTGGCCAGGAAGGCTGGACGACAGCTGCCACCCAGATAGGCAGGAAATTCCATTTCCCACCACCGCTGCCAGACCAGCTCACCCCAGACCCACAGGTGCTGGGCCATTGTCCATCCCTTCCCTGACCTAAAGTTAAGGCCAGAGGCCACCAGTGGCCCAGAAAGAAACTCTGCCACAGGGACATGGCTCCAAGGTCAACAGCAGACAGGCGAAGGAACAGGTCTAGGTGGACACTCAGCCTGGATCCCAAAGAAATGAGACTCTGGGCCAGGCACAGTGGCTCATGCCTATAATCCCAGCACTTTGGGAGGCCGAGGCGGGTAGATCACCTGAGGTCAGGAGTTCAGCCTGAACAACATGGTGAAACCCCATCTCTACTAAAATTACAAAAATTAGCTGGGCATGGTGACGCACGCCTCTAATCCCAGCTACTCAGGAGGCTGAGGTGGGAGAATCACTTGAACCTAGGAGGTAGAGGTTGCAGTGAGCCGAGATTGCGCCTGGGCACTCCAGCCTGGGCAACAGAGCGAGACTCCATAAAAGAAAGAAGGAAAGAAAGAAAGAAAGGAAGGGAGGGAGGGAGGAAGGGAAAGAAAGAGAGAGACAGAGAAAGAAAGAAAGAAAGAAAGAAAGAAAGAAAGAAAGAAAGAAAGAAAGAAAGAAAGAAAGAAAGAAAGAAAGAAAGGAGGGAGGGAGGGAGGGAGGGAGGGAGGGAGGGACAGAAAGAAAGAGAGAGAGAGAAAGAAAGGAAATAAATAAATAAATATGGGTCTGCTTCAAATAAGTCAGATGCTGAGCAAAGGATGACAATGCCCATCACAACACAAGGTACACCCTCCCTGGAGCACCCTATCTGCTCACCCAGAACCTCTAATACCAGTGTCAGCAGCTGGATCACAGCTCACGTGCCACAGACCTTCCTTCTCTCTTGCTCACACAACGTCTCATTTTGGCAATGAGGAGCCCAAGGCTTGCAGACGTAAGCAGCGCCAGGCCCACTCTGCTGGTGAGCATCAGACTCAAGGCCAGGGGCTATAGGTGCAAGACCCTTGGTTCAGATCCCACCTCTGCCACTCGCCAGCTGTGTGATCTTGGGCAAGACATGAAACCTCTCTGTGCCTTGTTTTCCCTATCTGTAAAGGGGATGATGATCGTTCCATCTCCAAGGGTTGTTGTGAGGGTTACATGAGCCAGCAACAAAATGTGCTCTGAGCTGGTGCCAGCACCTGGCAAACACCCTAGAAGCGCCGGCTCGTGTTTCCGTGGCTGTCCTTATCAGGCTCCTGAGCCCATGGCCCAGCCCAGCCTACCTGAGAACCCAGCCACAGTGGAAAAGTCTGAGCACACGACCCTCCTCCTGAAAACCTCTCACCAACCCCCTCAGGGCACAGCCCAAACTCCTCCGCAGCTCCCCAGGCGGGGAGTGACTGGTACCAGGTGGCAGCCGTCCTGCTGCCCCCTCCCCACCCTCTCTCTGCCTCACTTCTCTTGTCACGGGGAGGGCTGCACGTGCTATTCCCTTTGTCTGGAACACTGTTCCCCAGCTCGTCATCTTTCTGGGTGCTTCTGGTTTCAGTTTAGACATCACCTCCTCCAAGAAGTCTTCCTGGGATTAGCCTTCTCTGGGCACCCACAGCCCCTGAGGATGCACCTTCCAGCCACTCGGTGCCCTGTGCATGCTCATTCCCTGTCCTCTGTTCTCTCTGCCTGAGCTCATGAGCAACACAAAGGTTGATGCTGTGTCTCACCTGCCCTGTGTCCCCAGCACAGGGCCTGGCACACGAGCACCTGGTGACCCTGTGTTGAAGGAATGAAAGACGGAACAAGTGAACGAAGGCTAAGAGCACCCCAAGCCTGAGAGGATCTCAACCCTGAGACAGCACAACCCCCCCAGGCCAGACCCTCCTATCTATGCCTACTCCAGTCAGAGCCTGGCCCGCCTTGGGAGCTCCTCGGCTGCCCCAGCCAGCCCTGGCCCAGCCTGGCCCATTCAGCCCAGACCAGCACATTCTCGATTCTCTGCGCTTCCCTAGAACTCTAGCACCTGCCTCTCTCGCCGTGGCCTCGGCAAACACTCAGAGCCTGATCTGTCCCAGCTCTGTGTGCCAAGGAGCTGTGCCCACAGCTTCCGAGCAAGTCCCAGTGCCAGGAACTCCAATATGGGATGGAGACATCCCGGAAGTCACAGCTGAGGCCATGCACTGGCCACCAAGGAATTTGGACTCCACATCTGCAGCAAGTGAATGATCACCCCTCTCCCCGCATTTACTAAGCAATCACTATGGGCCCAACCCTGTGCTAACAGGCCTGATTTCACTGAATCCTCACAGCAACCCAAGGAGGGGAGTAGTACAGTCAGCCTCACTTTACACATGGGAAACTGAGAGAAACTGAGGCTCCATGGCATGACCAAGGCATATAGGTGGGGACAGAGACGAGACTGGAATTCTCATCCCGAGCTGAACCAAACTGTCTGCGGTGGGCCTCCAAGCTGGTCCCAGAGATCCCCGCCTCCTCGTGTTCACACCCATGGGTAGCCCCCACCTCCTCGTGTTCACACCCATGGGTAGCCCCCGCCTCCTGGTGTTCACACCCATGGGTAGCCCCCGCCTCCTGGTGTTCACATCCCTGGGTAGCCCCTCCCACACACACTGCACCAGGGTTGCTCTGTGGGACCAAAAGAATAGGGCAGAAGCGATGGCTTGTTACTTCCAAGACTGTGGCTTCCCTCTGAGATTGTCTCTCTCTCTCTTTCTCTGGGAGCCTCCTGCCAACAGCCCCACGAGTGAGCCTAGAGTGGATCCCCTAGGCCCAGGCAAACCTTGAGATGACTGCGGCCCTAGCCAAGATATTGATTTCAATCTCAGGATGGACCCTGAGCCAGAATCACCCGGCCAAGCCACTTTCAGATTCTTGATCCTCAGACTGTGAAATAAATACTTATTGTTTAAGCCACACAATTTGGGGGCTATTTGTTACCCAGCAAGAGCTGATGCATGCACCGCCTCCCCTGGACTTCCCCTGTCCCCACATGCTCAGGATCCACATGATGCCATCTACACTGGCCACTTGTGTGAGAGAGCTTCCCCTCCCTACTCAGAAGCAGGCAGAGGGCTGGGAAAGGGGAATGGGCAGGGGAGGGGGAGACAAGGTATACACTCACGTCCAACCGCCAGCTGGATTTCTGCAGAGGCGTCACCCAACTCATTGACAGCCCGGCAGGTGTAGGTGCCAGCATCCCTCTCCTGAGCCGCCGGGATCCGCAGCTTCCCAGAGCTGGAGCCCTCAGGGGCCAGGATCATTTCAAGACCCCCTGGACCAAAGAGGAAGAAGCATCAGGCCGGTGTCCCTGGTACCATGGAGGCCAGGGTGGGAGGTGGGAGCCTGACCCTTGGCTCCTGCGGCTGCACAAGGTTGGGGCCTGGGAGATGGTGGGTGGAAGCAGGTTTAAGCCCCAAGGTCAGGACCCCTGGGTCCAGTCCTGCAGGGGGCTTGGGCCTTCCCTCTGTTGAACAGGGTTGGGGCTAAGCCAGGCTCTGCATGACAAGGCTCATCATCCAAGAACTCCATGTTTGGACCCCCCCCGCTGGTGTCCACTCCTCCACCCCAGGTCCAGGCTGAGATCTGGGTCAGCTCTGGGAGGGCTCTGGGGAGCCCTGAGCCCGCCATCATTTTTCTTTTTTTTCCTTTTTTTTTTTTTTTTTTTTTTTGAGACAGAGTCTTCCTCTGTTGCCTAGGCTGGAGTGCTGTGGCATGATCTTGGCTCACTGCAACCTCTACCTCCCAGGTTCAAGCGATTATCCTACTTCAGCCTACCAAGTATCTGGGATTATAGGCACACACCACCACACTCAGCTAATTTTTTATATTTTTGGTGGAGACAGGGTTTCACCATGTTGGCCAGGCTGGTCTCGACCTCCTGACCTCAGGTGATCTGCCCACCTCGGGCTCCCAAAGTGTTGGGATTACAGGCGTGAGTCACCACGCCTGCCCCCCAGCCCGCCATTTTTCTTGCCTGACTTCTCTCCGCCCCTGAGGCCTGATGGACACACCTGATTCTAACCGCCCTTTTAAATTTAATTTAATTTTTATTTTATTTATTGTAGTTAAATATGCATAACATAAGATTGACGATCTGAACCACTTTTAGGTGTGCAGCCAGCTCAGTGGCATCCAGTGCATTCACACTGTTGTGTGGCCATCACTGGCCTCCACAGAACTGTTTGCATCTCCCCAAACAGAAACTCCATACCTATTCAACACTAACTCCTGGTGTTCTCCTCTCCCCAGTCCCTGGCGAACACCACTCCATCTTTTCGTCTCTATGAATTTGACATCTCTAGGTAACTCACATAAGTGGGATCAGAGAGTATTTGTCTTTTTGTGTCTGGCTGACTTCACCTAGAATAGCGTCCACCTAGCAGGACATCCATGTAGCACGTGTCAGAATCTCCTTCCTTCTGAAGATGGAAGAATATTTCATGGCAAGGCCACCTTTTAAAGTGGGGCTCTAGGGCTGGGTTGACGGGGTTCTTGGCCAGAATATGCAGTGAGGAAGGAGTCCAGAAGCCTGTGCCACCCACTTGCTGGTGACCCTAAAAAAAACGCTCAACTCTGAGCTAATATCACCTGCCCTGCCTTTCTCAGAGTCAGGGTGAGGCTCTGATGAGGTCCCAGGCAGCTGCTGCAAGGAATGGGAGGGGACAGTATTGCTGACCCCGGTTGACCCTCGAGAGGGAGCCCAGCGTACTGCTCCCAGAAAGACCTAGTGCGACCCCAGCACCCGTCCGTCAAACTCCAGCCTGGCAGCAGGCACCGTGAAAACGCTCTGCCCATGACCTCAGGGCCTCAGGACAACCCTGTCATTATTGCTGTCATTTTCAGATAATCACATTATCGTCGGCACTATCACTAAGAATGCCAAGCACAGCACATGTGCCAAGCTTGTTCTAAAACCTTTGCACATATGGCCAGGCACAGTGGCTCACGCCTGTCATCCCAGCACTTTGGGAAGCCGAGGCGAGTGGGTCACCTGAGGTCAGGAGTTCCAGACTAGCCTGTCCAACATGGTAAAACCCCATCTCTACTAAAAATACAAAAATGAGCCAGGCCTGGTGGTACACGCCTATAATTCCAGCTACTCCAGAGGCTGAGGCACGAGAATCCCTTGAACCCAGGAGGTGGAGGCTGCAGTGAGCCGAGATTACACCACTGCACACCAGCCTGGGTGACAAAGTGAGACTCTTGTCTCAAAAAAATCAAACAATAAATAAAACAAAAAAATAAAAAATAAAACCATATGTGCATAGGAACTCATTTAATCTTCACGCAACCAACCTATCTTTGATTTTCCAGATAAGGAAACTGAGGCTCAGAGATGCCAAGTCACGTGCCCAGGGTCACCCAGGGAAGCCGGAATTCAAATCTGGGCCTGGCTCAGTGCTGCTCTGAATACCTACATGAGCTGTGTCAACACAGGCTGGGGGTGAGGGTGGGGGAGCTGGAACCCACCAGCTCTGACACTGGCTGGGGGTCAGGGCGGCGGGGAGCAGAACCTTCCAGCTCTCCCCAGACTCCACATTCAGGACACCCCCACCTCCCCTCAACACCTTGCTTTCTGGAAAGCTGTTCCTTCAGGGCCCCTCCCCACCAACACACCTCGATACCAGATGACTCGGGGCGGGGGAACCCCAGATGCCTCACACACCAACACAGCCTCCTCCCCAACGGCCACCAGCACCACGGCATTTACAGCAGAGACCGACGGTGGGTCTGTGTGGGGAAGAGATGCAGAATTTGGGACCAACCTTCAAAGGTCATAAAGAAAGTCTTCCACGGCTTCAGGGAGCCCTCTCCCTCATCCCAACTCACCACACCGGCCTCCTTGCTGCCCCTGGAGCACCCCAGGTTCAATGCCCCCTCCCGGTCCCTCCACCTATGACCCTGTTCCCATAGTGACCCTAAGGCAAGGGTCACTGCCTCACAGAGGTCATGACCGAGTCCTGGGCATGACAGCCGCTTCTCCCTCGCCCCCAGCACACGTCCCTCCCTCGCACCAGGAGGCTCCCAGTTCTTTGCAGCACCTTCAGCATTGGGAAGCATCCCATTGGCCTGTGTGTGCCTTCTCCTTAGAATATAAGCTCCACCCAGACAGGGACCATGTGTTCACTGCCGTGTCCCCGGTGCGTGACAGGTAAATGCTCCATAAATACTGATGGATGGGAGGGAGGGAGGAGGGAGGGAAGGAGGCCCTTCTCCTGTAAGGTGATGCTTGTGGCCTGGGTACCTGTGTAGTAGAGGGTGACCGTCTCCTGGTCAGTGCCAACCTCATTAGTCGCCTGGCAGCTGTAATTCCCAGCATCCTCTGGGGCTACCCCCTGAATAATCAGGGTTCCCTGTGCGTCCACATGGATTCTAGAATCATGCCATAGAAACACATCGGGTCACAAAAGGGGTTGATCCACAATCATCATTAATAACAAATTCACTAACAATGCCACTAGCGACGACCATTCTGTACTGATGGCTTGCTCTAGGCCTGTGCTAAGCACTTTATGTAAATTTAATTCTCGAGGCTCAGAGAGGTAAGATGACTTGCCCAAGGTCACACAGCCTGAATGGTGGGGGGTGGGATTTGGGGGCGGGATTTGGGCGTAGGTCGGCACAGCCTGAATGGTGGGGACGGGACTCAGGCACAGGTCCACACAGCCTGAATGGTGGGGGCGGGATTTGGGCGCAGGTCCATACAGCCTGAGCTCCTGAGCGCTGAGCCCACACTGTGGCATTCTTATGTTTCCAAAGTGATCTCACTCTGGAGTCTCAAATGATCCCAGGAGCAAGGAAGGCAAATTCTCTTCCCCATTTACAGATAGGAAGGCCAAGGCCCAGAGAGGTCCCCTGGGAGTCCTGTCCACCTGCTGTGAGTCCCTGAGATTTGTGTCCTGGGCCCCTCACCTGCTGTCCTCTTGTAGGGCTTGGCTCTCACGGCTCCAGGAGATGTGGGGTGTGGGGTATCCAGAGGCTGAGCAGCTGACCTTCACCTCCACACCTTGGGAGAAGTGCTGGGAGCTGGTGTGGATGCTGACCTGTGGGGCCTCTGTGACCCAAAAAGTGGATAGGCGAGGATGAGCCCATCAGAGCAGCCGTGCCATCCCAGGCACCCCGCCCCGGGCTCTTCCCCTCCCATAGTCACAGATGGGCAAGACAGAGAAAGCAAAGACCCCAGAGGGCTTCAATCTCCCGGGTGTGGCTTCTCTGGGAATTGGGTAGACCAGGCGGCCCCTGAGCACATCCCCAGGCAACATGGAGGCTGATTTTCCAACAATCCCAACCCGGAGCCCTGTGCTCCTAGAACGTCCACTCCAGGCTGAGCGCTCTAGGGAGCCTTAGGGAGATGTCAGGCAGCTACCAGGGCTGGGGACGGCTCCTGTCTCCAGTGACCTTGAGGTTGACCCCAAGGCCTGCCCTACTATTGGCCCCAAGCTTAGGTTCTAACCTGGCCATTTGGAAACTAAGAACAACAGGCTGGTCAGACTCAAAAGAGCTCACAGGCCCGCGCATCCAGAAACAGCAACCACAGCCCTCCCACACTGGAGGCAGACACAGCTGGTGGATTCCCTCCTTCCTGCAGAGCCTAGACATAGCCTCAGAATCCTGCCCAACACACTCTGGCAGCCACTCAAGAGCCGCTGGCACAAGAGAGAATGCTTGTTCAACATGCTTGTTTTTACACTTGGGGAGGAGGCTCTGTCCAGATTCTGGGTTCTTAAAACTCCCAGATGGGTGCTCTTGGCACTGCCTCCTCCACCCCCATCTAGTCAGTGCTGCCCGATCTCTGCCAAATACATCTGACCTCTGAGCTTCCCCAAGGTTCCAGTATTCAGTCCCTGCCCTACCTATTGGGCAGGGTGCAGTGGGGAGTGGGGAACAATGGAGGGGCTCGATGGCACGGAAAAAGGACAAGACACAATTGAAATTGGCTTGGCGTACAGCAGTAGAAATTTAAGTTAGATATTAGGAGGAACTTCCCAGCAGTGAGAGCCATTAGACTTTGGCTAGGAGGCTACAGTATTCTCTCTCCCTGAAAGTTCAAAAAACACTGAAAAGGCTGCTATTGCCTGCCAGAGACAATGTCTGAGCAGAGGGAAGGACTCGCGGCTTCTGGGGTAAACACCAGGTCACGTGTTGAATTAGGGGAACAGCAGCAGCAGGATGAGCCTCACCTCGCACCAGGAGCCAGACGGATGCCCTTGTGACCCCATTGGCATTGCTGGCCACACACTGGTACCTCCCGCCGTCTGTGGGGATGATGCCACTGATCTCCAGGGACAGGTCAGCCAGCTGGGCAACTCGGCCCGTCGAGGCCGGCAGGACTCGCCAGTCCCGGACCCACGTCAGGTTGTAGGGGGCCTCGCCTAGGACCCGGCAGGATAGGACGGCAGTCTCCCCTGGGGACACGGTCACGTTGGGAGCAGGGACCAGCTGCGGCGGGGGGTCTGCAGGGACATGAGCACAGGAGGAACCAAGGAGCTGAGGCAAGGGAGGGGGTCATCGTGCAAGCCCTGGTGCTGCCCAGAACCCCACCCTGAGGTGCAGGCCCACCCGAACCAGATCATTCAGGACATGTCAGCTAGCAGCATAGGGTGACCAGCATCTGCTCACCATCAGGCATCACCCCTGTGGGAGGTCACTTCTCCCACCACCATTATACACCTGCCAGGGGCTGCACGGTACACGCCTGCTCTCCAAAATACAGCCAGTGCAATGTGCAACAAGCCGGACACCCATCTTCATGCCTCCGAGCTGAAGATGCCACGCTGAGGAATAAAGCCTTGGAAGTCTCCAGCCAGAGGAAGAGAGTAATGTGTTCAAAACGATTCTCTGTACCAACAGCAGGGCTATTTATAGCAGCCAAATATGCCCCCAAGGAGGAAAGCGCTAAGCAAACTGCTATCTGGATAGCAAAAAGCCACAAGAAGTGGCAAGATCAGAGACTGCTGAACATAGAAAAAAACCTAAAAGGGAGTAAATCAAATGGCAGAATGGAGGGATTACAAGTTATTTTGATCTTCTCTTGGGTTGTTTATATTTTTCCAGCTTTCCTACAAAGAGCATGTGTAGTTTCTGGCTGTCTATGTAGAGTGGCTGATCTTTCCACGCTTACGGGTTCCTTTTTTTCTCTACAAAGCAGCTTGCGTTCGTAATTTTTCAAATAAAGCCAATTTCATTTGGAGACAGTCTGTGGTGTATCCAACCTCCCCAGCTCGATGGCGCCATCCTGGCCGGGACTTGGAGGCACGAAGGTTGTCCCGACCACGAGATGGATGGCGGCCCCTGAAAGCCGAGCCCCGAGAAGTCAGAGTTGGGATCAAAGCTGGGCAGGGCAGGAAGACCCAAGCCAGGTCCTCAGCCTTCCTCCAGCGGAGACCCACAGGCCGTTCCTGGGTGAGACGGCCCCACATGAGGGGCAGCAGGCAGGTGGCAGCCTGGGCAGCCAGACCCGGCATGACGAATTGTCCCAGCAGCTGGCTGGAGACTCGCCTGGAGGAAATCCTAGGGGTAAGAACCCAAGAAGAGGGTAAGGAAGGGGTACATGGAGGGGCCCCAAGGGACAGACCTGTGACAACAATCTGGGCCTTTGCTCGCCCGGTCCCAGCCCTGCTGACGGCTGTGCACTCGTACGTGCCCTCCTCGGCCTTGGAGGCCCGCAGGATCTCCCAGCTGCTGTTTCCCGACTCCCTGCAAACAGGGAACAGTGGGAGACACACAATCACACTGACCCCCACTCAGGGTCCCCCCCGACTTCAGTCCCCTGAATCCTGCCCAAACGAGAGACCCCAATTCCTCTGTGAGATGCGGTAAGAAGACATACACAGCCAAGCACATGGAAATTCCATGACATGCTGTGTGACTTGGAGTCAGGCCCTTCCTCTCTCTGAGTCCTGGGCTCCCATCCTTCCTGCCCTGACACATGGGTTGAGTTTTCCAGGAGCTGAGGAAGGCCCCCGGCTCCTTCACCAGCTGATGGCCCAGCAGTGGTGGGAGTCTCGGAAAAACTCCTCTCCATCCCTGGCTGCACTGGAAGTCCCAGGCTGGGCTGCCCAGGAGGATAATGACAGAGACCAAGGTCTCTCTCCTGCCACCCACTCCCCTGAGATCCCTCCAGGGCCTCAGCAGCCAGGAGCCCTGTGGCTGGGGACAATCAGCTGCCGTGGGCCACTCACTGAAAGTGCCTCTCTTCGCCCAGCCTGGCTTCACCTCGCCGCAGCTGCAGCCGGAAGGGAAGGGCACTGTGCACCGAGCAGGAGACCAGCAGGGGCTGGTGCAGGTAGCCATGGATCCTGGGGGCCATGCTGACGAGGGGAGCGCCTGTAGGCGGGGACCAGGACTCAGAATGTCTCCCCACCGCCCCTTTGCCACACCCAGTGACACAGAGACCTGTAGGGATGCACCAGCAGCCAGGAGGCCAGGATTCAACCCCTGGCTCCCCTGGTCACCTCTCTAAGCTCAGTTTTCACCTCTGCAAAATGGGGTGATCATGGTACCATCCTCGTCCTGTTGTCCTGAGGAGCTGGAGGAGCTGGTGAGAAGTGGTACATGGGGAACTCATGGCACAATGTGTGTGGCATCACCAGCTCCCCTAGGCACAGCTCCTGGGGCTTTTGTGGTTTATTAGACTATTCAATTCAAGGTTGGCCAGCCTGGACCAGGCCCTTCCACTACACTGTCTCAACTGTATGAAATCTGATGAAATGCTACCAACTAGGATTAGGCTCCCCAGGGGTATGGGTGGGTTTGTGCAATTGCTTCTCCGCCTAGAACATCAGTTTTATCGAAATTTGTTAGAAAGAAGCCTTTTCATTTAAAAATGAGCCCACCAGTCCAGGCGCGATGGCTCACGCCTGTAATCCCAGCACTTTGGGAGGCGGAGGTGGGCAGATCATGAGGTCAGGAGTTCAAGACCAGCCTGGCCAACATGGTGAAACCCTGTCTCTACTAAAAATACAAAACTTAGCTGGGCGTGGTGTCGCGTTCCTGTAATCCCAGCTACTCAGGAGGCTGAGGCAGGAGAATTGCTTGAACTGGGATCCGGGAGGCGGAGACTGCAGTGAGCCAAGATCACACCACTACACTCCAGCCTGGGCTACAGAGCAAGACTTCATCTCAAAAAAAAAAGCACAGCTAGAGGATGGGTATAAATGCAAAATTCACACACATTTTTGAGATAAAACCAGAGACTTCAGTAAAATCTCATAGCTTGTAATGAGCCCCATGGGACCCCTCCCTGGCCCGAGCCTGGTCTTGGAGTGACACAGTCTCTTCCCTTGGCTATTGGAATTACTTCAATGGAGAAGTCTGAGAAACTGCCCCGCTGGGTCAGCCATGGCCCATCAGAGCTGGGTGCCCCCTGGCAAGGGCTCAACCTTTGTGTCACCGTCTCCCCATCCCCGCCAGCAGAGGAGCCCAGCAGAGATGCTCCGGGAATGAGACAATGCACTAGACCTCCTCGGAGCCCAGGCTGGGGATGGGAAGGCGGCGGTGACATCATGCTCCAGGCTCCCTGCCACATCTGTCCCGGGGGGGGAGGGGTGTCTGACCATCCAGCCACGTCCTCGGCTGTGTGCAAAGCAGTCGCCACTCACCCACGCACCCTGGGAGCCTCTGCCAAGCCAGTTTGGGCTCCCCATTTCCATGAGCTAAATGGGACCACAGGCCCACCCTCATCTCTCCAAACCCAGAGCCACCTGCTACAAGGCGAAATTCCAGCCTCCCAGACCTGGAGGGCGGGGAAGGAAGCAAAAATCCAAACCAAATCCCTTCCCCAACTTTAATCTAGAGCTGAGATAGAGAACAAAAGCCAGAGCTAAACTCCAAACTCTTGGATCCATCTGAAAGAACAGGGGAAAGAAAATAGAGGCTGTTATTCCCTCTGCTGAAATTCCTTCCTGAAAGTTCCTCCTCAAGGCTGCAAAGGCCAAGGGAAGAGAGGCCCCGGAACCACAGTAGGGGAGTGGAAGCTGGGAGGCTGGAAAGAAGAGGTCTCCAGCTCTCCTGCCCAGCCCTGCCTTGCCCCACCCAGGTCCTCAAAGTCCTCCACCAACCATGGGCACTGTAGGCACGATGGGCACCGTGGCCAGCCTCAAGAGCTGGCCCTTCTTCCCCTCCCTGCATCCTTATTTGAAGTGGACAGAGGAGGATGCCTCTCACTGAGATCCCCCACAAAGAAGTACTAGAATGTTAATGACATCCACCTTTGTAAGCTCCCCTCGGGCCACCTCCAGGGGAGGGAGACAGTGGGCAGGAGAAAGGCAATGAAGCCAGCAAGGAAGCCAGATGGCCAGTGGCCCTAGACATCCCTGTTAGGACCAGGGGCAGACCTGAAAGGCCAAAGATCCACCCTTCTCCCTGGGAGCTTCCAGCCTGAACGGTGAGACCTCAGGGACACACAGGAAACCAGCAAAAAGCCACACATACGGGAACCAACAGACCATGGCCAAAGATTGGAGGACAAAGTGACCTGTTCCTGCAATGATGTAACGGTAACAGCAGCTGCCACACTGGAGGGCCCTTGCCCACAAATGGATACATTCTGAGTGCAGCCTCTGAGGACCCAAATGCTGTCTTGTTGTGTGCATTAGCTTGGGCACCCCCACGGCAGCCCTGTGAGCTGGGTGGGCTCAGTTTCCTTATCTATGAAGTGGGGACACATCTCTGAAAAGCTGTAAGCATCAGTGAGCTAGCACATGGCAGGAGCTTGGCCCAGGACTGCCCCATGGAAAGTGTCCAAATGGTGACTCGGATGATTGTGATTATGACAGTGATTGTGATTATGGAAGAGCAAAAGTCCATGTCTGCCCTGCCCACTGCTGTGTCTACAGTGCCTAGCACCATGACTGGTACATAGTAGATACTCAAAATGAATGCTGAGTAGATGGATGTGTGGGTGGACAGGTGGGTGGACGAATGGGTGGATAGATGGATAAATAGATGGATAGATAGGTGAATTAATAGTGAATGGGTGGGTAGATGGATGGGTGAGTGGATGAATGAATGGATAGATGGATGGGTGGGTGGATGCATGAATGGGTGAGTGGATGGATGCATGAATGGGTAGATGGATGGGTAAGCAAATGGGTGAGTGGATGGGTGAGTGGATAGATGGGTAGGTGGGTGGATGCATGAATGGGTGAGTGGATGGATGCATGAATGGGTAAGTGGATGGATGCATGAATGGGTAGATGGGTGGGTGAGTGAGCGGGTGGGTGGATGGATGAATAGGTGAGTCAATGGATGCATGATTGGGTGGGTGGATGAGTGCATGAATGGGTGGGTAGATGGATGGGTGAGTGAATGGGTGGGTGGATGGGTGAGTGAATGGGTGGGTGGATGGATGAATAGGTGAGTCAATGCATGCATGAATGGATGGGTGGATGAGTGGATGAATGGGTGGGTAGATGGATAGGTGAGTGAATGGGTGGGTGGATGGGTGGGTGGATGGGTGAGTGAATGGGTGGGTGGATGGATGAATAGGTGAGTCAATGGATGCATGAATGGGTGGGTGGATGAGTGGATGAATGAGTGGGTAGATGGATGGGTGAGTGGATGGGTGGGTGCATGAGTGGATGAATGGGTGGGTGGATGGGTGGGTGAGTGAATGGGTCAGTGCATGAATGAATGGGTGGATGGATGGATGAATGGGTAGATGGATGAATGGATAGTTGACTTGATGACTTTGTTCTAAATCCTTGAGCTGAGAGCCACATCTGAGCATCTTAGTATTTAACATAATGCCTTATAGGGAATAGCTGTCCATAGAAGCTTAATGAACAAACACTTTCTAATCTAATTTAATCTAATCCAGTCAGGGAAGGCTCCAGGATGAAATGGGACTCTGAATGAGCCAGGGGCCTGGGAGACAAAAGAGCCAACCACTCACCTGGGGCCACCCCACTGTAGGACACTCCAGAGACACGAAGGAGGGGGTTTCCCTCATGGTCCTTGCCCTTCACCTTGAGGTAGAAGCGCTCCTTGGGGGTGTGGAAGGGCGGCCCGCCCCACAGCTGATGGGTGGAGCCATTGGAGAGGGGCTTCGTGGGCAGAGTCAGGAGGGGCTTCCCTGAGCTTTGTGCCAGCTCCACCGAGTCTAGGCGGCCGGGTGCCTTCAGGCCCGTGGAATTGATCACCAGGGAGATGGGGACTCCTGCAGAGGGAAGGTGAAGAACAAAGTGCTGGCGTCAGTGTCTGCCTCTGTGATCCCCCTCAAGTAGGGGCCCTCGAACCACACCCCAGGGGTCCTGCTTGCCTGGCCCTTCCTACCTGGTCCCTCCTTCCCTACCTACCCTGGTGCTGACCAACGCTGGGGGTGGGATAGGTAGATAGGGACCTTGCTACTGTCCGTGGTGCTGAAACACCACAGTCGTCCAACCACGGCTTCCCAATGGCTGCATCCCCTCTGACTGCACTGAGTTGGAGTCCCATGGAGTAGAACTGTCCCCCACCCCATTAACTCTGGTGTGGGCCATAATCAGACAGGCTTCAGGGAATGGCCTCAGATAAAGCAAACACCAAGTTTGGGGACTCCAACTTCTGACCAGACTCTCCCCGTGTTCAGGTTTTCTTTGGTTTTCTTTACTGTCTTGATGGAAATGTGGTACTTTTCACACTATCCCAGAAGAGGTAGAACTGGACTCCAATTTCATAATGTCTTTTTAAATTTTCTGTCATCCAGGCTGGAGTGCAGTAGTGCAATCACAGCTCACTGCAGCCTCAAACTCTTGGGCTCAAGCAATACTCCCACCTCAGCCTCCCGAGTAGCTGAGACTACAGGTATGCACCACTATACCTGGCTAATTTTTTAAATTTTGTAGAGATGGGGTCTTGCTGTGTTGTCCAGGCTGGTCTTGAACTCCTGGCCTCAAGCAATCCTCCTACCTTGGCCTCCCAAATGTTTCTCTTTAAAAAAAATTATCTTGGCCTGGCATGGTGGCTCATGACTGTAATCCCAGCACTTTGGGAGGCTGAGGCAGGCAGATCACCTGAGGTCAGGAGTTCAAGACCAAACTGGCCAACATGGCAAAACCCTGTCTCTACTAAAAATACAAAAATTAGCCAGGTGTGTAGCGCGCACCTATAATCCCAGCTGCTCGGGAGGCTGAAGCAAGAGAATTGCTTGAATCCAGGAGGCAGAGGTTAGAGTGAGCAGAGATCGCACCACTGCACTCCAGCTTGGGTGACAGAGTGAGACTCCATCTCAAAAAAAAATTATCTTGGATATACATCTTTATCAAGAGCAGAAACCCAACAGGGTCGCATGTGGCCTCCTGCACCCACTTCCACTGGGGACAGGCCAGTTTTCAGTCCCCGCGCCATCACTACACATAGGATATCTTAGCTCTCCTGGCTTAACAGTAGAATCAAAGTTTCCCTGCTTCTTCCCTTTCTGCTATCGGCAAAACAAACAAACTGAGCAAGCAGCCCCTTTTCACTTTCAAGATGTGACTCCTGGTCCTGGCAGGAAAACCGGCAAGGGCTGACAAGAATAACAAACATTAGAGCAGACAGACTCGAAAGAAAGCACTAAAGGTCTGGCTTGCACCATTTTTGGTCACTGTTCAGGGTCCAGAGTCAGCCTGACCTGATCCAGGCTCCTCCCAGGAGGAGCTGAGCTGAGCTGGTCCCTGCAAAAGTCTCCAAATGGCCCCATGGCAGGGACTATATTTTCCCAACTATAAATTGAGACCTTTGATCTGGCCACCAGATGGTATTTTCTGGCGTGGAGCTCAGGCAGCCCGCACCAGAAACCTGCCTCGGTGCCCAGGCTTCTCCCAGCAGAACCATAGCGGGCATGCAGGCATCCTCGGACCCTGGTGGGTGGCTTCGAATTGGATGCCTGTGCCTCCACCCTCAATATCCCCCCCAGGCTCCTCCAACCTTCCTCAGTCTTGGGACACCCAAATGTCCCCCAGGACATTCCTTCCTTTGGAGTAAGGCACTGCTCTCCTTTTTGGTAAGCCATCAACTCACTGGCATGTGTTCTTTCATTGAACTAGCCTGCTGTTCACTGGAAAACTGAAGAAGTAGGACTCTAGGCAGATATGTTTTGACAAAAAGAAAGAAGAAGGTGTGAACTCAATAATAAAGGGCACAGTGTAAGTGTCCTCCAGGACACTGACTGTGGAGGCACGGAGGATGTTCTAAAGGTAAATGTCACAATGTCACTTGGGCTGGGGCTAGTGGAAAGAATGCTGGCCTGGAAGCTCAGTTTACATCACTGTGGTCTGGGAGCACAGTCCCACTTGGCCTCCTGCAGGGTCCCTTTCACAGTCACACACAGCCAAGCATTCCCCCCACACCTCCCCCCTACTTCCCAAAGCCAAGCCCCAGGTCTTCAGAGGCAGCTCAGCACTGTCTGTAGGGTCGGGGTACTGTACCTTGCAAGGGCCACTCGAGGGTGTGGTTGAGGTCCAGCAAGGGCTGAGTGGAGAAGCCGGCTCGGAAGTCAATGTTGCTGACGCCTGTGATCCTCACTGAATGGCGGCCACTGCTATAGACCTAGCGCAGGCCCAGGTCTCACATCACCAGAGGATGGGACCCCAGCACTCCAGCTTAGGGCAGGAGGTGACCAACCTGACCCAGCCCTGCATCAGCAGCTGGAATCCTCCTGCTTTTGTAGACACATGGGCAACTTACCTCCTCCCAAGGGGCCCAGCACGATGCTCCCCAAATGAAGGAGCTGAAGCCCCAGCTTACAACCCAAACCTGAGCAGCCCTCTTGAGGCTGTGTTGCCCCTCAGCTCGCCTCAGCCCCGGCAGGCCCTGTCTGTTCCCGTGAATGTCTAACTCCCTGCCTTGCCCTCCCCATTGGCATTACAGCTCTTGGCTCAGAGGTGCTCAGAGTTTGAAAGGCAGGAGGTGGTACTGCCACTTTACCTGCAACACCTAGCACAGTGCCTGCAGAAGGTGCTCAATAAATGTTTGCCTGGTCAGCAGGAGCCCCCACTCTTCCAGGGCAGCAGCCTGCCCATCCCAGGATGCTCTGTTGGGAGCCAAACTGGCCCACAGTCCCTGGCTCCCAGCACCCTGTAGATTATAGCAGGGCCCTCCTCTTCCTGCCAGCCCTGCCCCACTGAGCCCTCCCACCAAAGTTGCTGTTGCTTCTTTTACACATTCTTCACAGCTTGGTTATGCACCTCTGAACCCTGAAGTCATTTCTCCAAGTCCTTCTTAAATGTTCCCAAAGTAACCCCAAACCACTCTATTTCTTCCTACTGGTACAAGGCAAAATGCCCTTTCTCTGTCCTTGACCCGTTACTTCTATTGATACGACCACATCACCACCCACACTCTAGCCATCAGCTTCCCGAGGCCACAGGCTCCCCAGGGCAAGTAGGAGGAAGATGGTTCCAGCCCAGTAAAGCTAGTCGACCTTTCTCCTGCAACCCAGTGCCCCTACCTTGATGGACCACAGCCCCGGATGCTCAGGCTTAAAGGCTACGACCTTGGCCGAGTCAGGGATGTTGAGAAGCACGTTGAGGCCCTCGTCCTCCTGCAGGATCCTCCCTGTGGAAGCCCCAAGGGCTGCTCAGTCCCTAACCCTTTGCTGGGGGTGGCAGGAGCCCCGCATGTCTCCAGGAATCCACAGTACACCAAACACTAGCCTCAGTCTTCCCGGAAGTGACAAGGGGTCTTGGTGGTCCTCGGCCACTGCCTCACTCCACGCTCCACCCTCAGGGATCCCCAGGGGCAGACTGTGTGCCCGGCCTCTAGACCTGGGTGCTCATGACATCCTCAGAACACCATGGGGTCAGGTGACCATGTCTGAATCACACTTCCCCTGACTCTGTTGACCTTGATGAGCACTCAGCACCTGGAACCCCAGCTTCCCATCTGTACAATATGCTACAAGTTCTCACCACCATGAGAATCCACTGGGGTACCACGGAAAAGACTTGGGGAGAGTCTCACGATGCAGGGACCGCCATTACTTTAATTCCCATCGCCGGTTGCTATGGCCCTCCTGCTTCCTCGCACACCATGGGCGCCCTCTCTCCACTTCGTGTCCCCCCCACCCCATATTTCCCTATTCCTGGAGCCTCATGTCTGAAGCCCTGTCACCCTTGGTCTCTTTCTTTGTCCCATCCTGGGCTTCCACCTCAGTCTTGGGGCCAAAGAGGAGGCCAGCCCCGGGGTGGTCCATACCCAGCGGATCTTGGACTTCAATCTCAGGCCCTGGCCCACTCAATGAGATGGTGACCTCCTTCAGGCTGGGGTCAAAGGGGAGTCTCCATGTGTGCTCCCCCTCCTCCTCGTGGTCTGTGGACAGCAGGTGCACCTTGGAGGCCTGGATCGCTGACTCCACCCACTTCAGCACCTGGAGGCAAGTATGAGGAGCTGATGCCGGCAGGTGCCCACAATGTCTTCCCCCTCCCATGGATTTTAGGCAGCATACAAACTTTCCAGGTCGCCCAAGGCCACCCCACTCCTCCATGTCCAACACCAGGCCCAATTCACACATTGTGACCCTCCTGGCTTCCATAGGCTCCAAGCTGTGAAGCCTGAATTGAGGCATTCGGAGGACTCAGCACAGAGGGAAGGAGCAAGGGTGTGTCCCTCTACTGGGAAGACTCTTCCACACTTCTCCACCTGGCCTCCTTCCACAGCACCCACACTTCCTCCAGGAAGCCCTCTTGGTGCCTCTTACACACAATGAACCCTGGAGATCTGGAAACTCCCCCAGACCCATGTAGTTCATGACTGATTATCCCAGGGGCCTCCAACTGTGCTCCCACCAGGGCGCCACGTTCCCTAAGCAGGACTGAGAGGCACTGCTGCAAAGACTTCAGGTCTCTTTCCAGTCCACAGAAGTAAGGAATTGCTGGATGGATTTTTGCAATATTGAGAAGACCTAAATCCTTGGTTTCTATAATTGATTATTCATTCTAAAGTCTTACATCTTTTGGACAAGTGCCACTGAGAATCAGATAAAAGGTAAGGACCCTTTGCCTGGGATATCATCCTATCCCTTAGGTACACATTTAGGGTATGACTTCGGGAGGTTCCCAAACTCCCTCAGAGATACTCCCCCTACCACAAACTGAGCACAAACTTATTTAGTTTCTCCAAATCCTGACCATGGCCTTCAAGACCCTAGGTTCTATGGTCCTAGGCACCTATGCCAACCCAAGGTCACTGTGCCACTGCCTCCCCCTGCCTGCTACACTGGACCCCACCCCTCCCGCAGGCAGCCCCCACCCATACATGCCGTGTTCTTTGCAGGAATGCCCTGCCTCCTCATCGACCATCTCCTTGCTATACTTCAGCTCGCTGCTTGAAGAGCCCTCTCTAATCCTGAAAAGGCTCTGTTCCCTGATACATACTATTTTGCAGCAATCTGCACTCCAGTCATTCACATTTATTGGATTCGGGCTTCTCATCCTTACTGGCCTGGGATCTCTGTGGGGGCAGAGAACCTCTGCTGTGCCCATGTGTGTCTCAGCCCTGAGCTCACTGCCAGGCACAGAGTGAGTGCTCAGGAGGCACCTGCTGGCTGTGTGAGTTCAGTAGGACATGCATCTCCTGGGCAGAGCTATCAGGCTGACCTCAAGTCCACCTCTCAGGCACCTCACTCCATACCCCTCCTCTCCCCAGCTCACACCTCCTCCTTTGCAATAGCCAAGTCACCTAGATTCCAGCAAGGAAACCAAGACAGAGGGAGAGGAAGGGAGCCCCTTCAAGTCTGGACCTTCTCTTTCCAGGCCAAGTTATCTCAAAGAGCGTCCATCCTGTGCAAACCCTAAAACTGAAAGACAGTGAGCTCAACCATAAAATCGGTACCACAACCACAGAGAGAAAAGAACATCTCCAAGTGAATTCCAAACCCGGCGGTTCAACTATCCTTTCTCAGTAGGAGGACAACAAGAACCGCAAAAAAAAAAAAAAAAAAAAACTTTAGTGAGTAGATTTTATTTGGAAGAACTATCAGCACTGTGATTTTGAACCCATTTTATATATCTTGTTGGATAAAGCAAATAAGTAAAGATGTCAATATTTTCAGAATCAAGATTTTTTTCTTATAAACAAATGTAAGAGACAGCTGCAAGTATCAAATCAAATGAGCTAAGTAAAAGATCTACAATGTGAAATTTGAATTGGAAATATCAGTATAAGTTCTCCAGATAGAGATAGATGATAAATTGATAGGTAGGTATATAGGCAGGTAGGTAGGTAGATAGATAGATAGATAGATAGATAGATAGATAGATAGATAGAGCAATTGATCCAGAAGCAATGATGGCCCAAAGTTTCAATAACAATGATCACCACCAGTACCTAGATCTTGGTTTCTAAATACCATTCCCCACGAGGGTTCCTTGGAGAAGTGGCTAATTCCAGGTCTGGGGCAGGCAATTTATAAGGTGAGCCTGGGATGATGGGTTATTCCATAAAACAAAGAAGTTCTCAAAGACAAATAGGGACATATCAAAAGGACATAGGAACCAGCTTGAAGGAGCTCCCACTGACTAAATTTGGGACAACTTGAGCCCAAAAGAGAATAATAACTGTGCTCAATTGAAACACATTGAATAATATAATCCATGTGCACATAATGATACTCAAAAAAGAGAAAGCAAAATTCAAAACAGTAAAGCCTCCCTTGCCACAACTGAAGTGACTCCTTAATCGAAGAGAAAGAACTAAGTGTGATTCCGTGCCTTTTCGACAGAAATTGTACTTCAGAGAAACCAAATTATCCGTCACTTTTGATGCATAAAAGTTCTTCTTCTTGGAAGAATGCCCACTCATAAATGTGGGAGGAATGATGCAGTTAGGAAATCATCATTTTGCAACCCCTAATGAAATATCATTTCAGGCAAGAGTCCTCAGTGGATGCTAAAACTGTTAGATGAAAAGTTGATGGGAACTAGATGTCCGCACAGAGCGAGAACATTACCCACTTGAGTCATAAAGGCAAAAACGCAGCCCAACCATACAGAGAGCTGGCTGTCGCCACCCTCACCCAGTCATCAAACTTATCATCAGTAATAGTAGGATGCTCAGACACTATTTGCCTCCCGGTGTGATACAACAGAAGACACACTCAGCACCAACTAGGAAATATTCCTGCCAAAAAGTTCAGCCTTCATCAAATCAGACCTTTGGACTTATCCAGTTTGAGGGAAACATAGGGGATTAAAAAAAAAAAAAAAGTGAATGCCACCACAAGGAAATAATCAGAAGAATCCAGAACATGGGACAGGGTACAAATCCATGCCTCTTGAACAGCTTAGTGTCATAAAAAAAGAGCTGATGGCTTCAGACCAAAGAGGACTTAATAGACATAACAACCAAAGGAAATGCACAGCCCTTGATGAAATCCTGATTTGACGAAAACTGTGATCAAAGACAGTTTGAAGACAGGGAAATCTGAACATGGGCTATGTATAGAATGATACTAGGAAACTCATTAATTTTATTAGACGATATTGTGGGTTATGTTGAAGACTATGTTTTTTCAGAAATCCATGCTGAATTATTTATAGATAAGGTGTCATGATTCAGCAAAAAGTATAAAGAGATAGATAAAGCAAGTCGAGCAGAAATGTTAACAATTGTTGAATCTAGTTGGTAGGTGTGTTCTTTTTACTTTTCTGCATCTTGGAAATTCTTCATAGTAATTTTTTATTAAAGTAAAGTCATTTAAAAATAACAAGTATGCGACCGGGCACTGTGGCTCATGCCTATAATCCCAGCACTTTGGGAGGCCGAGGCAGGCGGATCACCTTAGGTCAGAAGTTTGAGACTAGCCTGGCCAACACAGTGAAACTCCATCTCTACTAAAAATACAAAAATTAGCCGGGTGTGGTGGCAGGCGCCCGTAATCCCAGCTACTCAGGAGGCTGAGGCAGGGGAATTGCTTGAACCCAGGAGGCAGAGTTTGCAGTGAGCTGAGATCATGCCACTGCATTCCAGCTTGGGTGACAAGAGCAAAACTCCATCACAAACAAACAAACAAACAAAAATCAAGTATGCAAGTATGCTGTGACTTTAATGTACACCTGAACAATCACAGTGGTATACTGTTGCTTGCCAACTCCAAGCTAAGGGAAACGCTTCCTGGAAAGCTGAAGAAGAAAGGCAAAGCCACATTCAGCCCCAAGTAGAAAAAGGTCTGTGATTGATTAGCAATGTCTGCCATGAATATGGGTTTTAAAAGTGGTGTCTTGCATGCTACTTATTGGTCATTCTTGCTCTAAATCATAGTCCTTCAGCTCTGCTTACCATGTGATCTTCTACAAAAAGGGAAAGGAATCCAAAGAATTGGAAAATGAGGTTTTTGGGTTTTTGTTTTTTTTTTTTTTTTTTCAGACTGAGCTAGAAGATATGTGCCTAGAAGTTTATGGCTAGATTTCAACTATCACGTGACAAGAATTCTGTATTCTGAAAATGCATCTGTTTTTATAATTGGAGCTACTTCATTGTTGTGTCTTGCCTAGCTTTCTAAGTAATGTGTCTCTTGAAAAGGTCCCACCTGTCTTAGCCAAGGAATGAGGACAAGGTTCTTCGTCCATGTGGGGGTGGACAGAAGGGAGCAGTGGCTGAGGACTCCCAGCTGGAGAGGCCCACAGAAGCCCGCCGAACATGTGAGGCAACTCCTCCAACAGCAAAGAAGCAGGTCCGTTACCACCGTCCCCTTCCCCCGGGCCAGGCCTTGTCAGGGGTCAGGAGGGAAGCATCACTGAGCAAAGCACCAGTCGACAATTACCCAGAGGAGTGACACCCGCTACTGTGTCGTAACTGCTGTTACAAGCTTGTTCTAGGATGTTCTGATGGAGGGAAGATGCTCGGCAATTCAGACTACTGAACCACAGAGAGGGCTGGGACACGAGGCAGAAAGCCAGTGACCCACAGGATGGCCTGCCCTGTAAGCATATCCCCACTTGGGAGTTGGGGGGCTGACCCTCTTGCCCACAGCAGGGCCAGACCCCCCTGTAGGGCCAGGCCTGGGGACATTGCCTTCTAGACCTGTGGTGCCAGGGCTCCAGCGCAGAGAGCCTTCATTAAGCCAGCTCAATGTTCATCTGGTGAAGGCAATGGCTTCCAGATGTTAGAGGGGCTGGGGGACCAGCGAGCCTGCGATGCACTGGGGCTCATCTCTGTCACCCATGGGGAAGGAACGAAAAATCTGGCAGTGCTCCCCCAGCCAGATGGCTGCTGCTCGACCCTTCGCAGCAGATAAATCATCCCCGAGGATCCTCCCAGAACATTTGACAGCCAGGGCGGCTGAGGAAGCAGGGAAGGAAAGCCAGGGGGCGAATGGGCCCCCGAGGCACAGATGAGAACACAGAGGATGGGGCTGTGGGTCCTGGGCCCTGTGCCAGGAGGCTTACCGTGAAGTGACAGAGAGAGAACCCTAGTCAGGGGGTTTTGCCCCTTGCCAGCTGGGCACCCTGGGCACTCGCCCTAGCAGAGAATCTTTTTCAGAGAGAGTTCCTAGTCTTCAGGGGGCATTGATGGAACTGAGGGACATATCCTGGGCTCCACATTGAAGCACGGGGGGGTGGGATGGCATTTAGCCATCGTGAACTCTTACCAAGGGCTTCCTCTCTCCCTGGCTACCATCTCACCAGGTAGGGGCTCTCGTTAACCCAACTGCACACAAGAAGAAAGTGTGGCCCAGAGAGGTTGAGGACTGTGCTGGCAGTCACCCTGCAGGTAAGTGGCAGGGCTGCGAGGTCTGAAGCCAGGCCTCTTGCCCCGGAGTCCAAACCCTAACCACCTCCCCCTGGGAGGGGTCCAGGATGAGGTCATCTCTGGGCCCCTGCTGATGAATTTAATCAGAGCCACCTGGTCAGACGCTCCCCCAGCAGCTCCCCCTCACCCCCCCATCTTCCGCCCGCCCTTACTGTCTTAGAAGGACACCTTTCTCCTAGCAGATGCACAGAACACAGGCAATTCACCCTTTGTGCCTGCTGGTGCTGAACATGGGAAGGCTCCCAGCCCCCAGAACCAGCCGTGCTGGAACGTGTGAGTTGTGGGGTGGGGGATGCAGAGGAGAGCAAGATGCCCAGTGCTCTCCCAGGAAAAAAAGACAGAGGGGCTTTCCCAGGCACGGGGGAGCTGCAGGACAGGCAAGTTTGCCCAGCTCTGCTGGCCCCACCCCCACCACTGTCGGGGCTAGTGACAGTGCGTTGAGCTGTGTCTGCCAGGGAACTTGGGGGAGGCTGCTCTGGCACAGCAGGTGCTTGGACTTGTCTAAGTCTTAATCAAAAATGCACACCTTTGGGGCAGGTTCAAGGGGCCACGTTGCCTGCCTCTGACATGATCCCCTGTCTGTTTAAGGATTATAAAAGCTCCAAATTTCCCCTACCAGGGAGAGATCCTCACCTTCCTTTAATTACCCTGCAACCCCAAGGGGTGATCCAGGTACTAGTGAGGCCAACTTCACAATTGAAAAAAAGTGAAATGCTCCAAAGCAGTAAGCCCTAGCTGTGACTGATGGCCAACTCTGCACCAGCACTCAGAGCTGCACCTGGCCCGGGGCAGGAGCTCAGCAAACAAGGGGAAGAGAATGCATGACGCCTCTTGGGCTGCACTGGATGCACTCTGAAGAGGTAAAAGGATTAATGACACACGCATAGTTTGGAGCCTTTTGCAACTTCTGGGGAGTTCTCCCAGCTGGAGGCCCCTTGGCTAGGGTGAAGGCACCGTTCATCTCTCCTGGGAGGGTGACCGCAGCCCTGGCTGTCCAGCCACCTTCCCAGGCTTGCCGAATGTCTGGGAACATCTGGAAGAGGCTATGTCCAAGGCATTAAGCTAAAGAACAACAGAGCTCCATGCCCAGGAAGGAGAGGGTTCCAGGCCCCTACTTAGAGGTAGCCAATTCTGGCCACTGGTGGTCCTACTGAGTCAGACACATGCTGCCCGGCCAGACTGTCACAGCAGAAAGCTGGCACCACAGCTGGGAGTAGTGGATTTGCCCAGGTTCCCAGCCTCAAGGAAGAGGCTTAGGACAGCCCAGCCTCACACCTGGGCGAGTGGCCCCCATCAACCTGCCCAGCTGCCCTGTGTCTGATTTGCCCCTGGCAGGAACCAAGTTCCCATGCAATTGGCCAGATAGTTCTCCCCAGGAGCAAGAACCAACCCATCCTTCCACTGTAAAATGCCTCCCACCCTTGCTTGGGTGACTCGGTGCGAGGGTAGGCTGACATGCCAAAAAATGAAGCCTAAAGTGTCGCAGAGAACCATAAACGCCATCTGTCAACAGGGAGTTAAGGCACGCTAATCTAAACACACTCCTGGAGATAGCTCTCTGCAGCTCGTAAATATACACACACAAAACCCTCTCCCAGAGGCAACAAAGCAGGACTGGCTCAAGGCCATGGCCAGCCTCAGACACCCTGCCTCTCTCTCCTTCCTCTTACCAGGGACTTGAGCACAAGGGACCCTGTCCATTCACCAGCTATTTACCCAGCACCTGCTCTGAGCTGGGAAATGTAAAGTGCTGGGAAGGCTGTGGCCATCGGGACTCACAGCCCAGTCCCTGGAAACTTCACGGCCTAGTGACATTTAATAATCGCACAGTTATAAAGTTATGATTATGCAAAGTAGCACAGGGAGCTGGGAGGGGCACACAAGGAGACCTAATCTTTTTTTTTTTTTTTTTTTTTTTTTTTAAGACAGAGTTTCACTCTTGTTGCCCAGGCTGGAGTGCAATGGCACGATCTTGGCTCACCACAACCTCCGCCTCCCAGGTTCAAGCAATAGGAGACTTAATATTGAAAGGAAATCAAGGAGGGTCTCCATGAGGAGGTGCGCTTAAGCCAAGACTAGGAAGGTGAGAAGGAGCCAGGAGAGGAGGAGCTCGAAGAATGGGCCGCACCAGCAAAGGCCCCGGGCGGGGAGGAGCGTAGGACATTGGAGAGATAGCAGAGAAGCCAGCAGGGTAGCAAGTTTGGGCAAGGGGATACCAGGGGGACCAGAAAGGCAGAGGGGTCAGATAAGGGGCTGGACATTCTCCAGGGGACAAGCGGGAGGGACCTGGCGGTGAGAGGTGCCTGTGCGGGATCCAGTGGTGTGTGGGAGCCACTTGTGTAGGCTCCGGAAAGCTGAGTGTCAGCGTCACTTCCCAACTCTGACTTGGAATCAGCCGAGGTGGGAGCATTTATACCACGGAAATGGGTGTGCTTGTCCTTTCCAGAGAGAGCGTTGTTCATCATTTCCCAGCTGGCCCCTGAAAGGATCCTGTGCTCCTGGGAGCGGACGGGAGTGTGGGGTGGAGGGAAAGCAGGGACAGCCCTGAACAGGATGATACCATGGAGCCCCGAGAGGAGGAAGGACAGAGCCCTGTCCAGGAGCAAGGCTGAGTGGCAGGTGCCTGCGGAGCACTGGGCTCTGAGTGAACGCAGATCCCGGCACTGTAGGCCACACAGCAAGCCAGCCCCTCCCTGCCCAGTGCCCAGCACCACTGCCTGGACCTGAGAGCTCCTGTGTTCCTCCACCCACCGCAGGTTCCCTGACTCTGGGGAGACACTCAGAAGATGCCCCATACCCACATTTCTGCCACAGTCTCTGGGGCCACCTTGTCAGCCTGGACCAACTGCTGAACCCAGGCCATCCCAAGGGGCTGCGTCAAGCCTCAGCCTCTTTACCTGCACAATTTTGCCTGGAAACACGGAAGCACCTGCCTTTGGGACAGGTGGAAGGGTTTGGCGAGATAAGATGATGTGGTGGCACCTGAGCACAGCGCGTCCTGTGCCTGCCACAGGTGTGCACCCAGTGCTGCTCAGCTATATAGATGTCCCTGCATCTCTGGATGATTGATTGTCATTCAACCACCTGGAGCCACAGGGATGGTCAGTGTCCTCACCGTGCCCGAGTGATGGGCTCCGGGATGGTGCCCCCTCCCAGTGCTCACCTCTGTCACTTGCTGCTTGTCCAGGTGGAACACCTGCCCAGAGCTGGTGGCAGCGATCTCCTCATAAGCCAGGTAGCCAGGATGGGTGCGGTCGCCACAGTCCCCCGTCAGCACAAAGACCACCTGGAAGATGGACGTGCAGCCTGCTCTCGACTTCCCTGGCCGGCTGCTTCAGGGGTGAGCAGCAGGACCTCGACCAGGGTGGAGTGACCTGGAGTGGGCCCTCTCCTCTGTCTGTCACATGTATAGAATGACATATGACACATGAATAGAAGGGAAAATAGAAGTGCCCATCTCATGGGGATCAGGAGCTGATGCAGGACAAATGCTCAGCACAGGGCCAGGAAAACAGTAGGTGCTCCATATTGGGAACTGCTATTAAATCAACAATAAAGACGAGCGTGGAAGTCGACTCATCTCAGAGTGGCCCCTGGAGGCTGCAGACTTAGAAGAACCTTGAAGAACCCAAGCAAGTTCTAGACGTGGCGGCAGAGAAGCAGTCCCGGCCCTGTGGATCTTGCCCAAGGATGCCAAAGAGCAGGCTCTTCTCCCTCCCTTGATCAGGTCCCCTCTCCCAGCCCTCACTGCAAAAGCCAGAAGCAAGGGATCCGACAGGTCTTCCAAACCCTGAGACAATGGCAAAGGGGACAGGAACGGCAGAGAACAGGAGCAGAGGCGATGCCAGGAGGAAGACGGGTTGCCTGGACTTTGATGGGGGTGAAAGGAGTAGGTGGTATGGTCTCCAACAGGAACAAGCTGCGCCAGGGAAGTGTGAGCCCTGGCCTGGGCCTACAGCATGAGAGCACACTCACACTTCCTGGGCCAACTTGGTTCGGAGGCTCTGGCCATGCATGGCAGAGGCTGGACCCAAGGCTGTGGAAGAGAAGTGCCCAGCTCTGCTCTCCAGGAGGTGGCTCAGGTGGTGAGAGAGACCCCAGCTTCCTCGGGACCCCCGGGGGACCCCACTTTGGGCCCCCACAGCCGGCTCACCCACCTGTGATTGCTTGAGCTGCAGGAGCCGCAGCAGCTCTTCCTTCTTGTGATAGTCTTTGGCGCGGGCATCCGAAAAGACGTAGATGAAGGATCCGGGGTTGGCAACCTCCACGGCAGCCTTAATGGCCCCCACACTCATCTCCGGGCAGTCACCACCTCCCTGGAGGGCAGAAGCATGTCAGCAGCTGCCACCTGCCTCCTCCAGATGGGACCCACCCAGGGACATCTCCAAAACCACTGGGCATAGGGAGTCACCTTGAACTGTCACCTCCTGCCCACCCAGTCACTTTCTTCCCGGAGACACGATATAACATCCAACCTGCTTTAACTGTAGATAAGCAGCATCATTCATCCATTCATTCATTCATCCATGCAAGAGTGACACGGGCCCACCCCCATGGAATCTGGCATGGAGGGCAGTCACTACACCAATAAGCCCAGCACCGTGACGAGTACTTCGAGTGGGCAAGGATGGAGGGGGCCATGGGAGCAGCTAACAGATGGCCTAAGGAAGCCACACATTCACCCAGGAGGAGGGAGAGGTGGAGGCTGGGCAAGAGGGAATCACTCGAAGCTACCTCCCCAAACCCTATTGGTGGGACACAGACTGGAAAGAGTGGGACAGAGGGTCAGGGGCTGCCCACCTGCACGTAGAGTTCTCTCAGCTCCCTCTGAAACACTGTGGGGTCCGCCGTGAGGGTCACTGGGCCAATATCTGTGGAGAAGAGAGAGGGACGCCCAGATGGGCTGGGACTCCTAGACACACAGCCCGGTGGGCTGGTTTGTCGGCGACATGAGGATGGATGTTCAGAGGAGCTGAGGCTGGCACACAAGACGGGGAGAGATCAGGGAGCAGCTCCCGGAGCTGCAGGATCAGACCAGAAAACAAGGTCACACCACTCTGCCCCATGCCCAGCACCAAAGCAGGACCCGAGCTCCAGGGAAGCAGAGGTGAGGCAGAGGGCAAGCCCCAGCTCCTCCCTCCGGACAGCAGCTCCCAACCTTTGGTGACCAAGACTCTCCTAAGAACCCCCACCTCCAACATCCCACCGGCTGCCAGTCAGTGGAGAAGGAATTCTGGGAAGACAAAGAAACAAGAAGCAAACAAACAATCCATTCTGGGACACACAGCAACTCTCCAACACCAGCTGCTCAACAAAAGAAAAACCTTCCAGAAACCCCATCTATGTATGAGCTCATTTTAAAAAGAACAGCAATAAAAATGACAAAGATTGACTGCACTCAAGGTTGGCAAGGATGTGGAGCAACTGGAACTTTCATTCACTGCTGGTGGGAACACAAAATGGTTTAACCACTTTGAGCAACAATGGAAGTTTCTAAAACGTTACACATGCACCTACCATGGGGTCCAGCCATTCCACACCTAGGTATGTCCCCAAGAGAAATGAAAACATATGTTCACACAAAGGCTTGTACTCAAAGGTTCATAGCAGCTGTATTCACAATAGTCCAACACTGGACACAAGCCAGATGTCCATCATCTGGTGGAGAGATAAACAAACTGGTAAATTCACAGAACCAGGTTGTCCTCAGCAATAAGACAGGACAACTACCAATATAGGCAACAACAGGGGCACCTCCCACGCGAGAGAAGCCAGACGCAAAACAGCACACACAGTATGGTTCCATTTATAGTAAGTTCTGGAACAGTCAAAATTAATCTAAGGTGAAGAAAAACAGAACAGAGGTTGCCTGAGGAGCTTGACTTGGAAGGAACTGTCTGAGACAGAAACATTCTATATTGTGATAGGAATGTGGGATCCTCAGTGTATCATTTGTCAAAAGTGTGCAGCTAAGATCGGAGCATTTCAATGTATGTAAATTTACCCCATAAGCAAAGCACTAGAACAAATGATCGTCACTGAGTGGGGGGTGGGTTGGGGGTGGGAGGAGGTACAGACAAGACGAGAATGACGGGGCTGTTTAACATTTGGCAATGCTGGGTGATGGGTACATGGAGATTCATTATTATCTTCTACTTATGTTGTATATGTTTGAAATGTTCACTAACAAAGAGTTTTTTTTTTTTAAAAAATAGCAGTAATGGAGATCCACGCCAACATAAGACAACACTACCAGTGCTGGACAGCAGGGCTGGCGTTCCGGGGATCCTGAGGATAAGCGCATAGTGGGGATTGTGTAAGGTCGTGTGGACATCAGGTTTCTTAGGAAAATATTTGAGTCCTCAGTGCACCCTATGTATTTTATTTTATTTATTTATTTATTGAGAAAGAGTCTCGCTCTGTCGCCCAGGCTGCAGTATAGTGGCATGATCTCGGCTCACTGCAACCTCCACCTCCCAGGTTCAAGCGATTCTCTTGCCTCAGCCCCCTGAGTAGCTGGGACCACAGTCATGTGCCACCACACCCAGCAAATTTTTGTATTTTTAGTAGAGACGGGGTTTCGCCATGTTGGCCAGGCTGGTCTTGAACTCCTGACCTCAAGTGATGCTCCCACCTCAGCCTCCCAAAGTGCTGGGATTACAGGTGTGAGCCACTGTGCCCAGCCTCAGTGAACTCTAATAACAGACTATTTTTAGTTCAGGAATTCTAAATTCCAGTTGCTGTAAACAAACTTTCATTCTCAGCAACCAGTTGGCGGAGCTCAGTCTTTCTTAGAAAGGAAAGCCTGTAGAATTATCCAGCATGCCTCACAATGATCGAGGATGAGCTGACACCAGCTTCCCCCGTGGCCCCGGCCCCTCTGCTCTGTGTTTATCCGTCTCGTCCCACCCTGTCCTCCCTCGCCTGCCCTGGCCATCCCCACCACGTCCTTTCCTCTGAACTACACAGTAATGAATTCAGCCCAACTGCAGCAGCTCAGTCCTCAGCCTTGGAGCTTGGCCAGATCTGACTGGAACCCTTCCTTTATCCTTTTTGGGCTATGGGGACTCTCAGGCAGAGCTCACTTCACTGCCCCAAGCCTCAGTTTCTTCATCTGTAGAACGAGACATGTAACAACGCCATTTCTCCTGACCAAGAACCATCACTGTGAGAATTCAGTGAAACCAGGTAGCTAAACCCCTGGCACAGAGCTTAGCACGCAGCTTGGCATGGAGCAAAGGCTCAGCAAATGGGAAGAGGCACTGCTAACGTGAGCGTGCCCTTGGCCAGGCTCCAGCGGGTGTTCTCACACAGTGCAGTCAAAGACAGTGTTGCTTCAATATGAGGTCCTCAAATTCTACTTTGACTAAGAAGAGCAATCATTTCACTCAGTGCTGGTTATTTCATTGTTAGGTAATCACACATGTTCACTGTAAAAAGAAATTAACATGACATGAATGATAATGACAGTTACTAAATACCTTGTAAGTGCCAGGCTATGTCCTGAGATGCTTCCTGTGTATCAGCTCACTAAATTCCTCCTAGCACCTGGTAGGTCCAAGTCTTTTTTTTTTTTTTTTTTTTGAGATGGAGTCTTGCTCTGTCACCCAGGCTGGAGCACAGTGGTGCAATCTCGGCTCACTGCAGCCTCCGCCTCCTGGGTTCAGGTGATTCTCCTGCCCCAGCCTAGTAGCTGGGATTACAGGTGCATGCCACCACACCCGGCTAATTTTTGTATTTTTAGTAGAGACGGGGTTTTGCCATGTTGGCCAGGCCGGTCTCAAACTCCTGACCTCAGGTGATCCGCCCGCCTCAGCCTCCCAAAGTGCTGCGATTACAGCAGGCATGAGCCAGTGCGCCAGTCCTTTTTTTTTTTGAGACTGAGTCTCACTCCATCACCCAGGCTGGAGTGCAGTGGCGCGATCCTGGCTCACTGCAACCTCCAGTTCCCAGGCTCAAGTCATTCTTGTGCCTCAGTCTTCCAAGTAGCTGGGATTACAGAGGTGTACCGCCATGCCGGGCTAATTTTTTTGTATTTCTAGTAGAGACAGGGTTTCACCATGTTGGCCAGGCTGATCTCAAACTCTTGGACTCATGTGATACACTTGCCTCGGCCTCCCAAAGTGCTGGCGTCCAAGTCTTACCCACATTTTTACAGAGGAGAACGTGGAAGCCCAGAGACGTAACTTGTCCAATGACACACAGCCAATAAGTGGCAGTGCTGGGATATGAGCCCAGGTCCGGATGACCTCAAGAACAGAGCTCTTCTTAACTCCTGCTCTCAGGGAAATAGACATAGAAATTCCTGACAGGCAAAACAAAGCAAAACAAAAAAGGGAAGGGGCACAACTGCCTGTATTTTTTTTTTTTTCAGACAGAGTCTCGCTCTGTCACCCAGGTTGGAGTACAGTGGCACAATCTCTGCTCACTGCAACCTCTGCCTCCCGAGTTCAAGCCATTCTCCTGCCTCAGCCTCCTGAGTAGCTGGGATTACAGGCGCCTGTCACCATGCTCGGCTAATTTTGTATTTTTAGTAGAAACAGAGTTTCACCATGTTGGCCAGGATGGTCTCGATCTCCTGACCTCATGATCCGCCTGCATTGGGCTCCCAAAGTGCTGGGATTACAGGCGTGAGCCACTGCGCCTGGCCAATTGCCTGTATTTCTACCAACCAGAGATAATAATTTTCATTTTTGTATATAACCTTTAATTTTTATATTCATATATTTAAATGTATAAATACATCTTACAAAAATACATACTATTTTAAGCAGAATTTTTATTGAAGTATAAATAACATACTATTTCTAACCTGATTCTTTTCACTGAACAAGTAAGTGTGAGCAAATTTTCAGAAAGTTACTCAGTCAAACATCATTTTAATAGGAAGGATCCCCTGGACCAGAGAGCCCTGGAAAGGATTTTAAGGTTGGCCTCTGTCTCAGTTTCCTATTGCTTCTGTGACAAATTACTAGAAACTTCATGCCTTAAAACAACACACAGGCCAGGCGCGGTGGCTCACGCCTGTAATCCCAGCACTTTGGGAGGCCGAGGCGGGAGGATCACAAGGTCAGGAGATCGAGACCATCCTGGCTAACATGGTGAAACCCTGTCTCTACTAAAAAATACAAAAAAAAAAAAAAATTAGCCGGGCATGGTGGCAGGCACCTGTAGTCCCAGCTACTCGGGAGGCTGAGGCAGGAGAATGGCGTGAACCCGGGAGGCGGAGCTTGCAGTGAGCCGAGATCGCGCACCACTGCACCCAGCCTGGGTGACAGAGCAAGACTCCGTCTCAAAAAAAAAAACCAAAAAAAAAAAAAAAACACACACACACACAGCTATGGAAGCCAGCAGTCCTAAATCCAAGTGTCAGCAGGGCTGCATTCCTCCTGGGGGTTTTAGGGGAGGATCAGTTTCCCTGCCTTTTCCAGCTGCTAGAGGCCTTAGATCATGGCTCCTTCCTCCATCTTCAAAGCAGCAGTAGGGCGTCTGTCTCTCTCCTGTGCTGCTGTCGTCACAGCTCCCTCTCTGACTCCAAGCTTCCTGCCTCCCTCTTATGAGGACCCTTGTGATTATAAAGGGCTCACCTGGATAATCCAGGACAATCTCCCTTCTCAAGAGCCGTGACTTTGTCACACCTGCAAAGTCCCTTTCACCATGGCAGGTCACACATTTGCAGGTTCTGTGCATTAGGACAGGCACATCTTTGGGAAGATATCATTCTACCCTACCACGGCTTTCACCATTTGGTCTTCAGCAAGAATCAACTTCAGAAAAGTCAATTTGACCACAACCTATGTGCCAAACATAACAATGTTGAGGGCCGGGCACGGTGGCTCACGCCTGTAATATCAGCACTCTGGGAGGCCCAGGCAGGCGGATGAATTGAGGTCAGGAGTTTGAGACCAGCCTGGCCAACATGGTGAAACCTCATCTCTACTAAAAACACAAAACTTAGCTGGGCGTGGTGGCACATGCTTGTAATCCCAGCTACTCAAAAGGCTGAGGCAGGAGAGTTGCTTGAACCTGGGAGGCAGAGGTTGCAGGAAGCCGAGACTGTGACACCGCACTCCAGCCTGGGTGATAGAGCGAGACTCCATCTCAAAAAAAACAAAACAACAATGTTGAGGAGGAAGAGATCTGAAGACCCCCACCTTTCTAAAGATGTGGAAACTGAGGCCCCAAGAGAAGACAGCCCCTCCATGTCAGGGGGGAAGATCTGGGGCAAGAGTTGACTGGATACATCACGCATGCAGTGACCCTGTCTCTGTCCTTCACCACGGCAGGTGGCTCATGCCTGTAATCCCAGCACTTTGGGAGGCCGAGGTGGGTGGATCACGAGGTCAGGAGTTCGAGACCATCAGCCTGACCAACATGGTGAAACCCTGTCTCTACTAAAAATACAAAAATTAGCTGGGCCTGGTGACGCATGCCTGTAATCCCAGCTACTCGGGAGGCTGAGACAGGAGAATCACTTGAACCCAGGGGGTGGAGGTTGCAGGAGCCAGGATCACGCCATTGCACTCCAGCCTGAGCAACAGAGTGAGACTCCGTCTCAAAAAAAAAAAAAAAGAAAAAGAAAATAGGGTCTCAGGCTGGGTGAGGTGGCTCACGCCTGTAATCCCAGCACTTTGGGAAGCCGAGGCGGGTGGATCACCTGAGGTTGGGAGCTCAAGACCAGCCTGACCAACATGGAGAAACCCCGTCTCTACTAAAATACAAAATTAGCCGGGTGTGGTGGTGCATGCCTGTAATCCCAGCTACTTGGGAGGCTGAGTCAGAAGAATCGCTTGAACCCAGGAGGCAGAGGTTGCAGTGAGCCGAGATCGTGCCATTGTACTCCAGCCTGGGCAACAAGAGCAAAACTCCGTCTCAAAAAAAAAGAAAAAGAAAAGAAAAGAAAATAGGGTCTCATTCTGCAGTCCCAGGAAGGACATGAATTTTGGAAGAACACTTTTCAACCTTGTACAATGTCCAGATCCACAAACGTTTCATTCCAATGCCTGTTCCCTTTGCCACTGACTATACTGCCTCCAAAAACAATGATGGCGGCCGGGCGCGGTGGCTCACGCCTGTAATCCCAGCACTTTGGGAGGCCGAGACGGGCGGATCACGAGGTCAGGAGATCAAGACCAACCTGGCTAACACGGTGAAACCCCGTCTCTACTAAAAATACAAAAAATTAGCCGGGCGTGGTGGTGGGCGCCTGTAGTCCCAGCTACTCGGGAGGCTGAGGCAGGAGAATGGCGTGAACCTGGGAGGCGGAGCTTGCAGTGAGCTGAGATCGCGCCACTGCACTCCACCCTGGGTGACAGAGCGAGACTGCGTCTCAAAAAAAAACCAACCAACCAACCAAACAAACAAAAAAACAATGATGATAGTGGTGGTGGTGATGATGATGATGGTGGTGGTGGTGGTGGTAATGATGATGGTGGTGGTGATGATCGTGGTGGTGGTGATGATGATGGTGGTGGTGGTGATGATCGTGGTGGTGGTGATGATGATGGTGGTGGTGGTGGTGATGATGATGATGGTGGTGGTGATGATGATGATGGTGGTGGTGGTGATGATGATGGTGGTGGTGATGATGATGGTGGTGGTGATGATGATGATGGTGGTGGTGGTGGTGATGATGATGATGGTGGTGGTGATGATGATGATGGTGGTGGTGGTGATGATGATGGTGGTGGTGATGATGATGGTGGTGGTGATGATGATGATGGTGGTGGTGGTGATGATGATGGTGGTGGTGGTGGTGATGATGATGGTGGTGGTGGTGATGATGATGGTGGTAATAGTGATGTTACCATTGTTTTGATGTTTACTAAGCACCAAGTTTTGTTCTAAGCATTTGACGTGCATTTGCTCATAAAAGCCTTACAACAACCTATGAGGTCTACTATTTATTATCCTCATTTTATAGATGAGAAAATGGAGGCTTGGGGAAGTAAAGTGAGCTGCCCAAGGAATTACAACCAGGAAGCAGTAGAAATGAGAGTCCAGTCTAGGTCAGTCTGACCCCAGTTGCAAGCTGTCAACCACCCATGAAGCTGTAGACACTCAGAACTCATTCCCCAGACCCTTGTCCTGTGCCTGCAGAGGGAGGGAGATTCAGGACTGAGGGTGGGCATTTGCCAAACAGCTGGGCAGATGTGGCGTGCAGTCCCTCCGAGCAGGCCTGCTGGCTGCAGGGATGATTAAACCCGTGACCTTGGCTCCACTCAAGCCCTCTTCCAGCATGTGAGCCCCAGAAGCCTGGCCTGGAACCACCAAGCCACAGGCGGGGTTTTTTCCACTGGGCAAGAGGAGGGTGTGGGGCCAGCCCCATGAACTGTCTCAGACATGTGAGGAGCACGCATGGGTGGAACGGCCTAACCCCTCACCCACGTGGTGCCCCACTTCCTCGCCCAGCTTCATGTGTCCCGGTGGACACGGTCAAGGCTGCAGTCAGGCACTCAGAACCCAGTCTCAGAAATATCTCAGGCCGAGGCCTCTTCCTGGGGCCTGTCTTGCCCCTGCTTCTCTCTCCAAGTGGGGCTGGAATTTTGGAGCCAGCCCTGGATCCACATATCCCCCTCCTCCAGCTGCAGTGACCCCAGGTAGGTCCCGCACTCAGCCACCACCATCATCAAACCACCTCCCCTCCCCAAGACTCAGCTATCCCATCTCTAAAGGGCAGGGGTTGGAGAAAGTGATGTCAAGCCTGCTAGAATTCAGACAGCCCCTGAGCCCGTCTGGGCAAACGTGATTCCCTCAAAGACACCCTCAAGGGACAGACACAATGGCACAAGAGCCAACTGGGTGGGTGGTTCTGCCCAAAGAGCCAAAATGGCTCCAGAACCTTTATCTGCCTCCTCTTCAGTGTCCAGGAGTCCAGCAAGCAACTCTCCTCGGGGCCTCCTCCCCAGGGCCTCTCCCTGAACACCCAGTGATGGAGCCCAGCTCCACCCTGAGTGTCCCTGTCAACTCCACCTGCTAATGTTCAATCAAGGAGATATTTCTGCCAACCTCACAGCCATTGTTTCTGCTGTTCCCTCTGCCTGGAGTGCTGTTCCCCGTCCTGCTCTGACCCTCCCCCACCCACCCAGCTTCTCTCCACCTCAGCTTCAACGTCACTCCCTCAGGAATGTCATTGCGGGCAGCCACAGCTGTGATGAGATGCCTAGGAACTTGGCTATTCACCATGGGCCTTTCTGGCTGGACTGCAGGTGCCAAGGCAAGCCAGCACCCTGCCTGGCCCCCAGGGGACCCTTGAGAATTGAAGATGGAGTAAGTGATTAATGGGTGCAGGGGGATCCCCAGGAACCAGACCAGGTCAGGCTGTACAGGCTGACCTGACACACCCACCCACCCACCCCTGCCCCTCCAGGGACCTCCTGCCCTCAGACCCATGGCTTCCTCACCTTTCTGGTCCTCCCCCTGCAGGCACCCTGGGCCATCTCTTTCTAGCACCCCTCCCCTGCACAGTTCCTCGCCTGGAAAGCCCTTTGATGAGGTGTTATTTGGCCCAGCCAGGCCACTCCCCGCCAACCCATCAGGCACCCTGGGAATGACAGGGACGTGCCTAGTCCAGCTCACACCTCACGGGCCGCTCAGACCTCCAGGCCTCCAGGCCTCCAAGGAGGGACGTGCCCAGGGCCAGGTTAAGAGAGTGAATTTTCCCCTCAGAAGAAGGACTGATGGTTTCTATTTCATGAGGCAAGGCTGGTTAATAGCAATGTCACGGCCGGGCGTGGTGGCTCACGCCTGTAATCCCAGCACTTTGGGAAGCCGAGGCAGGGGGATCACTTGAGGTCAGGAGTTCGTGACCAGTCTGGCCAACATAGTGAAACTCCATCTCTACTAAAAACACAAAAATTAGCCAGGCATGGTGGCAGGCACCTGTAATCCCAGCTACTCAGGAGGCTGAGGCAGGAGAATCGCTTGAACCCAGGAAGCAGGGGTTGCAATGAGACAATATCGTGCCACTGCACTCCAGCCTAGGTGACAGAGCAAGACTCCATCTCAAAAATAAATTAAAAAATAAAAATAGCAATGTCACTCAGGGTGACAATAAAAATCACAGGTACACACACACAACCCGGAACATGCAACCAGAGTCCCAGCCGTTCCAGCTCCCAGGCAAGTGTGTGGCCCAAACACATCTGCTCTGCACGCCTGCATCCTCACCTCTGACCGGCGAAAGCCACTTCCTCCCTTGGGAAAGATGATGGAGCCGCAGGAGCCCCAGAGACACCCAGGGAGAAACTCCAGAAGACTGGAAGGTCACCAACGATCAATGAATGCTGATTAAGGCAGGACACCATCTCCCACCTAGGAAACTAGCAAAAAAACAAGGAAAAAATGGCAGAGTGATGTCCCGGATGCTGGCGGCGGTGTGGGGAAACACAGTCTCATCTTCCGTGGGTCCAGGCGCAAGATGGCGCAGTGTGTTTGAGGGCAGTTGGATGGTGTCTTTCCAAATGGAAAATGCTCCTATACTTTAACAAAGCAATTTTATCTCTGGGAATCTATTCTGTAGATATGTTTGCAAATATGTGTGTGTTTATTGTGAAGAAACTGAAAGCAGCCTATTTTCCACAGTAGGGGGATGGGTGGGTAAATTAGGCTAATTCCTCCAATGGCATCTTATAGAGTCATTAAAAACAATGGGGAGGATCTCTGTTTCCTGACAGGAAGAGATATTCATGCCATATTATGTGGGGGGAAGAAAGCAAGTTGTAAAATGCTTTACGTACTATAATTTTTTAACGTAGGTATGTTTAACACGAGTGAATGTATACACATACATGCACACAAGATCTGGAAGGACACCAGAGTGTTAAAAGTGTTTTCACCTCTTGAGAGTAGTAGTAGAATATTTTACAAGCATGTATTAATTTTGAGATTCTTGAAGGGAATGGATTATTAACTGAAAAAGCTAAACCCTGATGGTAAAACTTGACAAAAAACACAAAGGAAAAACACCACTTACTGATTGCACACATGAAATGGAAAAAGGCAAAACCTCTAAGCAAAATGCTGGAAACTATCATCCAGCTGTATATTAAAGAATAATCCACCGTGACCAAGCAGGACTTATGCAAGAAATGCAAAAATAGTTGAAAATTAACGCATTGGCCAGGCGCGGTGGCTCACACCTGCAATCCCAGTACTTTGGGAGGCTGAGGTGGGCAGATCACCTGAGGTCAGGAGTTCGAGACCAGCCTAGCCAACATATAGTGAAACCCTGTCTCTACTAAAAAATACAAAAATTAGCTGGGCATGGTGGTGCACACCTGTAGTCCCAGCTACTTGGGAAGCTGAGACAGGAGAATTGCTTGAACCAGGGAGGTGGAAGCTGCAGTGAGTCAAGATCACACCACTGCACTCCAGCCTGGGCGACAGAGTGAGACTCCGTCTCTCAAAAAAAAAAAAAAATTAATGTATCACATTAATAGGTCAACAGGAGAAGGATCTTATAAACATTGCAACAAAGCAGAAAATCACTTGCTAAAATTCAACACCCATCCCTGTTTGGATTTTTTGTTTTGTTTTTGCTTTTTCTTGTTTTTTGAGTTTATTTTTTTTTAGTAAAATTAGGAATGAATGCATCTTCTTTCACTTGATGACAAAAACTCAAACCAAGAATCAATATCATACAATGAGTGGTGCAAAATCAAAAGCAAGACAAGATGGCCGGGCGCGGAGGCGCACGCCTGTAATCCCAGCACTTTGGGAGGCTGAGGCAGGCGAATCACCTGAGGTCAGGAGTTTGGGACCAGCCTGGCCAACATGGTGAAACCCTGTCTCTACTAAAGATACGAAAATTAGCTGGGCATGGTGGCGCATGCCTATAATACCAGCTACTCAGGAGGCTGAGGTGAGAGAATCGCTTGAGCCTGGGGGACGGAGGTTGCAGTGAGCTGAGACTGCACCACTGCACTCCAGCCTGGGCAAGAGAGTGAGACTCAGTCTCAAAAATAAAAAAAAAAAGCAAGACAAGATAACTGCAGCCATCACCATTATGTGGTATTGTTCTGACAGTTTTTGCTGATAAATAATACAAAACACTTAAAACGTGAAATATTTGATTGGAAAAGAAGCGACAGTATTATAATTTGGACAAGCTGTGACTCTCAACCTAGAAAACTGAAGACATTAACAAAAAATTAGAAGTAGTTAAAAAAAACTTTAGTAAAAGAAGCTGGAAAGAAAATTAATATATGAAATGAATTCCTTTCCAACATACTAGCAATACTCATTTGTAAAAAATGTAATGGAAAAAAATTCTGGGCAAAATAGTAACAAAACCAAAACTATCTTAAAATAATCTTTAAAAAAAAAAGGGTGGAACCTATGAGAAAAAAAACCTGAATCTTTACAAAGAAAAACTATGAATCTTTACTAAAAGAAATAAATGTGAACAGAACAAGAGGCATGTCTGATGGATGAGAACAATAGAGTTTTTTGAAAATGATAACTCTTCCCCAAAATCAAGATTTAACACAATTCCAAGAAAAATCACAGTAGAAAAAAATTTTTGGAAGTTGACAAGTTTTTCTACATGTCATCTAAAAGATAAAATTCTCAAGAAGCTTTTGCAAATGAAGAATATGAATAAAAAGAAGATGCTCGGCCAGGCGCAGTGGTTCAGGCCTGTAATCCCAGCACTTTGGGAGGCCAAGGTGGGTGGACCGCTTGAGCCCAGGAGTTCAAGACCAACCTGGGCAATATGGCAAGACCCTGTCTCTACCAAATATATATACACACACAAAAATTAGCCAGGTGTGGTGGCATGTGCCTGTGGTCCCAGCTACTCTGGGGGTGAAGTGGGAGGATCACCTGAGCTTGGGGAGATGGAGGAAGCAGTGAGCCATGATCGAGCCACTGCCACCCAGCCTGGGCAACAGAATGAGACCCTGTCTCAAAGTTTAAAAGAAGAAGAAGAAGAGGCCAGGCATGGTGACTCACACCTGTAATCCCAGGACTTTGGGAGGCCAAGGCAGGAGGATCCTTTGAGGTCAGGAGTTCAAGACCAGCCTGGCCAACATAGTGAAACCCCATCTCTACTAAAAATACAAAAATTAGCTAGGCATGGTGGCACACATCTGTAATCCCAGCTACTAAGAAGGCTGAGGCAGGAGAATTCCTTAAACCCAGGAGGTGGAGGTTGCAGTGGGCCAAGATTGCGCCACTGTATTCCAGCCTGGGAGACAAGGTGAGATTCCATCTCAAAAAAACAAAAACAAAAAAATTTATTTTTTTTAAAAAAGAAGAAGAAGCTGAAGAAGGTGTTGGCCTAAGTAATTTTGGAAATGAATGGAGTCTGTTAAGACTAAAAGCAAAAGAACTGTATTCTAGTTAATAAAGCTGTTTCCCGTGGGGGTCCCACTCAACAATTCTGAAACCACTTTAAATGTATACTGGAACTAAACAGTAAAGTAAAGGGATGGTGGGTGGCAGGAGACAGATTTCTGACTGTTAGACGTGGAGGTTCTAGATAAGGAACAGGAAGAGGTTTGACTCTCCATATACCTAATACATCTAATCCAATATCGAATATAAATTAGAGTTGAAGATATCAGCATGAACTCATGTTTAGCTTAATATAGACACGGATGATTACATATAAAACTATGTATAGATACAAGTACAAACACAGGTTATATATACAACATACAACTCCTTGCCCTGTCAGCTAAGGGAGGTTTTAGAAGTAACAGCACCTCAGTACCAACAAACACACTTAGCACGGATATCCTGGTTTCCAATCACAGGAAGCAGGGCTCCTTGGAGAAATAGCGAATTCAAGGACTGAGGCAGGAAATACCTAAGATGAGCCTGGAGCCACTACCAGTGCCAAAAAGTAGGAATGTGGGAAAAACGAAAACAAAAACAAAAACAAAAAACACACGTGCACAACAAGAGGGGTGTCCAAGGGACACAGAAACCAACTGAACGAGCTCCCGATGACCACAGTCAGAAACATTTGAGGAGCAAAATAAAGTGGTTTAGGATCATAACACAAAGTATAAAATAGCTAGCCATGATTCTATGCTGATGTAGACAAGTGATTGAATTAATTAATAAATGGAGCAGAAGAGACAACTCTCATGCAGAATAATTCCAAATAATCCATGTAGATAGATACTCCCCCACCAAGGACGTGGATCATGGCTCCCCGCTTTTTAAACGTGGGCTGCACACAGTAAGTGACTCTCTTCCAGAGAGCCCAGTATGGAAAGAGAGAGGGGAAAAAGAGTAACTCTATAGTGGAGAAATCTGAAAAATACTATCCGAGTCAGGCAATCAAGCTTAACATCAACAGCGTTCCATCACCGTGATAGCGTGTGCTCTTGATATGAGACGATGAGAATGGTATTTTAATGCTGGGTCTTCCTCCCAAAACATTACCCAGTCTAACTGGAAAAAAAACATTAGACAAATAATGACTGAGGGAAAAGAGCTGACCAGTATTCCTCAAAACTGTCAATTTCACCAAAACGAAAGTAAGCCTGAGAAACTCACAACCTGAGGAGCTGAAGAAGACACAATTAATGTATCCTGGATGGGATCCTGGAGCAGAAAAAGGGCATTAAAGAAAAACTGAGGAAGGCTGGGCACCGTGGCTCATGTATGTAATTCCCCTGCTTTGGGAGGCAGAGGCAGGAAGACCACTTGAGGCCAGGAGTTTGACATCGGCCTAGGCAACATAGCAAGACCCCATCTCTACAAAAAGTTAGCCAGGTGTGGTGGTGTGCACCTGTAGTCCCAGCTACTCAGAAGGCTGATGTTATTAACATCTTACATTACTATGCTACATTTATCACAACTAATAAATAAATATTGATACATAATTATTAACCCAAGTCCACACTTTATTGAGATTTTCTGTTTTTCTTTTTGTTGTTGTTGTTTTCTTTTTGAGACAGGGTCTTGCTCTGTCGCCCAGGCTGGAGGGCAGTGGCACAATCATAGCTCCCTGCAACCTTGACCTCCTGGGCTCAAGCAATCCTCACACCCCAGCCTCCCAAAGTACTGGCATTACAAGTGTGAGCCACTGAGCCCAGCCTACCAATTTTTAAAATTTCAAGTTGAAGAATTAAATGTGAAGAGAGGAAAATAAAACAAAACACACACATACACAAACCCTAGAAAATCTGCCTAACTGGTTTTGTGATAGGGAAAAAAAAAAACAAACAAACAAACAAACAAAAAAAACCTTTATAAGCACCTAAGTGAAGAAATCACAAAGAAAAAAAACAATAGATTTCTCTACATAAACATTTAAAACTTCAAAACTTCTAAGAATTACAAATACTAAAAGACAAGCAACCAGGAAAAATACTAAGTACACTTAAAAAAAAAAAGAAACAGTTAAGGCCAGGCATGGTAGCTCATGCCTGTAATCCCAGCATTTTGGGAGGCTGAGGTGAGTGGATCACTTGAGGTCAGGAGTTTAAGACCAGCCTGGCCAACATGGTGAAACCCTGTCTCTACTAAAAATACAAAAATTAGCCGGACGTGGTGGCACGCATCTGTAGTCCCAGCTACTCAGGAGGCTGAGGCAGGAGAATCACTTGAACCTGGGAGGTGGAGGTTGCAGTGAGCAGAGATCACGCCACTGCACTCCAGCCTGGGCAACAGAGCGAGACTCCATCTCAAAAAACAAACAAACAAACAACAACAAAAAAAAAAACAGATAACATCATCAACATAAGGTCCTCATTCCAACTAAAAATAAAAGCACTAAAACTCCCATGAAAAAATTTGCAAAGAAACTGACAGTTTACAAAATAAGAAATTCATACCAAAAATATCTAGTGAACGCTTGAAAGACATATTGAACCTCACTAGCAATTGAAACAAGAAGATATCATTTTCCATTTTTGAATTAGAAAAGAAAGGTTTTTATATTAATTTCCAGTGTTGGGGGTGGCTGTGCTGAAACGGGCCCCTGAAACAGTTCTGGTGGAAGTTCAATCTCCTGAAACATTCTGGAAAACAACCTGAAGAGTCGTCCCCCCACTCGGTGTGTTAAAAATGGCCTAGAATTCCACTTCAAGGAACTTAAGCCTACGTAAAAACCAATCAAAGATGCAGACAAAGATTTTTACAAGAGAGTTTCTTAGTAACATTTTAATATAGAAACACTGAAAACAACCTAAATTTTAGCACTAGATCTTGGTTTCTACTACTAATTTCAAAAAAAAAAAAAAAAAAAAGGAACCAGGGCTCTTTTGCAATGATTAGCAAATTTCTAACTTTTCTACTCTGGGAACATACAATTTTTAATTTAGAAACTGTAAAATTTCCGAAGCACGGATCTTAGTTTGTCTCCAAGCAGGAACAGTCTAGAACCGCCACGATTTGCCCCGCACCCGCCTCTTGGGGTTTAGGAGAGGGGCTTACTTTAAGAAAACCCTCCCGCTGTGCAGCTCTGGGAGCTGGAACAAACAGCTACAACCCGTTTCTCAAGTTCCTCTTCCACCAAAGGGGATTCTATTTGCTGATTCAAAAGGCACAGCCAGGCCTAAATCACAGTTCCAAACTGCTGCTCAGAAGCCCTCGGTGGCTGTTCACAGCCCATAGAAGGAAAAGGAAATCCAAGTCCGCCAAGGCATCAATCGGCCCTGCACTCACGGCTGTGTCCAATCTTGCCCTTCCCCACTTTCCCGCTCCACTCCTCCCGTGCACACCCAGCTCCCACACACACCTGTCCCTCCACATCAGCCCTCCTGTCCATCCCCCGGTCCTTACCCAGCCAGCTCCACATGCCCCAGGGAGTCCTCTCTCCCTGCTGTGTTCCCAGCACCTGGCATCTGCCAGGCAAACGGCCAAAACCCAGTAAACATTCACTGATGTTCTTCAGGCCCTACTCACAGGCTGCTTCCTCAGGGGGGGGTCTTTCCTTAGCCCCCTTCCTTGCTTACTGGCCCATGGCCAGGAGTTGGCACCTGAGCCACCACATGTCACTTTCTACTCCCCACCTGGCCTGTCCCAGAGGGCTACCAGCCCCGTGGAATGAACCATGCCCCTTTACACTGTGAGCCTCCCTGGGCTCTACACAGATCAAGGGCTCCATGGTGCTGAAGTCTCCCCGACGTCTGAACCTGGGGGTGTCACTCGGAAGCTAATTTGGGGAACCAGGATGGAGAACTGGATTTTTGTTTCATAGAGGATGGAGTGAGGGGGCTGAGCCTGGTGAAGGCTGGAGAACTGCCCACCAGCTCAGTGCCCAGAGAGGAGAGGGAAGAGCAGGGGTGGGAGGTGGGCTTCCTGAGGCTCATGGCCACAAATGGGGCAGCGAGGACAGTCTCAGGAACCCTGGTCTGGGCTTCAGGACACGACATCTGGCTCTGAAAGGCTGCTATCCTGCTGGGCCACTGGAGCCACATATTTCAGAGACAAATGTGGGTTATGATTCAGGAATGACGCCACCCTGGCAGGTGGCCTTGGGAAAGTCTCATCAGTGTCCTGAGCCTCAGTTTTTCCAACTGTAAGATAAAGGGGTAGATTCAACGATCTCTAAGCTCCTTCAGTGTGATGTCTTCGGAAGCCCCAGAACAATTCAGAAAGTGGGTGAGAGAGCTGGGGAGACGGAGGGTGACCTGTGTTCCAGCTTAAGTGCCAGAACACACTTCACAGCCCACCTCCTCACAACCCCCAGCTTGGTTGCCCCCTGACTCCAAGATAGAAGCTGTCCATCTGATGTTCCTAGAAATCTTTGTCTAGAGCCTTGGCTTCTGAGCTTTGAGCTGCAAAACCCTGTGGTGCCCAGAACTCCTGGAAGCAGAGGGGCCTCCAAGCCCCTAGACCACAAACTCAGCCTGAAGCCTACGTAGAACTATGTCTTCCCACTGTTTTGTCCATTTTCTAAGAACCTGTAATGGTATTGTGATTAATAAATGCAAATCCCTCTGCAAGGACTTGCTGGCTCATACAGCCAATGGCCACCGTCTATTTCTTCAGCACAAGAACACTCTGCAGTACAATTTAGCAAGGAATCTGTGCGTGTGTGTGTGTGTGTGTGTGTGTGTGTGTGTGTGTGTGTGTTTTATTTGGGGGGGTTGTTTGTTTGTTTGTTTGTTGCTTTATAAAGCTATCCTTGACAGAGGGGTGAATGATAGAGAGATGTGATAAAGCAAAATATGACTCAGAGGCTCTCGGTGGGCATAGGCGGTTCCATGTATGTTTCTCCCCATTTTACTGTAAGTTTGAAATTTTCCATTAAAAAACGCTGGGGAGGCTGGGTGCAGTGGCTCATGCTTGTAATTTCAGCACTTTGGGAGGCCTAAGTGGGAGGATCACTGAGGCCAGGAGTTTGAGACTAGCCTGGGCAATACAGAGAGACTCCATGTCTATAAAAAATTTAAAAATCAGCCAGGCATGGTGGCGTATGCTTGTAGTCCCAGCTACTTGGGAGGCTGAAGCAGGAGGGTCACCTGAGCCCAGGAGTTCGAGGCTGCAGCGAGCTGTGATCACGCCACTGCACTCCAGCCTGGGTGACAGAGCCAGACCTTGTCTCAAAAAAAAAAAGAAGTGTGGAAAGCAGTCCTGCTCCTCGCCGCTGGGAACCTGCAGCTCACTCAGCAACCGCTGTCCCTGGGACTCTCTACAGTGGAGCGCCCAGGGACCCTTTCAAGGGCGCCCCTAACACTGAGCTGCAAGGCAGGGGGTTAAAGGGGAAGCAGAGGTGCAGCGTGCAGGGAAGAAGGAGTTAGGGCGGAACTCAGCTGTGAGAACACAGCAGGTGGAGGCCACGGGGCCAGCACACGAGAGGCGCTGCCCTTTCCCCAGGGAAGACAGGCGAGGGGACAAGACCAGCAAGGGTGAGTCCGCTCCCCACTGCAGGGTCCGTGGTGGACCCCATTTCGTCTCAAGGCCTGCCTCTGGGAGCCATTCCGGTCTCCAAGCCTCCGCTGGGAGCGAATTCTAAGAATTGGCCAAAGGAAAAGCCCTGCAAAGGCTCGTAGCGTCCCAAGTCCTCGAGAGGAATGCCTCATTTCAACATCTCAGCAAGTCTGGGAGGCCATCCTCACCATTTCATAGGTGGGGCCGGTAAGGCGCGGGAAGGTGAGGTCACTTGCTGAAGTCTCACAACGGCGCGGGAGAGCAGGGAGAGCAGGTTCCTTGAGCGAGGGAATGTTCCAGGGGGGTGGGAGGGAAGGGACAGCTGCAAGGACTGCCCAGGTGGCCAGGGTACCCGCAGCGCGGATATGCCGAGAAGGCGCGCCCGCCAAGCCGCGGCGCAGCCCACGACGTCCAGGTGCGTTCGGGGCCAACTGAGGGGGTCAGGCAGGTGAGAGCACCTCGAAGGGGGCGCCCGGCGGGCGGGGGTGCGGGGGCGCTACCTGGGTCGTGGAAGGGCACCAGCGCGTAGTTGGCGATGGCCTGGCTGCGGCGGCTCAGACTGCGTTCCAGAATGCGCGAGGCGCCATCGATCACCTGCATCAGTTCGTCCCACATGGAGCCGGTGACGTCGAAGACGAAGGCCAGGGTGGCGTCCCCCGTGGTGGGGGGCATTACCGTCCCGGGCGCCCCGGCCACTGCCACTGCCACTGCCGCAGAGACCGCGGTCAGCAGCCGCAGGAGCGGCGCCCCGGGCATCATGCCGAGCGCGGCTCTGGCTGCGGGTGCTGCGGTGGAGGCGCAGGTCGGAGCTAGCCGGCCGCCCCGGTGCACACGGCGGCTGCAGGCAGTGCCTTGCTCCGTCGGGCCGCGGCCAGTGCGCGAGGGATAGGGGCGCGCGGCGGGTCCGCCTGCTGGGCGCCCGAGGCGGGTCCTAGAGCCCACCCCGTTCAGGGTCACGGCCCGCCTCCTCCCCTCCCCCAATCGTGACTCAAACTTTCCCAGCCCCACTGTTCGCCCGTCCAGATCCGAGGTTAGGGGAGGACGCGGGGCGGAAGGCAGAAAGGAGCTGGGGCCCCGGCCAGGGCAGCGAGGGATGGGGACGCGCAGGATGCAGTGGACACCTGCGCCTCCCGCCGATGGCGCGCCGGGGGCGGGAGAGAGGGAGGGGGAGGCGCAACGGCCCCAGTCTCCCTCCAGCCCCAACTCCCCCCACCCCTGCCTGGCCAAAGCGGACCCTGGCTTCTGCAGCTCCCTCCACCCAGTGCTGCGACAAATCCCCCCACCCCCGCCCCCCAACACACACACAAACTTTGCCATTCGTTTTCCTTCTGCCAGGTGGGCTCTGTGCTTCCCGGTTATTGCAAGCACTACTGCTATTATAATCAACAAGAAGTCTTGTTGTTAACCATGTTCTAAGCATTTTCAGTTATTTGCTTGAAGACTGGCTGCAACCCTAGAATGAAATACTAACCCTAAGCCCATTTTACAGAGGAGCAAACTGAGGCTCAGAGAGGTGAAGGCATTTGCTCCAGGTCACTCAATTATCAAACAATGAAGACAAGATCAGAGGCCAGATCTAGAAAGACTCCAAAGGCCCAGGGCTCTGCTGCCTCCCTTGTGTTAAAAGACATTGTCACACGGTCACCTGGTGACTCCAGAGGATGAGGGCTATCCTCCTGCCCATCCACCTCCCCAGCCCCATGGGCTGCATGTGTGGATGCTGCATCCCACGTGAGGTGCTGCCTGGGACTGGGTTCAGCCTCCTGCTCCGGGCAGATCCAGATGGGCTCAGGCACGGCTGCTTATCTCAGGCTGTGCTCTCGGGACCTGTTTCCAGGCCTCTCTCCCCGCTGGCCTATAAGCCCCTTGAGGGCACGGCTAGGCCTTGGTCTACACTGGATGAGCCCCTAGTTCCCAGCCCATATCCAAGCACATGGTGGGGAGGCACTAATGTTGTCTGAATAAATAAACCGCAGCTTTTGTGGAAATGCCGGGTTTTGAGTCATGTGCGAGAAGGTAGCTAATCCCCTCAATCCCTCCTCCGAGAACACCATGCTCCCAGAGACATGGCTGAGGGCTCTAGGTCTGTGAGTGATGGGGGGCGCTTTCTTGAGCCCCTGTCCCTGCAGAGTCGTCAGCCAGGAAGCCACCCCTCCGCCACGCTCTTCCTTTCCTCTTCGGTCTCAGCTCAGACCCCACCTCTGAGGCTGCTTCTGAACCCTTGCCCTGCAACCCACATTTCTCTGAGCCCTGTCCTGGCTCTGACCACACCGTACAGCCCATGTCATGTCTGGGGCCCTGCCTCTCCCACTCTGGCTGTGAGTTCTATGGCAGAGATCCTGTGCCCGGCACATGCTAGGTGCCCAAGGAAGGTGTGCCACCTGAATGGGGCAGCAGGCATCAGAGAAGCTTGGCAGCTGGGCATTGGCCACAGCGGGAGGTAGCACACATCCGCAGGGACTCTGTTCTAGCCCAGAGCTGGGGTCCGAGGGAAATGGTCTCCCACGGAGCTACCAGTCTCGTGGAATATAGTGCCACCAGGTGCCCAGACCCAGCAAGGGAGTGGAACTTGCAGCCAAGTTCACAGGAAGTTGAGTCACCTGCACTTCTTAATGCTGGCTCTTTAAATCTCCCTGGGCTAAGTCTGTGATAACCCCCAGAGTCTGGGCAGGGCTGGGCCAGCTGTTGGAGAAAGAGGTCCCAGCTGTGGGAAGGCAAAAGCCAACAGGAGCCAGGAACCAGGCAGGACTCATAAATGGTGACATTTCAGGCACAGTGCAGGGAACATTTGGGGACAAAGGTCCTTCGGTCATTCACACCACAAACATTTGCTGAGCCCAAGCTGTGGTCAGGCACTCTGCTAGGCAGCGAGAGCAGCAGCGGGGGGTGGGGGGATGAAGATGCAGAAGACATGCTTCCCACTCTGGGGAGAAGAGACATGTAAACAAATAATTCTAAGTCAATGAGGTAAGTGCTAATAGAGGAATTACCAAGCACTCTGGGAACTCAGAGGAAGGAGTGACTGAGCCTAAGAGGTCAGAGGAGGCCACAGAATGAGCCTGAGAAGTCTTAAGGAACAAGCAGGGAAGGGTATTTGAGGAGCAGGAACAGCATGTGCGAAGGCAGGGAGATCTGAGACACCCACTGACAGGTAGCCCTATGTAACCAGCCAGGGGATGGCAAGCTGAGAACAAAGACTAGATCACAAAGGACCTCTGGTATCTTGCAAATGCACTTGGGGTTTTTCTGAGGACATTGGGGAGCTATTGAAGAATGCAGGCCAGAAAGCCATCTGATTTGATGTGCATTTCAGACAGGTCACAGCAGAGAAGTTTGGAGGGTAGACCTTGTAGATGCCAGGAAGCCACAAATCTACCCATCAAGGATGTAAGGGCAAAGCTGGCCCCAAAGAAAAAAAGCAAGATACCTTTCCCCGAGCTGGTCACCGGGGGCAAAAGGAATCATGGATTTCAGTCCTGAAACAGCCTGGCTACCTGGAGCAAAGCCCTCCCCTCCCGGGAGCTTGGTCTCTTCATTCATAAAATGATTCTGAGACGGAAGGGAGGCTAACAAGATAACCTCTGATGTTTCTTGCAGCCTTACCACTCTGGAACCACCACCCCGGTCCCTCAGAGACAGAGGAAGGATGCGAGGGGAAGTCTAGGCTCATCTTGGCACTGCTTCCCCCAACTGCCAGGGAAGAGAGGCTTGAGCAGGCACCTGTCATCTGTCTGCCATAGCTCCATCAAAGAGTAATGTCTGGCCTGACCCCAATGCCCATCCAGGATGACTGGAGGTGCTGCCCCAAGCACCATCCTCTCCGAGTGCTCGGGGCTTCCCAAGAATGTAACTATGGTCGCATAGCAAAAGTGAGCAAGGCTGCAGTGCAGCAGCCCAGAGAAAACACAACTGAACCTCATCAATCAATTTCCATCCCACCACCTTGACTTGACTGCAGGCTGCCTGGGAACCCCACACTTCTCCTCTCTTTCCAGAAGAAGCGGTCTCAGCGGAGTTGTTTCCTAACGTAGCACATTTGTTGCAGACAGCTACAGAGAGCAAAAATATGCTATGGGCCATCCACTTAAAGGAAACAGGCACGGGTATTGCTCAACCTGCCGAGTTCAGCCCTGGCTCATGAACTCAGTTCCATGCACTGCGTCTGCACTGGGGATCCATGTGCAGAGGGGCCAGATCAAAACCCCGGACTCTGAATACATGGTCAGTGCACGAGAAATGACTTCTCCCTACCAATCGCCCTTCCTTACTCTTTCCTATTCCCTGCTCCCCAAATGCCTTCTAGTCTTGGCCGCATTAAATCTGTGATTCTAGGCTGGGCGTGGTGGCTCACGCCTGCAATCCCAGCACTTTGGGAGGCCGAGATGGGCAGACCAGCTGAGGTCAGGAGTTTGAGACCAACCTGGCCAACATGGTGAAACTCCGTCTCTACTAAAAATACAAAAATTAGCCAGGCATGGTGGCAGGCATCCATAATCCCAGCTTCTTGGGAGGCTGAGGCAGGAGAATTGCTTGAACCTGGAAGACGGAGGTTGCAGTGAGCGAAGATCGCACCACTGTACTCCAGCCTGGGCGACAAAGCGAGACTCTGTCTCAAAAAATAAAAATAAATAAATCTGCAATTCTAACATCCCCCACTCACTTCATCCCACCCCAGCCCTCATCCTCAGGGAATCTTCTCTGTTCCTCTGAGAGAGTAAAAATACTAAGGGTGGAGAGGATTGGCCAGAGCCTCGGGGAAGGCCAGACCCCGTACTGACCCCCTCCTCAGGTGCTCCCTCAGCAACCTCTAACGTCAACATCTCCTCTTCATGGAACAGATGAGACAACTGAGGCTCCGAGAGGTGAAGTCCTGTGTCTGGACTGGGCTGTGTGTTGGCGTGTGCCTTCCCACAAATCCTGTGACCCACCTCACCACTCCATGCTGCCCCAGAAACATGGGGCAATGATTTGTACAGGAATCCCAGCAAGCAGAGCTTCTTCTAGAACTAACCAGGAGCTCGGTGTCTTCCTCAGACACTCATAGTCCTCTCGAGCAATTCCCCAGGCTGGACTCTGACTCAAGCTTCAGACATTAAGCACCTTTGAAAGGCTGGAAAGTCACAGTCTACTCATATGTCACCAGAAGGCCTGGGCAAAAAAAGGAGGTAGAGAAATAACCCCGGGAATGAAGCAGGGGTTCTGCCCTCCCAGGGCCTGAGAATTAAAAACTGTTTCAAATCCTTGTTTCGTTCCTCTAGGAAAAATTAAAGAATTAAGCGAGGGCCTGGAAAACAAGGCTAGCAGGAAGTCGGAGGAACTGACAAACAACTGGGAAGATGAAGCTACCGAGGATGGGCTGCAGGAGCCAAGAAGTTAGAATCTGCAAGCCTGCGCCGAGTGCTCCAGTCAGCCAGCACTAGATGATTTACTGCTGAATCCAGCCCCTCTATGGACCAGCCTCCAAGTCACATGGACCGTAAGGAATGGTTTGAGACCATCCCAAGAAATATTTGGGCAGCTCAAGAGATGCAGAAACTGTTGCCCATCCCCATGTTTCAAGAACAAACAAGTAAAAGCTAAACCAGGGCCAAGCGCTCTGAGACTCGCTCCCCGCCACCCAGCCCTAGCCCAGTGTCCCCTGGACAGGGCTCATGCCCTGCTGAGCCCCTGATGCTGAAGTCAGGGGAGAAGGAGCCCGCCTCATTGGCAGGGGTCATTCCTCACTGTTCAGGCAGTAAACTAAGCCTTCTTGTCATTTATGGCTATTTTGTCACCTTTACCATTGTCATCAGTGGCTGGCAAGAATATCCACGTGAGTTGAAGTTTACTGTCTGTCCTTTTATTCTTCTGTCCTCTTTCTCTATCTCATAATTAAAAATTCCATTTAACTGTTTTGTGTATTTTGGCAGACACTGTTGGCTTCCTATCCTAAATTCTTCCCTACCTTCTTCCTGGAAAGCCTGGCTTTCCCTCTGGCTTTCTGGTTCAGGTGACTATTCTTCCTCCACACAACTTGAGGAAGGGTAACCCTTTTCTCTCCCCAAAGGAAACCCTGATGGACTAGGTCACCCTGTAATCCCATTCCCCTTGCCAGTGACTGGGCTGGGAATGGGCATTTGATGCAATTTTGGCCAACGGGCCATGAAAGAGTGTGTACTCATGTGTCTTCAAGAGACACAAAAGAACCAGGTCAGAGGACTTCTACTGCCTGCAAGTCTTGAAGTCTTATTCCAAAGCAACAGTAATTAAGACAGCATGGGAAAGGCAAGAGGAAAGACAAATAAGTCAATAGAACAGGACAGAGTCCAGAAATAGATCTATACATAGATAACCAATTGACTTTTTTTTTAAATTTTTGTGGGTACATAGTAGGTGTATATATTTATGGGGTACATGAGATGTTTTGATACAAGCATGCAATACGTAATAATCACATCATGGAAAATGGAGTATCCATCCCCTCAAGCTTCAAGCATTTATCTTTTGTGTTACAAACAATCCAATTATACTTTTAGTTATTTTTGAATATACAGCTATTATTGACTACAGCCACCCTGTTGTGCTATCAAATACTACAGCCAATTGATTTTTTTTTTTTTTTTTTGAGATGGAGTCTCACTCTGTTGCCCAGGCTGGAGTGCAGTGGCATGATCGCAGCTCATTGCAACCTCTGCTTCCAGGGTTCAAGTGATTCTCCTGCCTCAGCCTCCTGAGTAGCTGGGATTACAGGTTCCTGCCACATGCCCAGCTAATTTTGTATTTTTAGTGGAGACGGGGTTTCACCACGTTGGCCAGGCTGGTCTTGAACTCCTAACCTCAGGTGATCCACCCACCTCAGCCTCCCAAAGTACTGCAATTACAAGCGTGAGCCACCGTGCCTGGCCCAGCCAATTGATTTTTGAGGAAAGTGCCAAGGAGGAAAGGAAAGTCTTTTTCAACGAATGGTGTTGAATATCTGTATGGTAAAACAATGAACCTGGGTCCCTGCCTCACACCAGACACAAAGACTAATTGCAGATGATTTACAGGTCTCCATGGAAAAGTGAAACTAGAAGGCATCTAGGAAAAAAAAAAAAAAGACACAAGGAAGAAAGAAGTGGAGCCCCTCTTCTTCCACTTAGTGATGTGATGTCTGCATAGGAGGGGAGGAACTGTACAGCCATCCTGGAACCATGAGGACACAGCCCATGGACAGCATGGAAAGAGAAACGAGCTTCAGAGTTGCCCTCCGTGTGGCTTTCTTGCTATGTGAAATGATGCATTTTCCTTCATTGTTAAGCTAACTGCATTGCATTCTCCATTACTTGCAGCCAAAAGCATTCCCACTGAGACATGCCTGTCCTTTTGTTTTTCCCTCCTATGGTGTAGGGTTTTGCATAACTATTTACGTTCAGGCAATAAACACAAAACCATGAACATTGACCTTCATGTGGAATTTAAGGATTGCTAAACTTTTTTCTGTACCTAGATTTCTCCTGTGTTGATTTTGGAATCCAACTCCTGGGGCAGGCGCTGAGGCACCCTGAGGAAAGGGCTGTGATTGTCCAGTGCCAAAAGTGACCCACAAAGCAAAGTGTCTCCAAAGGACAGAGACCACAATTGACTCATTCTCATTCATACCCTTGAACCCAAGTACAGCATCTGGAACACAGCAGGAGCTCAATAAATAAGTGTTGTATGAATGGATGGATAGAACAAGAAAAGTCCAGGCCCTTTCATTCATTGTATTATAAGCTTGCAAGCTTAATTAGTACAATTAAAATACATAAGCAATATCTTAGTTTCTTTAATAATTCCCCTTAATTTACACGCTCTCTTTATTTGAGTAAGTTCCCCAGGTGTTTGAAGAATGTTATTAGAATTGGACAGTCCCTGTGTTGGAGACAGGGCCATTGAAGCTGGTATTTCTTCTCCCTTCCCTTCCTTCCTCCCTTCCTTTCTTTTTTTTTTTCTCCAAGATGGGGTCTTGTTCTGTCCCCAGGGTGGAGTGCTGTTGCATGATCATGGCTCACTGCAGCCTCAACCTCCTAGGCTTAAGCGATCCTCCTGCCTCAGCCTCCTAAGTAGCTGGGACACACCACCATGCCTAGCTTTTTTTTTTTTTTTTTTTTTTTTTTTTTTTGATACAGGGTCTGTATTAGTCCATTCTCAAACTGCTAATAAAGATATACCCAAGACTGGGTGATTTATAAAGGAAAGAAGTTTAGTGGACTCACAGTTCCACATGGCTGGGGAAGCCTCAAAATCATGATGGAAGGCAAAGGAGAAGCAAAGGCACGTCTTACATGGTGGCAGGAAAGAGAACTTGGTGCAGCGGAACTCCCATTTATAAAATCACGAGATCTTGGCCAGGCGTGGTGGCTCATGCATGTATTCTCAGCACTTTGGGAGGCTGAGGTGCGCAGATCACCTGAGGTCTGGAGTTCAAGACCAACCTGGCCAATGTGGTAAAACCCCATCTCTATTAAAAATACAAAAATTAGCCAGGCGTGGTGGCGGGTGCCTGTAATCCCAGCTACTTGGGAGGCTGAGGCAGGAGAATCACTTGAACCTGGGAGGCAGAGGTTGCGGTGAGCTAAGCTGAGATGGCGCCACTGCACTCCAGCCTGGGTGACAGAGTGAAACTCTGTCTCAAAAATAAGTAAATAGATAAATAAATAAATAAAACCATCAGATCTCATGAGACTTATTCACTACCATGTGAACAGTATGGGGTAAACCACCCCTATGATTCAATTACCTCCCACCGGGTCCCTCCCACAACATGTGGGAATTATGGTAGCTACAATTCACGATGAGATTTGGGTGGGGACATAGCCAAACCATATCAGGGTCTCACTATGTTGCCCAGGCTTTTCTTGTACTCCTGGGCTCAAGCATCCTCCTGCTTTTGCCTCCCAAAGTGCTGGGATTACAGATGTGAGCCACTGTGCCTGGCCAAAGCAGGCATTTCTATACAGCCTGACCTGCTCCCAAATCAGGACCCCTCCTGTCACAGCCACGGTCCCCCTCCACCTACATTTCCACCATTAGCACCATTTCCTCTGTATTAAACAGCAAAGATGGAGAGATTTGCCCCAGAAGCCCCTGTGATACTGCACTGGGCTCAGACAAGACATCCCTTCCCTTTTCCCATCAGCACATTAGCTGGGGCTGTTCAACAGATAAGTTCTTGTCAACCAGAAGATTCTGAAAGCTGTCTTCGAGGGAGTAGAAGGGAAGCATGACAGCCAAGAAAAATCATTTCAAAGCACTTAAAGATGCCAGGTCAAGAGAGAGGGCACTGGAAATGAAAGATGGTGCAGCCGCTGCGCAAAACAGTTTGGCGGTTCATCAAGAAAATTAAACGTGGAATTATTATATGACCCAGCAATTCCACCACTAGGTATATAGCCAAAAGCATCGAAAACAGGTGTTCAAACAAAAATGTGTACAACAGTGTTCATAGCAACACTATTCACAATAGCCAAAAGGTGGAAACAACCCAAATGTCCATTAACGAACAAAGGGATAAACAAAATGTAGTAGTAACCATACAACAGAATATGATTCAGCAATAAAAAGGAATGATGAACTGATCCATGCTACAACATGGGTGAACCTTTAAAACATTATGCTAAATACAATAAGCCAGATGTAAAAGGCCACATATTTTATGATTCAATTTATCATATTTATCATAAAATCACGTATTTTATGATTCCAGAATCATATAATGAAATCTGGAAGAACCCAGAATAGGCAATTCCACAAAGACAGAAAACAGTTTAGTGGTTGCTAGGGGATGGAGATAGGAGAGATAAGGAGTGACTGCTAAATGGGTACAGGGTTTCTTCTTGGGGTGATGAAATGTTCTGGAACTAGATAGTGGTAATGACCACAAGACATCGTGAATGTACTCAATGCTGCTGAATTGTACACTTTAAAATAATTAAAATGATGAATTTTATGTTATGTGTATTTCATCTTTTTTTTTTTTTTTTTTTTTTTAAGACAGGGTCTCACTCTGTCACCCAGGCTAGAGTGCAGTGGCACGATCATGGTTCACTGCAGGCTCAAACTCCTGGGCTCAAGTGATCCTCCCACTTCAACCTCCTGAGTAGCTGGGACTACAGGCATGCACCACCATGCTCAGCTAATTTTTTTGTTTTGTTTTGTTTTTTATGAGACAGAGGTTCAGCCTGTCGCCCAGGCTGGAGGGCAGTGGCACAATCACAGCTTACAGCAGCCTCCATCTACCAGGCTCAAGTGATTCTCTTGCCTCAGCCTCCCAAGTAGCTGGGACTACAGGCATGCACCATCACGCCTGGCTCATTTTTGTATTTTTAGTAGAGATGGGGTTTCGCCATGTTGGCCAGGCTGGTCTTGGACTCCTGACCTAAAATGATCCATCCACCTCAGCCCCCCAAAGTGCTGGGATTACAGGCATGAGCCACTGCACCCAGCCTCAGCTAATTAAAAAAAAAAAAATTGTAAAGACAGGAATCTCACTATATTGCCCAAGCTGGTCTTGAACTCCTGGTCTGAAACGATCCCCCTGCCTCAGCCTCCCAAAGCACTGGGATTATAATTATCACGTTAAAAAAACAGTATGGCTGCCTGGGAAGGGTGGCTAGAAAACCAGAGTAAGGGGATCTCAAAGGACCAGGGGACCTGGGGAGGCCAGCTGGGGCCACCCTCTGCGTTTAAGTGAGGCTGAGCTCAGCTCCTGCAGTGGGAGTGATAGATTCTGGCCCAGGCCAGAGCTCTCTTACCTCCTTGGACCCCTCCCCACTCGTCTCCTTTAAGTACCTGTCAATTCAATTTAGCCTTGTGAAGTCTCCACTAAGGAATCCACAGTGTCACCAAGATGATGTCCATCAAGGAAAAAGATCAATCCTAACTATTGGGCCATGACAGTTGACCTTTGATGAAAGCAGAGAATTGCAAAAGGAATCAGATTAAAGATGTTTAATTAATGGTGTCTGGAGCTGCTTCCCAAGAAACGCCATTTGGAAAATCTGAAGGAGAGAAATGTTCCCCAGCCCAGACAGCAAGCCATGACCTTCTTATAGCCTGAAGAGGAGCTGCTTGCCAAGGGCCAAGATTTATGGGGTGGACTCCATTCGCAAAGGAGATGTAATCACATCTCGCTTGACATTTAGTGGAAACAGGCCTACATCCCAGGAACGAAAGCATCAAGAACAAAGTGGTTAGTGGCGGCTGCACAGACACATACAACATATACATTTGTCTTGAGTTTGAGCCACCCAAACATCGAGTTTGGGAATGCCCCTGCTTATGAGGCTGAGTGGAATGCAGAACTTGCTTGCTACTGCAGATGCTAAGCTGCCAGCTAGTCGCTTTCCCATCCTCTCCTGCAGCTGAGGCAGGGGCTTGTCATAATCTCTGCCCACCAAATACACTCGAGCTGGCCTTTGGATTTGGAACCAGAGACACAAAGAAGCTGGTGGCCCCTTAGTGGCAGCAGCAGCAAAAGTTCCTGGCGTGGTAGGGGCAGTTGAGTGAGCCACAGCCTCTAGTCGTCAGACTAGGGCTCCGATGCCTTCAAGGGCTTGTTTCCGCCTCGGTAGCGCCAAGCAGAATTCTGTAGCTCACCTGTGAGCACTTAATAGTGCTGCTTAAATCAGCAAAAGTTGGCTTCTGTTGCCTGCAATTAAGAACACAGTTCCCAGGTGCACTAGCTCAGGCCTGTTATCTCAGCACTTTCGGAGGTGGAAGCGGGCGGATCACTTGAGCCCGGAAATTTGAGACAAGCTTGGGCAGCATGGCGAAACCCCATCGCTACAAAAAATACAAAAATTAGCCGCTGGTGGTGGCGCAGGCCTGTAGTCCCAGCTACTCAGGGGCTGAGATGGGAGAATTGCCTGAGCCCGGGATGTCGAGGTTGCAGTGAGTTGAGACTGCACTCCAGCCTGGGTGACAAAACAAGACCCTATCTCAAAAAAGAAAAAGAAAAAAAACGTCTCATTCCTTCTGGTACTGGCTTCCAACAAACCCCTGCTGGAGTAGTCATGTGACCCAACCTGAACCAATCATAGTGTCTCATCCCTCCAGTTACAGTGATTGGTCTAAAGTTGGGCATGTGACCCACACAGAGCCAATCAATATCTTTCCCTGGGATGTTTCTACTTCTACTGTGGAAGAATCCCTTTCCTTCTGGGGTCATGGAACTCAAAGACTATAAAACGGGGAAGCGGGGCGGGGGCGGGGTGGTGCACGCGGGGGCCAGCAGCTATGTTCCCCACCCTCAGGGAGGAGATCATCTACAGTAGGAGAGAGTGAAGCCAACAGAGACAGGAAGGCAGAGAGAGGAAGAGAAGCCTGGTATCCTTTGAGTCCCCGCTCCCACCATACTGTCTGTAGTATGATTATGCAAATCTATAAGTTCCTTTTTTTTTTTTTTTGAGACAAGGTCTCCCTCTGTCACCACCCAGGCTGGAGTACAGTGGTGCTAATGCTTCACTGCAGGCCGGGCGCGGTGGCTCACGTCTGTAATACCAGCACTTTGGGAGGCCGAGGCGGGCGGATCACTTGAGGTCATGATTTCGAGACCAACCTGGCCAACATGGACAAACCCCGTCTCTACTAAAAACACAAAAAATTAACCGGGCGTGGTGGTGGGCATCTGTAATCCCAGCTACTCAGGAAGCTGAGGCAGGAAAATCACTTGAGCCCAGGGGAGGCAGAGGTTGCAGTGAGCCAAGATCGTGCCATTGCACTGCAGCCTGGACAACAGAGCGAGACACCATCTCAAAGAAAAAAAAAAAAAGGTTCACTGCAGCCTTGAGCTCCTGGGCTCAAGCAATTCTCCCACCTTGGCCTCCTGAGTACCTGGGACCACATACACACCGCCACACCCAGCTAATTTTTTTTTTATTTTTTATTTTGTAGAGTTGGTGGGGGGCGGGGGGGGGTCTCACTATGTTGCCCAGGCTGGTCTCGAATTCCTGGCCTCAAGTGATCCACCCGCCTCGACCTCCCAAAGTGCTGGAATTACAGGCATAAGCCACTGCACTTGGCCCTATAAATTCCCTTTTCTTGCTTAGGCTCATTTAGATTGGATTTTTGCCATTTGTAACAAAAGTCCTAAGTAATGGAGGTGGAGAAATGTTGCTTTATTCAGGACATGGCCTCATGGGCCTTTCTCTTGAGATGACAAGTGACTTACAGTTAAACGAAACGAAGTCCCTGGGAACAAAAACATCTTTGGCAGAGCAGAGGCCAACATCACTCAGCCAGCAAACATTAACTGAACATCTTCCTAAGTAGTGGTCCTGGCCTAAGCCCTTGCACCGTATGAAAAATAATCTGGCATCAAGCAAATGTTCAGTAATTGCTGGGTACAACAAGCTATGATTAGCATTGGTGCTAACAGTTCGTTTCCATTTACAGGTCAGGCACAAGGGGATGGAAAGGGTGGGTTCAGGATTTGGGATGGGTTTGGGCCCCTTTTTTTTCCAAACATCTCTAAGGCCCCACCCCAAGTCGTTCCTCCTAGCTCTGTGAACTTCAAGAAGGGAAAGATGTATTTTTGTGTTGTTTTTTTGTTTTGAGACAGAGTTTCGCTCTTGTCACCCAGGCTAGAGTTCAATGGTGCAATCTCAGCTCACTGCAACATCCGCCTCCCCGGTTCAAGTGATTCTCCTGCCTCAGCCTCCCAGTAGCTGGGATTACACGCGCCCACCATCACGCCCAGCTAATTTTTGTATTTTTAGTAGAGACAGGGTTTCGCCATGTTGGCCAGGCTGGTCTCGAACTCCTGACCTCAGGTGATCCACCCGCCTCAGCCTCCCAAAGTGCTGGGATTACAGCTGTGAGCCACCGTGCCCGGCCATATTTTTTGATGTAACCAGAAAACTGTGCTCACTGAGGGAGTTGGTAATCTGCTCTTGGAGAAAGCAATCCACTTTAAATACAGTGCTTTAATAATTAAAGAGTTCCCTGAATTCCAGCTTGTAACATTCTTGCCAAATCTCCCCTCCTGGCTTGGGGAGCTCAAATCTGTACCTTTTGGGACTGGAATGAGAGAAAGACTAACCCCCGACCCCCTTACCCCCACCCAAAGCTTCTGCAGGATATTCCTCAAATCAACACATTGAGCATGATGGCTTGGCCTCCGTCTGACCTTCAGGCCTCACTCAGTGAGGCATAATAGCCAAAAGAAACACAAGTGAGACTCAAAGGCATCAGAGTTAAGTAGTTCCCTACCGAAGACTCTTGGAGTCTTAGCAAAGGCAGAATCACACCTCAAAAGCACCCGCTCAACCTCCCAAAAACCGCCTGTCAACACGTCTCCCCGCAATGCCTGTCATCCTTACAGCTGCTCCTCTAAATTCTCTTCTTCTCTTGCTTCAGCTCTCCTCTCCCTTCCAAATCTGTGATTTCCCCAGCCAGGCGCAGTGGCTCATACCTATAATCTTAGCACTTTGGGAGGTTGAGGTGGGAGGATCACATGAGGCCAGGAGTTTAAAACCACCCTGAACAACACAGTGAGACCCTGTTTCTACAAAAAAATTTAAAAATCAGCTAGGCATAGTGGTGTGCACCTGTGGTCCCAGCTACTTGGGAGGCTGAGGTGGGAGGATTGCTTAAGGCCAGGAGTTCAAGATTATGGTGAGCCATGATCACACCATTGCATTCCAGCCTGGGTGACAGAGCAAGATCCTGTCTCTAAAAAAATAAATAAATCAAGTATAATTGTCTCCTTCTAATAGTAATGAGCTGTTTTTAAAATGCAAATAAATTTAGCCCCTTTAGACACCCCCCTAACTTCTCCACCCATTACCTCCTTCAGCCCACAAAGCTTCAAAGAAAACAACAAAATGTTCATTAGGAGATCAGGAGGAAAAGGCAATGATTACCCAGACTGCAGCCAGCCCTCATCAAAAAACAAAACAGGCTGGGCGCGGTGGGCCTGTAATCCCAACACTTTGGGAGGCCAAGGCGGGTGGATCACCTGAGGTCAGGGGCTCGAGACCAGCCTGGCCAACATAGTGAAACCCCGTCTCTACTAAAAATACAAAAATTAGCTGGGTGTGGTGGCGTGCACCTGTACTCCCAGCTACTCAGGAGGCTGAGGCAGGAGAATCACTTGAACCTGGGAGACGGAGGTTGCAGTGAGCCAAGATCGCACCACTGCACTCTAGCCTGAGTGACAGAGTGAGACTCCACCTCAAAAATAAAACAAACGAAAAACAACAGAAAAGCAAAGCGTACATGTGTTTGGATATACACAGGTGATGCCTGAAACTCAAGCATTGGAGCAAGAGGACTAGCAAGATTCAAACCAATGTGTGTCTCTCTCCCAAGATGGTGCAGTTAATGACCCCAGTGTTGCCATGAAGACCCAGCACGATGCTCTGACTCAGACTACTGGGTGACCAAGTCATCTTGTCCTTCAGAAGTAGCATTTTGTCCTCTACTTGACCAATTTCTGCATATGGTGGCTCAACTTCTCTCAGTAGATTGATAAAACTAGTAGATAGAAAATCAGCAAGGATACAGAATGACCTTACCATCAACCACCTGTATCTCGTTGACATTTAGAGAATACTCCACCCAACAATATCAGAATACACATTCTTTTTTATTGCAACTGGAACAGTCACCAAGATAGAACAAATCCTGGGTCATAACAAACCTTAAGAAATTCAAAAGAATTAAGATATATAAAGTATGTTCTTCGACTATCATGGAATTAGACTGGAAATCAATAAGGAAAATAAAATACAATATCAAAATATTCACGATGCAGGTAAGGCAGGGTTTGGGGAAAATTTATAGCATTAAAAGCTCGCATTAGAAAAGAAGAAGCCTCAAATCAATCTAACCTTCCACTTTAATAAACTAAAGAAACACAAAATATAAACCTGAAGGAAGGAAATAAAGAGCTGAAATCAATAATGTAGAAATTAGAAAAAATTGATGAAACCAAAAGCTGGTTCTTTGAAAAATCATTAAAATTGATAAACTTCCAGAAAGACTGACAGAGAAAAAGAGAAAAATTATCAATACTAGGAATGAAAGAAGGCATAAAACTACAGGCCCCACAGACATTAAAAGGACAATAAGGGAATAGTCTGAACAACTATGAACATACACCCAACAGGTTAGATGAAATGGATAAATTCCTCCAAAACTACAAAGTACCAAAACTCTCCCAAGATGAAACAGATCATCTGAATTATACTATAACTACTAAAGAAATTGGATTTGTGGCCAGGCACAACGGCTCACACCTGTAATCTTAGCACTTTGGGAGGCCAAGGTGGTCAGATTGTTTGAGGTCAGGAATTCGAGTCCAGCCTTGGCAACATGGTGAAACCCTGTCTCTACAAAAAATACAAAAAAATTAACTGGGTGCAGTGGCATGCACCTGTAGTCCCAGCTACTCGGGAGGCTGAAGTGGGAGGATCACCTGAGTCCAGGGAGATCGAGACTGCAGTGAGCCATGATGCTGCCACTGTACTCCAGCCTGAGCAACAGAGTGAGACCTGTCTCAAAAAAGAAAGAAGGGGAAGGGGAAGGGAAGAGGAAGGGAGGGAGGGAAGGAGGGAGGGAAGAAGGGAGGAACAAGAGAGAAAAGGAATTGAATTTGTAAAACTTTTTAAAAAGGAAGGTTTCATGCCAAGATGGATTATTGCTGAATTATACCAAACGTTTAAAGAAAAAAAAAATCAATTCTACTCAATAAAGGAGAAGGGAACACTTTCTAACTCATTTTGACACCAAAACTAAAGACCTATAATAAGCAAAAACTACAAACCAATATTTCAGATGAACATAGATGCAAAAATCCTCAACAAAATCTTAGCAAATCAAAATCAAATTCAGAAACACATAAAAAGAATACTACCCAAGACTAAGTAGGGCTTTTCCCAGGAATGAAAGACTAGCTCCATTTTCAAAAACAATCGATGGGTAATTCACCATATGAACAGCCTGAAGAAGAAAACCATACAATCATATCAATTGATTCAGAGAAAGCATTTGACAAAATTCAATATCCATTCATGAAAAAACTCTCAGCAAATAAGAAAGGAATGGAATTTACTTAATTTGATAAATGGCATCTACAAAAAAACAAAAAACAAAAAACAAAAAAACCCCACAAAACTACAGCTAACATCATACCTGCTGGTGAGAGAACACTTTCCCCCTAAAATTGGGAACAAGACAAGGATGTCTACACTCCCCACTCCTGTTTAACATTATACAGGATGTTCTATTCAGCTCAGTAAGGCAAGAAAAATAAAAGGCATATAGATTGAAAAGGAAGAAGTAAAACTGTTCATGTTTTCAGGTGAATGATTATCAGAATAGAAAATTCCAGTGAATTTACCCCTCAAAAATCTCACAGCTAATAAGTGAGTTTAGCAAGTGGTAGGATCAAGGTCAACATGCAAAAATTAATCTTATTTGTATACACTAGTAAGGAACCATTGGAAATCAAAAATTTTTAAATAATACAATTGTTAATTGTATTATATTAATTATATTAATAATATAATTAATAATTTATTATAATTATAATTTATAATTTACAATCGCTCCCCAAAATAAAATATTAGGTATAAATCTAACAAACTGTACACAGGATTCATGTGCTGAAAACTAATACAAATGCTGATGAAAGCGAGCAAAGAAACCTAAAGAAATGGAAATACATACTCGTGTATGGACTGGAAGGCTAAACACAGTAATTGATCTGTAGACGTAATGCAATTCCAGTGAAAATTGCAGCAGGTTTTTTTGAAGGTATAAACAAGCTGATTCTGAAATTTATACTGAAATGGCAAAAGAAATACCCAAGACAATTTTGAAAAATGAAAACAAAGTGGGAGGAATTTCACTACTGAATTATAAGACTTACTGTACAGCAGCAGTTATTAAGACAGTGTGATATTGGCAAAGGGATGCATAGATCAGTGGAACAGAATCGGAAGTCCAGAAATAGACCACACAATTATGGCCAATTGATTTTTTTTTTTTTTTTTTTTTTAGATGGAGTCTCACTCTGTTGCCAGGCTGGAGTGCAGTGGCGCGATCTTGGCTCACTGCAACCTCTGCCTCCTGGGTTCAAGCGATTCTCCTGCCTCAGCCTCCCGAGTAGCTGGGACTACAGAAGTGCGCCACCACGCCCAGCTAATTTTTTGTATTTTTTAGTAGAAACGGGGTTTCACCGTGTTGGCCAGGCTGGTCTCTAACTCCTGACCACCCGCCTCCGCCTCCAAAAGTGTGGGATTACAGGCGTGAGCCACCGCACCCGGCCTGGCCAATTGATTTTTGATAAAGGTGCGAAGGCAATTCTGTGGAGACAGGATATTCTTTCCCACATATGGCCTTAGAACAATTGGACGTCCGTATGCAAAAGAAAAAACAAATAATAATAAACAAAAAATGAACCTTGACCTAAACCTCACACCTTATACAAAAATTAATTCAAAATAAGTCATAGGTCTAAATAGAAAAAACATAAAACTCTCAAACTTTTTTTTTTTTTTGAGACGGAGTCTCGGTCTGTCGCCCAGGTTGGAGTGCAGTGGCGCGATCTCAGCTCACTGCAAGCTCCGCCTCCCGGGTTCACGCCATTCTCCTGCCTCAGCCTCCCGAGTAGCTGGGACTACAGGCACCCGCCATCACGCCCGGCTAATTTTTTGTGTTTTTAGTAGAGACGGGGTTTCACCGTGTTAGCCAGGATGGTCTCGATCTCCTGACCTCGTGATCCGCCCGCCTGAGTCTCCCAAAGTGCTGGGATTATAGGCATGAGCCACCGCGCCTGGCCAAAACTTTCAAACTTTTAGAAGAAACACAGGAGAACAAATATTCACCACCTGAGGATAGGCAGAGAGTTCTTACACATGACACCAAAAGCACAGTCTATGACAGGAAAACTTGAGAAGCTGACTTTATCAAAATTCATAATGTGGCCTGGCATTGTGACTCAACGCCTGTAATCCCAACACTTTGGGAGGCTGAGGCAGGTGGATCACCTGAGGTCAGGAGTTTGAGACCAACCTGACCAATATGGTGAAACCCTGTCTCTACTAAAAGTACACATTTAGCCGGGCATGGTGGCACGTACCTGTAATCTTAGCTACTCGGGAGGCTGAGGCAAAAGAATCGCTTGAACGTGGGAAGTGGAGGTTGCGGTGAACCAAGATTGTGCCATGGCACTCCAGCCTGGGCAACAAGAGCAAAACTCCGTCTCAAAAAAAAAAAAAAAAAGAAAAGAAAAGAAAAGAAAAAAGAAATTTATTTCTCACAGTTCTGGAGACTGAGAAGTTCAATATCAAGGTGCCAGCACCTTGTAAGGGCCTTCATGGTGTGTCATCCCATGGCAGAAGGTGGAAGGGCAAGTGAGCGTGAGAAAGAAAGAACCCACTCCTCAAAGCCCGCCTTTTTAAAATTTTTTTGAGACAGGGTCTCACTCTGTCACCCAGACTGGAGTGCAGTGGTTTGATCTCGGCTCACTGCAACCTCTGCCTCCCAGGTTCAAGTGACTATCCCACCTCAGCCTCCTGAGTAGCTGGGATTACAGGCATGTGCTACCACACCTGGCTAATTTTTGTATTTTTTGGTAGAGACGGGGTTTCACCATGCTGGCCAGGCTGGTCTCTAACTCCTGACTTCAAGTGATCTGTCTGCCTCAGCCTCCCGGAGTGCTGGGATTACAGGTGTAAGCCACCGTACCCAACCAAGGCATTAACCCACTCATGAGGGCAGAACTGTCATGGCCTAACCACTTCCTAAAGCACCAGCTCGTAATACTGTCACAATGGCAATTACATTTCAAACACGTGTTTTGGAAGGAACATTCATGGAAGTAACACCCAAGCTTCATTGGAATAAAAAGGCTTTTTCTTCTGTGTTTTTTGGTATGGATTTGTTAAACATTTCAAGCTCATTCCGTTGGATATAATTTAATCTTGTTCTTCATAGTTGAAGAGCACTCACTCATAGCATTAAGGTGCAAAGTATATTATTTTTTATAATTATCAACTTAATACACACATACACAAAGGATTAGGGAACAGGCCGGGTGTGATGGCATGTGACTGTAGTCTCAGCTACTTGGGAGGCTGACATGGGAGGATCACCTAAGGCCAAGAGTTCGAGACTGCAGTGAGCTATGATCACACCACTGTACTCCAGCCTGGATAAAAGAGTAAGGCCCTGTTTCAAAAAAAAGAAAAGAAAAAAAGAGAGATTAGGGAAAAGAAGCTGCTCAGAGTCACCAGCTGGTGCTTCCACTGGGTCTCAGCCTGGTCTTGTTGACTCAGAGGCCAGGACATGGTGCTGGTGACGTGCTACCCCTATGGACAGCAGGGACCGGGGCTCTGGGAGTGGCTATGTGTCCTCCAAGCTGGTGCTCCCTGGAGAGGCTGTTCCTACTTGTAAGGAAACAGAGGAACACATTGCAAAACCTTTCATTTCACTTGATGGGAAACATCATTTTATCATCCTTCTCTGTCACCTGCATCTTTCTAACCTCTCAGTTTTTCTCTGGCACTGAGCAAAAGCTTAGCCCACTTTGTGCTGGGGATTGAGCTGGGGAATTTCCAAGTAGTGATTCTAGTGACAGTGATTGCATATAGCAGGGCTCTATTTGATGTAAACTCATCACAGGCCCTGGGGCTCCAGTTTTCCTATTTATCTGGCTATATGGGTCCTCGTGGCTCCAGAAAAAGCGGGGGCAAGGGCCAGACCAATTTTTTTTTTTTTTTTTTTTTCAGATAAAGTCTCACTCTGTCACTCAGGCTGGAGTACAGCGGTGCGATCTCAGCTCACTGCAACCTCCACCTCCCAGGTTTAAGAGATTTCTGGCTAAATTTTGTATTTTTAATAGTGACAGGATTTCACCATATTGGCCAGGCTGGTCTCGAACTCCTTACCTCAAGTGATCCACGCGCCTCGGCCTCCCAAGGGAGGAATTACAGGCGTGCGCCACTGCGCCCGGGCCAGGTGCCCCAGAGATAGCTCCCTGGGTGGTTGTGGGGGGCCCCTTGGGGTTGGTGGGGCAGAGGTCATGTTGGCAGTGGGGAGCCTCCCTCTGCTATCGACTAGTTCATGACAGGCTCCTGTTTCAAGGTATTTTCCTCTCTGAAATTTTGGACTTGGACCCAGATCTTGAGTGCAGCTTCACCCATGGCCCAAGTGGCAAGAAATAAAAGCTGATAGCCAAATCGATGGACCAAAATGAAGGGGCAACAACTTTGGGGTGGAGAGAATTGGATAATATCAATGACATTCACTGTTTTCACGTAGGAAAGGCCCTCAGACAGATCATCTGAGCATCACACAGATGCTCCCCAGCAGCCCTATGAGAAACGTGCTTCTATTATCCTCACTTTAAAGAGGAGGAAACTGAAGCTCAGAGAAGTTCAGATTCAGTCTATCTCCAAAGCCAACTGCTGGTGGGGATGCAGCCAGCACTGGAACCCAGAGAAGGAACCTTAACTGCCAGTCATGCTGGATGAGATGAGAAACTTTGGGACAAGAGGTCCCTTCGCCCCAAATTTAATTTACAGCCAGATGGGTATGGCAACCACAGTAGCTTCAAGACATTTGAAAACCAGCCAAGAGCACCAAAGAGAGCCGGCTTTCTCCAGCCCCACCTGCCCGTCATATCCCAGGCCTCCCTAGGTCCCCCACTGGCCAATCAGAGTCCCTCTTATGGGGGAAACCCTTTCTCCAGCCCTGTCGCAAGACTGGTTAGGAGGGTGAGGATGGGGCCGAGGCCTCGGGGGTCTCAGGGCTTATGGGAGTGGCCGGTTCATCACCTTCCTTTACTTCTGGGAGAGCCCCTGGCAGGGAGAGGCCAGAAGTCAGCCAAGGACACCTGCTGCCCTGTGGCCACTGGGGCTGGGTGGTTCCGAGGAGCCACGGATCTGACTTGTGCTTGCACCAGGAAGGTGGCTTCTCCTCACACGAGGGCTCAGCCCTGTGGCCTCGTGGAAAATTTCAGATTCTGGGAAGTGCTGGTTCTAGGTGACCCAAGGGAGAGGACATCAGGCCAAAGGTGATGCGTCACGGTGGTGGTCACAGTTTGGGGTCCAGTTGGCCTCAAATCCCCTCTGCCTTTTTTTTTTTTTTTTTTTTTTTGAGACAGAGTCTCACTCTGTCGCCCAGGCTGGAGTGCAGTGGCGTGATCTCAGCTCACTGCAACCTCCACCTCCCAGGTTCAAGCAATTCCCTGCCTCAGCCTCCTGAGTAGCTGGGATTACAGGCACCTGCCACCACGCCCGGCTAATTTTTGTATTTTTAGTAGAGACAGGGTTTCACCATGTTGGCCAGGCTGGTCTCAAACTCCTGACCTCAGGATCCACCCGCCTCGGCCTCCCAAAGTGCTGGGATTACAGGCGTGAGCTACCGTGCCTGGCCCCCTCTCTGCCATTTATCAGCTGTGTGACCCCAGGCAAGTCAGTGAGCCTCTCTGAAGCTGTTTCCTCATCTGGAACTGGGGACAACTGTAGCTACCTCATGGGGCATAAGAGGAACAGCACACAGGAGCGGTGGTGGCAGAGCCACGGGCCAGGAGGGGCTGAGAGCCGGTCATGAGCATAGCAGTGACCACAATGGTGGCAGCAGCAGCATGCAAGCCATGGGTCCGGGTACCATCTGCCAGGTAACACGGTGCACAGGGAGTCCCACGGGTAACCCCACCTGCAGCTCTGGGTGTGCCCGGGCTGGGAGGGGTGCCTGAGACCCTGCCTACCCACACTTGCCATTTCCATTCCTGTGCCCTGGGGACCCCTCCCTGGGGCACACCCCGTCCTGCCCCCAGACTCAGCACCCCCAACCTTTGCCCACAGTGCTTACCTGAGTGGCCACCCCCCTGGGAATGGGGCCCTGGGGCACTCTTGGGATCCAGTGCCCCCAGTGCTTGGCAGGCTGTGGGAGGGACCTCCTTCGTGGGCCCAGACCCCTGCCCCTGCCTCAGTCTCCCTGCCTCCTCCAACCCACCTCCGAGCTGCTTCTCCCTCCAGACACGGGGCCCGCACTGACGGATCTCAGTGGGGCATGCGCCTTCCCCTGCAGACCTCGCCTCCCCACGCGACAGGCATCTGGGAGGGACCAGGGCAATAAGCCGCTGCCGGATCTGAACTTAATAGAAGCAGTCTCCCCCAGCTCCCTGTGTCTGACCAAAGACAATGTCGTCGGAGCCTGGAAGCCCCCCACGAACTGTCAGACTGGAGGAGCCCCTTCACCCTGGGCCTCAGCGACCTCGTCTGTAAAATGTGGGATGGTAATACCAGCACCGGCCTCAAGGGGCGCTGCTGCAAGGATTAAATGCGATAATGCGGGTGAACCCAGCACAGGGCAAGCACTCCGCTTCCGTTGCTATGACCTGGCTCGTCCCTGTTATCACTTTGCTAATCGTTAAAATGGGCGGAGTTACAGAGAACAGCCGTTCCGCGGGGCTTCCCAAGAAGCTCAGAAAGGCGGACCTCGGTGCTGTGTGCTCAGAGCGCCCAGGCCTGTACCAGTCAGCATCAATTCTTAAAAGGTGACCTCGTGCCTCTTCTTTCTGTGCGGAGTCATCCACTGGAAAAATCTACTGTCTCATTGCCATGGAGGCACCTGCCGTTAACTCCTTTGCATTCCTCTCTTCCCCTGTGTGTCGATTTCCTGCAGTCCTTCCTCTGCACCTACTGTACACTGCCTGGAATGCCCTTGCCTCTCCTCCTTGCCCATGTACATCCTGCCATCCTTTAAGGGTAGCTGAAGTTTCCCCTTGTCCAGGGAGGCCCCTGGGGAGTGAGGTAGGGAGAGTAGCCCAATCCCCGCCCGATACTGCGTCACTGGCCTGGCACTGCCCATCTGTGGCTGGTGTCCATAACCTTCCTGTGTGTGCTACTGCTGTTGTTTTTTTTTTTTTTTTTTTTTTTGGACAGAGTCTCATTCTCTGTCACCCAGGCTGGAGTGCAGTGGCACTATGACGGCTCACTGCAGCCTCGACCTCACTATGCCCAAGCAATTCTCTCATCTCAGCCTCCTGAGTAGCTGGGACTGCAGGTGAGTGCCACCATGCCTGGCTAATTTTTTTGTATTTTGTAGAGATGGGGTTTTGCCATGTTGCCCAGGCTGGTCTCGAACTCCTGACCTCAAGTGATCCACCCACCTCGGCCTCCCAAAGTGCAGGAATTGCAGGCATGAGCCACCGCCCCCGGCCTTCCTTCTTGAACCAGGCTAGCATTCATCACAGGCTGTGGCAGAAGCCTGGCACTGTGGCTGCCCAGCATATACACTCCAGGCTCTCATTCATCCCTGTGGAAATGGGTGAAGGATTCTGGTTAGCTTTAGGCTTCTGCCTAGAAATCACTTAAGCAGCATCCAGCTTGTATTAGTTGATCTGATGGACGAGCATGGGGGTAGAATCCGAACCTCAGGGTTCCCTCTGATTCCCTTCCCATGACTGGGAGCTCCCTTTGTTTTTTGCTTTTTGTTTTTTTTGAGATGGAGTCTCGTTCTGTCACCCGGGCTGGAGTGCAGTGGTGTGATCTCGGCCCACTGCAACCTCCACCTCCTGGGTTCAAGCGGTTCTCCTGCCTCAGCCTCCCGACTACCTGAGATTACAGGCACACGCCACCATGCCCAGCTAATTTTTGTATTTTTGGTAGAGGTGGAGTTTCACCATGTTGACCAGGCTGGTCTCGAACTCCTGGCTTCAAGTGATCCGCCTGTCTCAGCCTCCCAAAGTGCTGGGATTACAGGCGTGAGCCACCACGTCTGGCCTGGGAGCTCCCTTTCTCCCTCCTTCCAGGCCAGCACTTGCACCTTCCCCTGCAGGTCCCAGCTCGGGCCCCTGGCATTCCACAGATCTGCCCCTTCTAAGGCAGGAAGGGCCTCTTGATGCCCAACATAGGAATTGGGTCTTCAGAATCCTCAAAGAATAAAGTGGGCACTCCACAATATCACAAAGACTTCCCCTCACCTCTGGGGGCAACCAACAGTCCAGTGACTAAAACGGGACCTACTCTCAGTCATCTGACAATGATACCAAAGGGACTCTTCCCACCCTTCTCCCTGACTGTCAGAAAAAAGCTTGTTTTACTCTTTATCATATTTTTTTATCCCCAAGATCTGCTCATGTGGATGGCTTATTTTAGGTTTCTGGGAGGAAGGGAGCAATTTCTGAGGAAGGAAATTGTAGAGACAAGAAAAGGTCTGGTCCCCAAGTCTTGAAACCCCTGGCAGAATCCTTCCTGAGCTCAACCCTAGGCCAGCCTGCCCAGTCCCCTTCCTGTGGTTACCCAGTGAAAACCCAACTGGCCCGGTCCTCAGGGGCTGCCCTGGGCTCCCCAATAACCTAGAGCCTCTAGGTCCCTAGTGCTTCTGCAAAAGAAAGTCTTTCCCACAGGAGTCCCTCTGGCTGGGACCCTCAGTCCCCTGAGCCCTTGGAGGAGGAGGGCATATTGGGACAGGAAGAGGGAAAAGGCAGAAGACGGGTGGGAAAGGCATGAGCAAGCAGTAGTTACACCAGCACATGGCACTGTATGGTTGTTTATTAAGTCACTTTGGCAAACATTGAGAGTTTCGATGCAAACATTTGCAGGTGGCATCAGGTCATTGAAAGCGACCCAGCAGATCACTGGGTACATTAGGGAGAATATAAATTGGGCTGTTGACACAGAGACTCAGGATGGCTTAATCAAGATAAATGTGTGTCTCTCTTCCTCCTAAGAGCTCCAGTGTAAATGGTCCAAAGCTGGTGTGGCAGCTCCATGGGGTCAAAGACCCAGTTCTAGGAAGGCTTGTTTCAGAGTCCTCCATCCAGTCAGCAGGAAGAGGGAAGAGGGAAAGTTATGCTCATTGTTCTCATCCTATTGGATAGAACTGGGTCACATGGCCGCACTCAGCCACAAGGGAGGCTGGGAAATGTAGTCCTTTGTTCCACATGGCCCTGTGCCCAGCTAAAAAGAGATAAGGGGAAGAAGTAGAAAGCTTTTCCATACCTACACAAGCTCATTTTGCCTAAGTTCAGGGGGCCTTCCCAGCCCCTTTCCATGCCCACTGTCCTGAACCAGTTCCTCCAGACCAATGAACCTGGAGGGTAAGTTTCTGCCTCTGTACTCCCTGGGCAGGAAGATGGCAGGGAGGAGGGGGCCACTGTAGGGCAGGGATCCACATTGCATTCCCACTCCCAGCCCGACTCCCTACTCTTCTCCTTGTCATCTCCTCTGTATGCCTGGGGATGCCCTGAGCTGGGCTTTGGGGAGTACAATTTAGAGAGATACTTTCTAATATGCAGATGTGAGTTTGGGGCTTGGCAGGGTCAGTGGGGACAGGGTGGAAGGCCCGAGGTGGGGAGAAATGGGACCTCTAGGATGGTCCCTCTAGGAGGACTCACTGGTGCTATCACACCCAGGGAATAGCAGCCAATCTGAGCCATCCTGATAAAGCAGGTGGCCAGGTCTGTGCCTCTACTGAGCTTCAGCCCACAGTAAGCCATCCAGCGCAGGCTGGGCCAGGGGGTGAGTCAGCACAGGCTTTAGCCTGACTCGAGCAGAGCAAGGGACCATGACCCATCATGTGCCCTCAGCAACACCATTTCTGAACCGTGGTCCCTGTAGGCACCACGCCCAAGGCTGCTGGAAAAGACCTGAGCTTCCTCCACCAACAGCTCACCCCCGTTCAAGCTCACCCTCTGCTGGAAACATTGCCCCAGCTGCCCTCACAACGGCCTTCTGAACCAGAGCTTGGTATTTCCAAAGACAGGCGCCCGTGCACAGATTTACTTTCAGTGCTTCGGTGGAAACAGCACATTGTGTGGGTATGTAAATTACCTCCAATCTCTGCCTCAGGGACAGTCCCCAAGTGTGTGAAACAGTCTAGTCAGGAATCAGCCCTCCAGAGGGTGTCATATTAGCATTTTAAATATGTACTTTTATTAAAACCTACACCACAGATTTTATCCACACAAAGGATGTTAGAAGTCCCTTTTCATAGAAGTGTAATGTGGTGAAGATACATGCTTGGCTACAAAGATTTTCAGAGCTCAGCACTGTGCACCACAAGGGAAGAGCAGCAAGCAGCCTGGTGCTTCAGGACTGTGCTCAGGGGCAGGGCTCCTGGGGTCCTGGGGCCCCCACCCCCTGGATGGACAGGTACAGGTGCCTGCCTGTCTTTGTACTTACTTGACAGTGAATATCTGGACTTCTGGCAGAATTTGATCTAATACCTGCCTTCATTGCAACATTCCACCTCTGGCGAGGTTGTGGGGCAGGGGCTGTCGAGCCATCGCCTGCCTCTCATTGAGGGTCCATGGGGTTTTTGTCTGTTTGTTTTGAGACGGAGTCTCGGAGTCTCGCTCTGTTGCCAGGCTGGAGTTCAGTGGCGCGATCTCGGCTCACTGCAAGCTCCGCCTCCCGGGTTCACGGCATTCTCCTGCCTCAGCCTCCCACAGGCACCTGCCACCACGCCTGGCTAATTTTTTGTAGTTTTAGTAGAGACGGGCTTTCACCATGTTAGCCAGGATGGTCTCAATCTTCTGACCTCATGATCCGCCTGACTCGGCCTCCCAAAGTGCTGGGATTACAGGCGTGAGCCACCGCGCCCGGCCGAGGGTCCACTTTTTTACCAGAAAACCCTGTCTGTCAGAACACATGCCCAGCGTCAAGTGGTAGAGCCTGGCTGGGAACCAGGTCAGATTCCACAACCTGTGGCCCCAATCACCGTCCCACACTGCCTTTCCATGCTGCCTTTGGAACCCTCTTGAGGGTCTGGGGAGTTCTGGCATCTTCACTCTAGGACCCGCCAGAGCAACGCACAATGCTGGATGCCCAGCGTGGCCACAGAGGGTGACATCGCTGCATCCACTTCTCAACGGTTGCTTCAACCCCAAAGCGGAAGTCACATTGGGCCTTCAGCTTTGCCTGGAAGGTGGTGGCGATCTGATGATTCCTTTCACTCTGAAACATGTCTGAAACGTGGCCTGTGTTTGCAGGTGGTGGTTCATTCTAACATGGGCTGCTTGATCTTATCAATCTACACGCTTCATGCGTCTTTCAAGAGCTTTTGGCCAAGAGCAATGAATTCTAACTGACAGTTATGTTCCTGAGTCCGCGCTGGCTTTTGTTGCTCTCTGAATTCGTGTTCCTTTAACAAGCTACGAAAGTGAAAACCACCACCTCCTCTGATCCCCCTCTCCCCAACATGGCAGGGCCCATGCATACTGAGCAAACACGGGGTTACTTGACCAGAGGGGGAAGAGGAGGGCTCTCCTCTATCCCAGGCTCCAGGCCAAGGGTGACTCGGGGGAGGGCAGCCACACAGACTGCCACCTCTCGGGGTGCCTGCTGGGAGCTTGCACAAGAGCTACTCATCTCCCCACCTTCCCTCCCGACGCAACCCTCCATGTGGTCAGCAACCAATCTCTAGGCCCCCTGCGCCTGGCCCATCACAGGTGCAAAAGTCAGATGAGGTGAATGAATCATTTGCCTGAATCCCTGAGCCAATGGAGGTAGGGACCCAACCGGACATGCTGCAGCGCACACACCTCCCAGGGGTCCTCAAAGTGTGATTCACAGACCCGCAGCAGCAGCGCAGCCCAGGAACTTGTTAGGAACTCAGATTCCCAGGCCCCTGCCCAGACCCTCCTAATCAGAAACTCGGCGGCTGGGCTGGCAAGCTGGGTTTGAAGCAGCCTCCAATCCAGGTGATTCTGAGACACACTTGACTTTGAGAGCCACTGATCTAGGCCAATGGTTTTCAGACATTTTTAAAGCAGCAGCCGCCCTCTCCAGATGAAACAGGCAGGTCAGGGGATGTCGTGGGTGAGGCAGTGGGCGGGGCCTCACACCACTCAACTCTAGGCCTCGCAGAAACACTCCTGCAGATTTTTCTGGTTTAAAAGTATACTCAAGGTTCTCACTTTGCACATTCTTTCTCTCTCTTTTTTTTTTTTTTTTTTTTGAGATGGAGTCTCGCTCTTGTCACCCAGGCTGGAGTGCCATGGTGTGGTCTCAGCTCACTCCAATCGCCGCCTCCCGGGTTCAAGTGATTCTCCTGCCTCAGGCTCCCATGTAGGTGGGATTACAGGCGCCTGCCACCACACCCAGCTAATTTTTGTATTTTAGTAGAGACGGGGTTTCACCATGTTGGCCAGGCTGGTCTCGAACTCCAGACCTCAGGTGATCCGCCCAACTCGGCCTCCCAAAGTGCTGGGATTATAGGCATGAGCCACTGCACCCGGCCTACACATTCTTTCTCTTCAGGAAACTGGGAAGACAACACCCAAAGCCAGAGAAAGGGTGTCACAAAGGGAAGAAACCTAAAACGAAACGGAGAAGAATGTAAACAGACAAAGCAACAGGCCCACACAGGGAGGCGAGGACAAGTCCAGGAAGCGTGTTTAATTGGCGTGACATGGACGACATACAGCAGGAGCTTGGGGAGGCTGGGGCATGCTACACGGCCCCTGTCCACCCCTGGGCCTCGCCCTGACCCTGGCCCCAGAGACACACACCGGCAGGTTCAGACAGGACGGCACCCCAAAAAGAGACTCAAAGGGGGCTGGGGAGGCAAGCAGGAAAGGAAATAACCACAACCAGAAGACATTGCCTTTTGTTTGTTTGTTTTTGCAAGCATTATACCAATTTCTCCCCCAAGTGGCAGGCTCCGGGTGGGAGGCAGCAGCAGTCCAAACCGCTACTCTTGGGCACCGTCCTCCACTTCTGTGAGGGGCTTTGATGATGACACTCACATTTGGGTCTCACCAGGCCCCTGCGAGGCAGGCCCAGCAGAGACTCTTGCTCCCATCCAAGGGATGGGGAAATTGAGACCCAATGAGCAGAACTGACTTGCGCAAAGTCCTGAAGGAAGCCAGCCACCGAGTCAGGCTGGGAGTGAGGTGGGCCTCCCTGGGGCCGGGAGCCACTGCAGGAACAGGGACAACAGGGAATGTGCAGACTGGGGAGGGCGACTCGGGGCTACCCCATCCTGGAGAAGGGGCAGAGCCTGAGCCTGGATGCTAAGATGCCAAGACAGAAGATGGGACCAGCTGTTTATTCAACAAAAGCCTTTTATTCATTCAAAAATTAACCATTGGGTTTATTCCGCAGATATTAAAAAAAAAAAAAAAAGAGGGGGGCAAGGCTTCCCATCACAGTGCCCTTAAGTTAATTCACTTGCTATCCAGGGATGGCCTAGCAGAGGGGTGTCTGGGAAACGCTGCCAGAAATGTGGTGGCCCAGGGCCTCTGAGGACTCACAGCCCCCTCCTCGCCTCCCCGCTCCAGCCTCCCTCCGGACCACCCGTCCGGTGGGGTTGCAGCCCCCAGGTGCGTTGGCGGCTTACCACCACCAGGGGGCGCGCCGCGCTTCCTTAGCTCCCTTAAAATTAAATGCTGAAACCGCGCTGGGAACAGGGTGACTTTCCGCCTGGCGGGTGGGCAATGGAGGCTTTTTCCAGAGACAGCCTGCCTCTCCAGGAAGGGATCCCAGGCATCCCGACCTCCCCACCAACCCCCTCCGAAAAAACACAAAGTTCCTGAAACCCCAGGTGCACTTGTCTAGGAAACGGGCTGTCAAACTGAAAAGCATTTCAGGGGAAGAGATGTCAGTACAGAGGGTGACACGTACGCTTGCCTTGATGTTATTTTAAACGTGGCCTGCTTAGATCATGGAAAATCGGAACATTCTCCTAAGTCACCATCAACACAAAGTGAGGAGCAGACGCTACGAGGAAGAGGACAGGCCGTGGCCGACTGGCCGCCTGGGGCTGGTGCCTGCCCTGGCCCCAGTGCGAGGCTCTGCAGAGGGACTATGGGCGTGCCCTCTGCATCAGAGCATCTGAAGCGAGCCGCATTGGGTGGCAAACGCCGCTGTGGAGAGGCGCACGGGCTGCTCAGGAGGCACCTGGCTCAGGATTCTGCGGCATCACTGCAGCCAGAGGCCTGGGGAGAGGAGGGGGCAGAGATCGGTCCCTGCCAGGCAAACTCTAGTGAAAATGGCCAGTGTCCAGCACCCCGCCAGGGCCGGGAAGGGCGGCCCTTCCGGCAGCTCTGGGCTGGCTCGGGCTGTGGGCCCACCGGCATGCTGGGCTGCGGTCCGCAAGCATACCATCTGCTAAGGCCAGAAGCCACACCTGTGGCTTCAAACCAAAAGGCCAAAGGGCAGGACGATGGAGGAAGGCCGGACACACCGAAGGGGTCCACATGCTTAAGCCCAGACACCCTCAGCCACAGGTCAGGTTGTACAACAGTGTCAGTCCCATTGGACCAGAGAGGCAAATCGAGCCTCAGGCAGAGGCCAAAGGAAAGTAATTTGACCTGGGAAAGACCTCCCTCATCCTCTCAGCCCAAAGCCACCATGTTCGTTCCCTGCCCCAGACCCCAGGTCAGAGCCCAGCTGAGAAACTTCAGCCGTTGGTGCTGAGTCCCAGGTCGCCCGGGCCAGCAGCTGAGCAGGGAGCCGACTGGCAGGGGCCTCAAAGAATCCACCCTTCAAAGTGGCCTGTGAAGGTGGAACCACTGACCCCATCCCTGCAGGATGTTGGTGGGGGAGGGGGGGTTACCGTGGGGCCAGCGTGCAGTCCTAGGGGGCTGCCAATGAACGCCTCAGGGGGGACGCTGGGGTTGGCTGAATGCTCCAGCCAAGGGGAACAGCCACGCAGCCCCACACGGCAACGTCACTACGGCAGAGGCCTTCCTCGGGCTGGAGGCCTGCTTGCTGAGGGTGGGAACCGAGGACCAAAGTGTCCCCTCTAAAACATGGGCTGATGGGCTGTTGACTCTGCAAAGCAGCAGCAAGAATTCTAGACCCAGGCCTGGCCCTGACAGTCTGGGAAGCGGCTTCTCACCTCAAGCCTTCCCTGTGCAAGGACTCCTTCTGGGTCCCAAAGAGCGCTCAAGGGTCTGGGGGGAACCAGGAAATGCTGCGGGAAGGGACAAGGTGTGCCACATGACACATTCATCTGCTGGAACTGACCCCACACACCAGCAGCCACGCAATAGGGGCTGTGCTGTGACTCAGACAGTCCCTCGGGCTGCTGGGGTCAAGCAAACTTAACCACAGCATCACCAGCCACAGGAAACTGAACCCCAGGCCTAGAGTGACATGATGTCGGCATGGAAAAGGGCCTTCAAGACCAACCAGCCCGGGCCTCCTCGCTCTGCAGATGGGGCAACTGAGACCCAGAGAGGGCAGGAGGCTGCCCACAATCAAAGAGCAAGGGCCGGACCTTGGGCTCCTACCTCTGGTCCAGGGTGGCCTCGCATTCCTGGTGATGGTCCTGGGGCCGCACCTGCCTCAGTGGCAGGCACCGCTGGAAGCCTCCGTGAAGACATGTGGGCCGCAGCCCCAGGTGTAGGGACTATATTGATGGGATTGCCTGGAACTCTTCTCTCCTTCCCTCCCTCCCAGCCTTTGAGCCAAGAGAAGGCCAGGGAAGGACACCATGCAGTTTACTGGAAAAAGCAGATAGGAAGGAGGGAAGGCAGAGCGGGAGAGAGTCATGAACTATCTTGAAATCCCCTCCCCAGCCCAAGGAGGCGGGGGTCCCCTTGATTTCTGCTAACTTACTTCAAAGACCACCTCTCCTGACTCTGCCTGGGTACCCAATGCCCCTTCTTCCAGCTCCCAGCCTTAGGCGCCCTGTTTTCCATGCTGCGGCAAACACCAAAGCAAGAGTTGAGAAACCTAAAGATGTCCCCTGTTCATCCTCGGAAAAAATGTTACGGACCCAGGGGAGAACAAGGATGCGGGGACAGAGGCAGCAGGGAAAAGGGGTTTGGCAGGAGGCATTCGGGCTGGAGGGAACAGTGCATTAGCCATTTAGGAATTTCCACCTCTCCCCTCTCCAAAAATCAAGCACAGTATCTGAAAAAAAAAAAATTTTTTTTGGCTTCTTGGCCGCTGCAGGCCACCATCCTCCCAAGTCGGCGTGGGCAGGTGGGTCAGGGCGTGCACATGTAAACGGTGGGCCCGCAGCCCTGGGAGCTGAGGACACACCAGGCAGCAGCAACAGTTAACAACCAATAAATTAAAGATATCAATTATATATGTATATAAAAAAAAACCTCACTTTCCCCACAAAAAGCACAATACTGTTATCACAAAAAAAATCATCATCCTCATAATTAATCATCCTAGCCACGCAGGTGGTTTTGCTGCCAAAAGATGGGACGACAAATAACGTTGACCAGGCAGAACCCCTAGACACCCTCGGCCCACCCACAGCCTCTCCGGCTGCCGAAGGACGAGGGACGAGGGCAAGGCAGAGTTCTCTGAGGTCCCCAGGCCTTCACCCCATCTGTCAGTCTGTGTCTTCTAGGACAGAAGGTAGTTGTTTTTTTTTCTTTTAAAACGTCTGTTCAAAATAAAAAACAAAAGCACACGCGCAAGAGAGCGGGAGGAACGGAGGCTGCCTGCGAGGCAGCCAAGTCCTTGGTTTATGCAGAGGGCTGTAGCCTTTTCCATTTCGTGTTGTCGTTTTCCGGACAAGCAGAGGTTGCTGGCAATTGGAGCCGGTGGCTTCAGGCGGGGGATGGGTGCAGGACAGGGGAGAGGAGAGCCGGGGCCTCCCGGGTCAAGGGCAGCCGGCTGTGTGTGGATGCGGAAGAAGGCTGGGTGGACGCACGGGGTTGGTGTCAGGGCTGAGGTGGCCTCATGGCACAGAAGGAGGTGAGTGGTTCCCAGGCATCTGGAAGACACAAGGAGGCAAGATGGGTTAAGATCCAGCCACAGCGGATAGGGGTTAAGGTCTGGCCACGGAGGATAGGCACAGAGAGCTGGCAGGAAGGTCGATAGATGGCAAGCTGGCATTCTATGTCAGAAGTCCTAAAAATGTGCATAACCTCTGAGGCACCCTTTGGGTTTTTTGGTTTTTTTTTGTTTGCTTTTTTTTGAGTTGGAGTCTTGCTCTGTCACCTGGGCTGCAGTGCAGTGGCATAATCTCGGCTCACTGCAACCTCCACCTCTTGGGTTCAAGCGATTCTCCTGCCTCAGCCTCCCAAGTAGCTGGGATTACAGGCGCCCGCCACCATGCCTGGCTAATTTCTTTTTGCATTTTTTAGTAGAGACAGGGTTTCACCATCTTGGCCAGGCTGGTCTCGAACTCCTGACCTCATGATAGACCCGCCTCGGCCTCCCAAAGTGCTGGGATTACAGGCGTGAGCCACCGTGCCCAGCCTATATTTATCCTTAATAAATAAATGTTTACCACTGCACCATCTGTAATAGCAGAAAACAGAAAACAAAAATGGAAGCAGAGAAAACAATCTAAGTGTCCAGTATCAGAGGAGTGGTGGGATACATTAGGACACACCCACAGGATAAAACAGTTTACAAACCATTAAAAACAACACATAGAACAGTCGATAAACACATGAAAAGATGCCCAACATCCCTAGTCATTAGGGAAACACACATCAAAGCCACAGGGAGGGCCAGGAGTGGTGGGTCAAACCTGTAAATCTAGCACTTTGGGAGGCCAAGGCAGGAGGATCGCTTGAGGCCAGGAGTTCAAGACCAGCTTGGCCAACACAGTGAAACCCGGTCTCTACCAAAAATACAAAAATTAGCCGGACGTGGCTGCGCACACCTATAATTCCAGCTGCTTGGGAGGCTCAGACAGGAGAATGACTTGAACCTGGGAGGCAGAGGTTGCAGTGAGCCGAGATTGCATCACTGCACTCCAGCCTGGGAGACAGAGTGGGACCCTGTCTCAAAAAACAAAAACCACAACAACAACAAAAAACCACAGTGAGGCAACCACTTCACACCCACTAGGATGGCTACCTTTTTTTTTTTTTTCATGGAAAATAACAAGCGTTGGCAAGGATGTGGGAAACTGGAACCTCTGTCCTTTGCTGGTGGGAATGCAAAATGCTGTCACTAGTTTGGAGATCAGTTTGGTGGTTCCTCAAAAAGTTAAACATAGAGTTAACCATATGACCCAGCAACTCCACTCCTAGGTATATACCCAAAGAACCAAAAATCCATACTCAGGCCAGGTGAGGTGGCTCATGTCTGTAATCCCAACCCTTTAGGAAGCCAAGGTACGCGGATCACCTGAGTTCAAGAGTTCGAGACTAGCCTGGCCAACATGGTGAAACCCCATCTCTACTAAAAATACAAAAATTAGCTGGGCGTGGTGGTGTGTGCCTGTAATCCCAGCTACTCAGGAGACTGAGGCAGGAGAATCGCTTGAATCCAGGAGGCAGAGGTTGCAGTGAGCCAAGATCACGTCATTGCACTCCAGCCTGGGCAAAAAGAGTGAGACTCCACCTCAAAAAAATAAATACATAAAAAATAAACAAAATTAAAGTTTTTTTTTTTTGAGATAAAATCTCACTTTATCACCCAGGCTGGAGTGCGGTGGTGCAATCTCAGCTTACTGCAGCCTCACCCTCCCTGGTTCAAGCAATCCTCCTGCCTCAGCACCCCTAAGTAGGTGGGACTACAGGCACCCGCCACCACACCCAGCTAATTTTTGTATTTTTGGTAGAGACAGGGTTTCACCATGTTGCCCAGGCTGGTCTTGAACTCTTTGGCTCAAGTGATCCACACAGCTCGACCTCCCAAAGTGCTGGGATTACAGGCGTCAGCCACTGCACATGGTCTAAATAAATTTAAGAGACCTATCAACCTATTACAATGGGTAGACTTTATTCTGATTCTGATTTCAGTAAACAAAGTTAAAAAAAAAAGAGTAAGATAACAGGAAACTAGAATAGCAACTAGAGATCAGAGGATATTAAGGAATTATTGATTGCTTTTGCTTTATGAATTTTTCAAAGAATCTTTATCTTTTAGAAATACATTTTGAAATGGATTAAGTATGATGATGTCTTGAATTTGCTTCAAAATCACAAGAGTGGGGGTGGGGGGGGAGGGCACAGATGGTACAAGATTGGCAGGGAACTGGGGATTCGGAAGCTGAGTGATGAGTACAAAACATTACACTTTTTTTTTTTTTTAAAGAGACAGAGTCTTACACTGTCACCTAGGCAGGAGTGTAGTGGTACAATCCTAGTTCACTGTAGCCTTTAACTCCTGGGCTCAAGGGATCCTCCTGCCTCAGCTTCCTGAGTAGCTGGGACTACAGGCATGTGCCACCACACCTGGCTAATTTTCATATTTTTTGTAGAGACAGAGTCTCTCTATGTTGCCTAGGCTGGACTCAAACTTCTGGCCTAAAGCAGTCCTCCCACTTCGGCCTCCCAAAGCACTGGGATGATAGGTGTGAGTGACCACAGGCGCCCACTCAGCATTACACTATTCTCTCTGCCACTGTGTATGAATGTTTCCATAACAGATAATTTGTTTTGTTTTGTTTTTCAGACAGAGTCTCACTCTGTCACCCAGGCTGGAGTGCAGTGGAGTGGTTTTGGCTCACTGCAACCTCCGCCTCCCAGGTTCAAGCAATTCTCCTGCCTCGGCCTCCCAAATAGCTGGGATTACAGGTGCCCGCCACCACACCTGGCTGATTTTTGTATTTTTTGTAGAGACGGGGTTTCACCATGTTGCCCAGGCTGGTCTTGAACTCCTAACCTCAAGTGATCCACTTGCCTCAGCCTCCCAAAGTGCTGGGGTTACTGGCATGAGCCAGTGCGCCTGGCCCATAATAGATAACTTTTTAATCCCTTCCCCAAATTCCCAACAACCTGAGTGTCCAACACTGTGGAACTGGTTAAATTATGGCCCAGCCATGTGATGGAGCATTATGCAGCTATGAAAAATGATGGCTCAACATTTAATGATGTGGAAAATAAGCCTCATCTCAGTTTCTGAATAAGTCAATGACTTACATCACTGCAAGTGATCTAGGAATTATGAGCTATCAGGAACCTGAGGAGGCAAATAAATCATTAAAATGATAGAACACAAATTGGATATAATCACTACCGCGTAGGCACAAGGAACAGCCCTATAGAAGAAAGAAGGCCATTTCCCAGCAGAGCTAATAGAAAGGGGGATCATATCATGCGAGGGCTCTTGTCACTTTGACAAGCTTGTCATGGAAATAATATGACATGGTGATTTGCAAAAGAGGACTGTGAAAAATTAGACAACGGATCAGCATTCACCATGGGACATGTCAAGGTACACGTCAAACATTTCTATGATGGAAATATTGGCCAGGCGCGATGGCCCACACCTGTAATCCCAGCACTTTGAGAGGCTGAGGTGGGTGGATCACAAGGTCAGGAGTTCGAGACCAGCCTGTCCAACATGCTGAAACCCCATCTCTACTAAAAGTACAAAAATTAGCCGGGCGTGGTGGCAAGCACCTGTAATCCCAGCTACTTGGGAGGCTGAGGCATGAGAATTGTCTGAACCCAGGAGGCAGAGGTTGCAGTGAGCTAAGATCACGCCACTGCACTCCAGCCTGGGAGACTCCATCTTGGAAAAAAAAAAAAAAAGAAATATTAATAACAGTGATAGTTCCTTTATAAATTGGTTTTAATTATATAATTTCTGTGTGACTCAGTTTACTGAGTGTTAAGTTTTGTAAGTGTTCAATTCTTTTAAAATCACTCTGGACACTAAAATGTTCACTGTGATTATATCTGAGTCATACATAAGGGGTTTTTTTTAAAATAAACTTTTTAATTGAGGTTTTCTCATTAAACATATTTTCAATGTCTCTTCAATGAAAAAGGATTTCTTGTGAAAAATAATAATAATAATAACAGACGCTTCAAAACAGTGTAGGCCTGGCCAGGCATGGTGGCTCACGCCTGCAGTTCCAGCACTTTGGGAGGCTGAGGTGGGTGGATCACCTGAGGTCAGGAGTTCGAGACCAGCCTAGCCAAGATGGTGAAACCCCATCTTTACTAAAAATGGAAAAATTAGCCAGGCGCCATGGTGGCAGGTGCCTATAGTCCCAGCTACTCGGGAAGCTGAGGCAGGAGAATTGTTTGAACCCAGGAGGCAGAGGCTGCAGTGAGCTGAAATCATGTCACTGCACTCCAGCCTAGGTGATGGAGTGAGACCCTGTCTCAAAAAAAAAAAAAGAAAGAAAGAAAGAAAAAAACAGTGTAGACCTCCTAAACAAAATGCCAACAAATCAAATTTTATGATACATAAAAAAATAACACATCACAGCAAAGTGGAGTTTATTCTAAGAATGCAAGGTGACTTAGCATTCAAAAACCAATCTATGGCTGGGTGCAGTGGCTCACACCTGTAATCTCAGCACTTTGGGAGGCCGAGGTAGGAGGATCACTTGAGGTCAAGAGTTCCAGACCAGCCTGGGCAACATAGTGAGACTCTATCTCTACACTACAGAAAAAAAACAAAACAAAACAAACAAACAAAAAAAACACTTTTTTTTTTAAATTAGCCAGATATGGTGGCAAATGTCTGTAGTCCCAGCTACTTGGAAAGCTGAGGGCTGAGGTGGGAGGCTCGTCTGAGTCTGGGAGGTTGAGGCTGCAGTGAGCCATGACCTGGTGGCTGGGTAACAGAGTGAGACCCAGTCGCAGAAAAAAAAAAGAAAGAAAAAGAAAAAGTGATGGATATCACTTCCAAGATTATGCTATAAAAAGACACTGGCTTTCATCCTGGCTCTCTTTCTCTCCTTCTCTCTTGGAAAGCTCTGAGGGAAGCCGGCAGCCATATTGTGAGGCAGCCCTGTGCAGGTGTCTACATGGCAAGGGAACAAGGCTGCCAAACCACATGAGTGAGCTTGGAAGCAGGTCATCACCAGCCAAACCTTCAGATGAGACCACAGCCCTGGCCAATGGCTGACAAGTATCCCAATTTTCCCGGGACTGAGAAGTTTCCTAGAACAGGGAACTTGCACTGCTAAATCCAGGATAGACCTGGGCAAACCCTATTGACAGCTGAACTGCATACTCCTGAGAGTCCTTGAGCCAGAGGCACCCAGCTTAACTGTGCCAAATTCCTAATGTTTGTTCTTAAGCTGCTGTTTGTGGTAATGTAATATGTAGCAATGGATAACTAACCTAGCACATCACAAATGAGCACATTAAAATGGGTGATACACTTATAACAAGGCATTCAACGTCACTGCTTATCAGAGAAATGCAAAGTAAACTTAGAACAAGTTATTACTCCATACTCACAAAAATGGCTAAAATTTGAAAAGACAGAAAATACCCAGTGTTGGCAAGGATGTGGAGCAACTGGAACTCTCATACACTACTAGTGGGACCGCAAAACAGCACAACCACTTTGGAAACTGTTTTCTAGTAACTACCAAAGCTAAATATTACACATATCCTATGTCCCAGCAATTCTACCCTTACATATACACCAACAGCAGGCATCCACTGGTTCACCAGGACGTGGACAAGAACGCTGATCTCTGGACAATACCTTGGACGTTATTCACACCCACTCCCCGCAGACTACATTGAACACTCCACAAAGAAGAGGCAGGAAAAAAGGGGAGAAGGGAGGAGAGGAGAAGGAAAGAAGGGAGACAGCTCTCTACCAGCAACAGGGGCCTCTGCCAGGCGTGCTATCATTCTGTGACAGCTAGGAGCTTAGTTAGGTCTTCAACCGGCTGCTCAGAGAGGGGATAAGAAATTGCTCTCCCAGGTCCCTGGCCCTGGTTGGGAACTAATTTTCAAAGTGTCTTCCACCCAGGACAATTCTTTTCTTTTTTTTTTTTTCTTTTCTTTTTTTTTTTTTTTTTGAGATGGAGTCTCACTCTGTTACCCAGGCTGGAGTGCAGTGGCACGATCTCGGCTCACTGCAATCTCCACCTCCTGGGTTCAAGCGGTTCTCCTGCCTCAGCCTCCCAAGTAGCTGAGACTAGGTGCGCACCACCACGCCCGCCTGATTTTTGTATTTTTAGTAGAGACGGGGTTTCACCATGTTGGTCAGGCTGGTCTTGAACTCCTGACCTGGTGATCCGCCTGCTTCAGCTTCCCAAAGTGCTGGGATTACAGGCGTGAGCCACCGCGCCCAGAAAAATTCTGTTCAAGCAAACTCGCAGGCTGATCTGGGTCTATAAAAATGATCAAAACAGAGGAGCTCTGACCAATTTGAAGGCCCCCCTTCCAGCCTCCTCCTCCCAGCTATGTCCCTGCTAGGCTGACCACAACACCCCCAGAGACCCAGGTAATTACCTGCCAACCGTAGGTGTCCTGCTGCTGGGTTTTCACCCCTGACCCATCCCAGACCCACCCCAGGCCCCGAGTCTGCACTCACCCAGCTCCAGCCTGGGACTATACCAGCCCGTCGTAGAGGGACAGCGCCTGCACAATGGACGGGTCTGCCTTGGAACCCTCCTGGAACTCCTGCAGGGTCAGCTTCCCGTCGGCATTCTGTGAGCAGAGAGAGGCGGCTGAGGGTGCAGGGCCTCCCAGGAGAGGGCTCTAGACAAGCCCAGCCCAGGGCCGGTCCCAAGAGCCCTTCCAAGGTTAGATCAGGAGGGAGGCAACGTGGCTCAGGGCCTACAAGCAGCCAGCACCAGACAGACCTCGGCACTCATGGCAGGGTGGCCTTGGGCCGTGGCCCACCTCTCTGGGCATGTTTCTTCACCTGGGGATGGAGGGTAATTACCTGGCTTCCTCCAGGCACTCGGGTGACAGCTCTGTGCTTGACCAACTGGAAGTGCCCTGTAACTCCACACGTGTCATGGTTAATGCTATTAAACCCCATCAATGTGAGTAACTGACAAGGCTGAGAGCCTCGTGCAGTTCTCTGGGGTCACTCTTGGAAGGGCATTTAAACTGCTCCTGGAGCAGCCCACACTGGACCCTGGGAGACCCGGCAGGGGGCTGGACATGGCTCAGAAAGAGGAATTTTAGTGGGTCTCTCGGGGAGGGGATGTTTGGGCCAGAATCCCTTCCCCGGAGCATCTCTCAAGGAAGCCGGCGGACCACAAGGAAAAGGCCACGGAGAGCACCTACTCGATCTCGGGTATCCAGAGAGGGTAAGTGCCGAAAACAGCGCCGATGAGCACAACCGAGCTGTGCTCAGGGATCGCTCGCTGCGTACACGACATATGCCAAGCTCGGCGCAACCCTCAGTGTATGGAACCCTCACGGCCAAGCCAAGAAGGGGGTGCTGCTCTCATCCCCATTTTACCAGTGAGGAAGCTGAGGCTCCGTCACCTACCCAGGCCCCAGGGCTGGGAAACGGAGAAGTCAGATTCACACCCCAGTCAGTGTGACTACAGGGTCTGTGCTGTTTCCCAAAATGACGGAAGTGCAGACAGGGGGACAGTAAGGAATGTGCGGCCTTGGCCTTAAGCCACGTGGACGCACACCACGAGAAACTTATTATTCCGTGCTCCACACTCTGTCGATAAATCTTTTGATCATTACCAAGACGCCAGCTGGGTCTGAGGCCAGCACGTCTCTACCACTCCTCTAACATGGGCTAATCTCCCTTTTTTAATTAAGAAAGTACAGGCCTCAGGTCAAAGCTTTTAGGGCAAACAGCTGTCTCCAGCCAGAATCTAATAAGCAGCCCTGCGTTACAGGAATTTCTATGATTGACTGATCGATTGATTGATTGAGACAGGGTCTCACTCTGTCACCCAGGCTGGAGTGCAATGGCACCATCACGGCTCACAGCAGACTTGGTTTCTCAGGCTCCAGCCATCCTCCCACTTCAGCCTCCCGAGTAGCTGGGACCACAGGTGCACACCACCACACCCGGCTAATTTTTGTATTTTTTGTAGAGTCGGGGTTTCATCACGTTGCCCAGGCTGGTCTCAAACTCCTGAGCTCAAGTGATCCACTCGCCTTGGCCTCCCAAAGTGCTGGGATGACAGGTGTGAGCCACCGCACCTGACCATTTTATGTTATTTTGCTGAAGGCACGTAACACCTGGATTTCCCTAACGTCATTATTTCAAATTTACATTTAAGTTATTTTAGTTTTAAGTAAGTTTGATTTAAAGAAGGATTCCTTATTTCTTTGGAGTCCCTTTTTTTAGGCTTTTATTTTAGGCTCAAGGATACATGTGCAGGTTTGTTATATAGGTAAATCCTGTGTTGTGGGGGTTTGCTGTACAGACTATTTTGTCACTCAGGTGATAAGCATAGTACCTGATAATAGGTGGGTTTCGATCCTCACCCTCCTCTCACCCTCCACCCTCAAGTAGGCTCCAGTGTCTATGGTTCCTTTTATTTTATTTTTTTTCTTTTGAGACAGTCTCACTCTTATTGCCCAGGCTGGAGTGCAGTGGTGTGATCTCGGCTCACTGCAACCTCTGCCTCCCAGGTTCAAGCAATTCTCCTCCCTCAGCCTCCCGAGTAGCTGGGATTACAGGCATGTGCCATCATGCCTGGATAATTTTTTTTTTTTTTTTTGAGACTGCGTCTCACTCTGTTGCCCAGGCTGGAGTGCAATGGCGCGATCTCCACTCACTGCAACTGCTGCCTCCCGGATTTTTTTTTTTTTTTTTTTTTAGTAGAGAAAGGGATTCACCATGTTGGCCAGGCTGGTCTCGAACTCCTGACCTCAGGTGATTCACCCGCCTCGGCCTCCCAAAATGCTGGGATTACAGGTGTGAGCCACCACACCTGGCTTTGGTTCCCTTTAAAGAAGGGTTTCTTGGCCAGGCACGGTGGCTCACGCCTATAATCCCAGCACTTTGGGAGGCCGAGGCTGGTGGATCACGAAGTCAGGAGATCGAGACCATCCTGGCTAACACGGTGAAATCCCGTCTCTACTAAAAATACAAAAAATTAGCCAGGTATGGTGGCATGCGCCTGTAGTCCCAGCTACTCGGGAGGCTGAGGCAGGAGAGTTGCGTGAACCCAGGCGGCAGAGCTTGCAGTGAGCCGAGATCGCGCCCGCCACTGCACTCCAGCCTGGGTGACAGGGCGAAGATTCTGTCTCAAAAAAAAAGAGAAGGGTTTCTTAACCTTGGGCCTGTGGATAGAAGTCAGCAGGTCTATGAACTTGGGGGAAAAAAAATCAGCCTTTTTTTACTAACCTCTAACTGAAATGTAGCTTTTCCTTTGATGGAAACCTAGGCGACGGTCCCCAACAGGACCTGCAGTACCTGTGATCTGTCGACAGTAGGGATCACAGGTATTTTCATAACACACCCTAGTTGCTGCAGATATTACAGCTCGCAATTTCGGGGGTTGCTGGACCCACCACTACATCTTAGTGAATGCGTTAAGAAAGCAGCTCACAGAACGCTACATCACAGATTCTTTTTTTAAAATACTCTGACAGCTGTTTTCTAAAATAATCAGCTTCCTTTTTGATCTTATGGATTTTATTTTATGCGCTTAAAGCCATTATGCTGAGAAGTCTGTAGGCTTCTCCAGAATGCCAAAGGGGTCCATGGCAAACAAAAAAAAAAGGCTAAGGACTCTGGTTGATTAAAGAAAACATGCTGAGCAAACTGACTTAAGACTCTGGACACTGGATGGGGCTAGCTGCTGAGCAGGGATAGGACACCGTGCCGCCTGCCGTGAGCCATGGAGGAGGTTGGCAGCAAAGCCAGGCCCAGGATCCAGGGACTCCAATTCCTGCCCCCGACACCTTGCCTCCCTGGTCCAGGACCAGCCCCGCCCCCCCACCTCACCTTATCCATCATGGCAAAGATCCGGTCCACCCTCTTCTCAGGAGTGTTCTCCTCCTCTGGGAGCTCCACGGTATTCCCCTGCAGGGACGGACAAGGCGGGGGTGGGCCCTGGCACTCTGGGCTTTGGGCTCTTGGCCACGCATTTGCCCCCCAGACCTGGCAGTTTCCAGATGAGGGCCGCCCCCCTCTTCTTTCCCCTCCCCATCCCTGCCATTGTGCCCTGGAACATCCCACACCCCAGCCCCACTATCTACCAGCTTGTGCCTGCCTGCCCAGGCAGAGATGTACAGAACGGCTCAGCCAGTGACCCCTGCTTCCACCCTGGGCAGGAGCATGGCTGCACAAGTGCTCTCTCTCTGTCTCTCAGTCACTGGCTTTGCCCCTCCTGCCACCCCTAACCACACGAGACCCGGCTTCTCACCACCATCTGGTAAATGGCATCCACAATGTCCAGCATCTCATTCCTGGTGATGTAGCCATCATTGTCCAAGTCGTAGAGCTTGAAGGCCCCTGTAAGCAAGCAGCACTGCTGAGTGATCCTGGGCTGGGGCAGTGGGGAGGGGTCTTCAACTCGCCCCTCCTCTCTGTACCCCAACATGAAGTCAGCGACCGGATGGCCCATTCCTCATCAGGTCAACTAATATTTACATCAGGATAGACAGGGACAGACACACACACACCATTGCAACTAGGGTTAAAAAAAATAAGGCTGGGCATGGTGGCTCACACCTGTAATCCCAGGACTTTGGGAGGCTGAGGTGAGCAGACTGCTTGAGCCCAGGAGTTCGAGACCAGCCTGGACAACATGGCAAAACCCCGTCTCTACAAAAATACAAAAATTAGCCAGGCCTGGTGGCGGTGCCTGTAGTTCCAGCTACTTGGGAGGTTGAGGTGGGAGGATGGCTTGAGCCCAGGAGGCGAAGTTTGCAATAAGCCGAGATCAAGCCACTGCACTCCAGCCTGGGTGACAGAGCAAGTCTCTCTCCCTCTCTCTCTCTGTATATACATATATATATACGTATATATATATACACATATATATATACGTATATATATATACACACACACATATATATATTTATAGATACATAATTTATATTTATGTATATATATTTATAGATACATAATTTATATTTATGTATATATATTTATATACATAATTTATATTTATGTATATATATTTATATACATAATTTATATTTATGTATATATATTTATATATACATAATTTATATTTATGTATATATATTTATATATACATAATTTATATTTATGTATTATGTATATATATTTATATATACATAATTTATATTTATGTATATATATTTATATATACATAATTTATATTTATGTATATATATTTATATATACATAATTTATATTTATGTGTATATATATATTTATTTATTTATAAATTAAAAATAACAGGGCCAGGCACAGTGACTCACCCCTATAATCCCAGCACTTTGGGAGGCCGAGGCGGGCAGATCACCTGAGGTCAGGAGTTGGAGAACAGCCTGGCCAACAGGATGAAACCCCTTCTCTACTAAAAATACAAAAATTAGCCAGGTGTGGTGGCGGGCGCCTGTAGTTCCAGCTACTTGGGAGGAGGTGAGAGGATGGCTTGAGCCCAGGAGGCGAAGGTTGCAATAAGCCGAGATCGAACTACTGCACTCTAGCCTGGGTGACAGAGCAAGACTCTCTCTTTCTCTCTCTCTCTCTCTCTCTCTCTCTCTCTCTCTCTCTATATATATATATATATATATATATATATATATATATGATATTTTATATATATATTAAATATTTTATATATATATATATTAAAAATAACAGGGCCAGGCACGGTGGCTCACACCTGTAATTCCAGCACTTTGGAAGGCCAAGGTGGGTGGATCATCTGAGGTCAGGAGTTCGAGACCAGCCTGGCCAACATGGCGAAACCCCATTTCTACTAAAAACACAAAAATTAGCCAGGTGTGGTGGCACATGCCTGTAATCCCAGCTACTTGGGAGGCTGAAGCAGGAGAATTGCTTGAACCCAGGAGGCAGAGATTGTAGTGGGCCGAGATTGTGCCACTGCACTCCAGCCTGAGCAACAGAGCGAGACTCTGTCTATAAATAAATAAACAAATAAAATAAAGGGATGGGGCATTGGGCTGCCAGGGCCGAGGTATCAGTGGCTGGAGCTGAGTGCGTGGGAGAGCCCGGGGCCTGGGATGTTACCCAGAGGAGCACCCCTCTCCTTCCCCCAACTCCAGCCCCCACCTCCTCCCCACAGTCCACTCTGCTCCCACAATTATGGTGTGGCCTGCTACAGTCAACATTAGAAAATAAAATAGTGCATTGAGAGGAGGAGCTTTTGCATAAATAAAGTTCTCTTTTATTTCTTAAAAAAAAAAAAAAGAAAGAAAGAAAAAGAAAAAGAAACTGCAGGGTCTTCTTGCTGCCGATGGACTGAAGTGTGAAAGTCTTACTGAGCAGGGAGTTCTGGCCAGCTGGTTTCCATCTTCCCTCCCCTCCACGCACCCTGCATTCCTCCTAATGCCGCCAGGGGCCTGCACAGCTTCCCCTCCCAACTCCCTCTCAGCCTCCCTCCACTGGGCCTCGCACACGCGGGCCCCCTGGCTGGAGCCCTTAACGCCCCCTCCCCAGCTCCTCTCATCCCCAGCTCCTCTCATCCCCAGCTCTGCGCCTACCAGGCAGGTCCTCTCCTGCTCACAACTCCCTCTCTCCTCCTTGCCTGCAGTTTCCTGAGGTTTTTTTTTAAATCCTGCTGCCACTCTAGACTGATCGCCCTGAGAGCAGGGACCCATCTATCTTATCCCCCAGTGGATCCCTGGTACCAACACGTGGCTGCATTCAGTCGTTATTTGGTCAATGAATGAGTGAGTAAGTGAATGACTGAAAGCAAGAATCAAAGCAATGGCTATGAAAGAGGTGGGTCCGGCACTGAACCTGGGTCTTGGGTCCCCACCGACCCTCCTGCGGCCCAAGTCTGCACCTGCCCGAGTGCAGCCAAGGCTCCTGCCAGCCTCTGCCCCCAGCCCTCCCTGTCCACCTGCCTCAGCGAGCTCCTTCCTGCTGCCGGTGCCTCCAGGAAACCCTCCCACCTGGAAGCACAGATGTCTGCGCTGCTCTCTGAACCCTGGACAGTCAGCCTGGCCTAGTTACGTGGCCGTGTGAGGGCCACCTGCCCAGGGCCCAGGCCTGCCCTCTGCAGACACAGCTGGGACGCCATCTGTGGTCACTGCAGTGGGTGTCTGGCACCCCTGCCTGGTGAGGGCCGAGGGCTGCCTCCCTCTGACCTGGGCCCTCCAGCTGCTGCCACACAGGGCCAAGGGGGCAGGACTTACACCGTAGCTTCTCATCCAGGGTTCCCCGTGAGGTCACCGACAGCGCCTGGATGAACTCGGAGAACTCAATTCGCCCGTCCTGACAGGAGAGAGAGGGGATTGCCTCAGTCAGTGCCGGCCAGGCCACCGGGTCAGGCTGAACCTCGGGACGGGCGAGGGGCAGTCGCAGGCTCCAGACACTGTGGCCAATGGACACTCAGGTGGAGAGGGCAGGCTCGAAGGAATGGGGGGCGAGAGGCAAGGAGAGGGTGGGGAGCAGAGGCTGGGGGACTGTGTGGGGGGTTAGAAGTGGGAGAGGCCAGGAGGGAGGCACAGGAAGAAGGACTGAGGCTGAACGGAGAGGCTTACTCCACTCTTGATGGGAGAAGGTGCCAGAAGCACCAATGCCTGAGCTCCTCTCAGCAACAGCCCGGAAGCCCCTCGGCCTAGAGCTGTGGGCTCATGGGCTTTTGCAGAGGAAAGGCCGCTGCAGGTTGTTTAATTCCACCTCTTATTTGCAAATGAAGAAACCGAGGCCCAAGAAGGGAAGAGCCCTTCCCAGGGTCAGGCATGTGACTCCCAGCCTGGGGGCACCTGGGAGAAGCTGGGGATGGGATAGAATAGAAACCTCCACGGTGCCAGCAGCAGGGGGTACAGAGACAAGTGGCAGTAAATCCACCCTCAAATGCTACTGCAGGACAGAATCAGGGTCATCGCAGATAACCCAACAGCTATCCGTGCAGCCACTGCCCGGAGGTGACACAAGCTACCACATGGTAAGTCTTGAAAACATGATGCTCAGTGGAAAACGCCAGGAACAAAAGATCCTATAGCCTACGATTCTCAGAGCCTCAGTTTCCTGACCTACAAAATGGGTATTAAAATACCCAGCTCCCAGGTGCTTGTAAGGCCTCATTAAAAATAATCCATGTATGGCCGGGCAAGGGGGCTTACACCTGAAATCCCAGCACTTTGGGAGACCAAGGTGGGTGGATCATCTGAGGTCAGGAGTTCAAGACCAGCCTGGGCAATACGGTGAAACCCCATCTCTACTAAAAATACAAAAATTAGCCAGGTGTGGTGACGGCGCCTGTAATCCCAGCTTCTCAGGAGGCTGAGGCAGGGGAATTGCTTGAATCTGGGAGGCAGAGGTTGCAGTGAATTGAGACTGCACCACTGCACTCCAGCCTCGGCAACAGAGCAAGACTCTGTCTCAAAAAAAAAAAAAATCCATGTAAAGAGCTTAAACATAGTAAATGTTCAGGAAATATTGGTTATTATTATTAATCCTGTTATTATCATGGGAGGTATTTGCATTTTATGCTTGTAAGAGAAGTGTCAGGGTGTACATGTGTATACATGCATGTGTGTTGTGCACTGTATACATATGCATATGTGTATATGTCTCTCTGTGTGTACACGTGTGTGCACCTGCAAGTCCATGCATTGTGTGCATATGTGTGCATTTCTGTGCACTGTATGAATATACATGTATGTTCACGTGTGTGGCTGCATCTCCATGTATGTGTGCCCACATGTGTGCATGGTATTCGCCTGCATGTGCACATACACGTCTGTGTGAGAGCTTGGATGTGCATGTCAGTACATGTGTGGGTGTACATATGTGTGCACACATGTGCATGCATTTGGATGCATCTGTGTTTATTGTGTGTCTGCATGTGTACATGTGCATGCATTTATGTGCGACTATGTATCTGTGCATGTCAGTATGCACTCGTGTGTGTGTTCCTTCTCTAGAAGGGAACATCGGCAGGAGAGAGTGGGTGTGGAGACGCTGCGGGTACCCACAGGAGCTGAGCCAGCTGCCGCAGGCCCCATCAATCCCCAGCTCACCTTGTTTTCATCAAAGACGTTGAAAACAAATGTGGCAAACTTGGTGGGGTCTCCGAACGGGAAGAATTGCTTGTAGATCTTCTGGAAGCCTGCCGCATCCAGCTGCCCACTGGGGCAGTCCTTGATGAAGCCTTTGTACCTGGAGGCAGCAGACCGGGCCAGAGAGGGTAAAGGAGACGCCAACATCACCCACCCACCACCAACATCGCCTGCCCGGGGCCCAGGAAAGCTGTGGCTCCTTGTTCAAAGAGATGGTGCCCCATGGGGCCATGGACTTGATAGGCACAGGCGCAGTCCCACCTCTGCCTCTCACTAGCAGTGTGACCTTGGATACAGACTTCACCTCTCCTAGCCTCGTCTGCATAAGGGGGTTACGAACTGACATAGGAATTAACCCAGATACTGCACACAGAGTGAGCACTTGGCCACCCAGCCCTGTGCTCCACCCAAGGGGGCTAAAACAAGAGTCACATGAATGGCCTCCCCAAAGCCGCATGCCTGCACAAGACCCTCCCACCTCCCCACCTTCTCTGCTGAGCCCCTCCTGGCATCAGGCTGGGTGGGCTGCTGCTGGTGCTGGTGGGTAGACCACCATATGGAGCCAGCAGGTGGCTCCTCCCACATGCCCACACCCTGCCCCTCAGTCTCTGTTCCCAGGGAACTGGGTAAACAGCATGGGGGGATCCTGGCTGTTCCAACTGGACTTGTCCACCCTGCAGTCCCAGTGCCCAGCACAAAACCCTCCAGATCCCTACGTGGCTGACGCCGGAATGGCTTTGCACTCCCAATCCCAGGACAGATCTCTGCCATTCACTGCCTGTACAGCCTCAAGCAAACGCCCTCACCTGTCTGAGCCTCAGTTTCCTCATCCATAACAAGGGATGGTTCTCATACCCCTCTTGTTGGTATCAGGGGACATGGTGCATGTAACCACAGGGCTTAGCACAAAAATGAGTCGAGAGTGTGATCTTTAGAATTGTGAACTTAAATATGTGTTGTTCTAAACCCAATTCACAAACTGGCTCCTGTAGGCAGTTTAACCACCCCTCCCGCCCCACCCCCAGGAGGACACGCACTCCTCAGAGGACGATTCCTTCCACATCGGGAAGCCAGAGAGAGAGGTCATCTATCACCAACACCGGCTATTAGCTTTGCAGGGCCTGACGCGACTGGGAACTCTGCACACCTTACTCTCCCAGGATGCCCCTAATGGCCCTGAGAAGGTACTACGAGGAAGCCTTTTTTTTTTTTTTTTGAGACAGAGTCTCACTGTGTCGCCCAGGCTGGAGTGCAGTGGCAGGATCACGGCTCACTGCAACCTCCACCTCCCGGGTTCAAGCGATTCTCCTGCCTCAGCCTCCCGAGTAGCTGGGATTACAGGCATGTACCACCACACCCAGCTAATTTTTGTATTTTTAGTAGAGACAGGGTTTTGCCATGTTGGCCAGGCTGGTGTCGAACCCCTGACCTCAGGAGATCTGCCCGCCTCGGCCTCCCAAAGTGCTGGGATTACAGGCGTGAGCCACAGTGCCCGGCCGAGGAAGCCCATTTTACAGATGAAGAAACAGGCTCAGAGAGAGGAAGACATTTGCAAGTCCTCGAAGCCCGGACTACAGCTGAGGTGGGATCGAAGGTGAATGCTGAAGAGGCCGACGCTCAGAGAAGCCAGATCACCGAAGACTTTCACACGTCCCACTGTCCCCCATTCTAATGTGATCCACACAAAGCCTCCACCCTCCCCTCGAACATCGGAGAGGGTTATGGGAGTACCGCGCATGGTGCGCGCGGCACTCTGATTAGGGTCCATACAGAGAGGACGCACATGGAAAAGCCACCGTCCCCCTCCCCAATGAAGAGGAATCTAAGGGGCTGGAATGGATCCTGGGCACATGTGAAGGGACATGTGGGGCACCCAGGGGTGGCACCCTGAAAATTCTGCGGCCTGGAAGGTGAAGCTCAGGCACCCAGCCTCCTGCCAGTACTGTGGCTGCTGCTGCCGGAGTGAGGGCGGTTGAGGGGAGGAGGAGGATGGGGGAGGGCAGAGAAGAGGGAGCAGGATGTGGGAGGGAGGGCAGTTCTTCTTGAGTCAGACCATAGCGGGCACATGACCGTCCCAGCAGTGCCCACAGCAAGCAGGAGGCTGTGAATAGGCCAGCCCTCTGCACCTTTCCCTGTCCCCACCCCAGAACACCTTGAAGGGTGCCAGAGGCCCAGGGAGGTAGGTCCTGGCTCAGGAACCACAGGCCTTTGTAACAGCCCATAATAGCAGCCCAAACCCAGGCACTGTGCTGAGAGGGTGGTTCCCTCGGCAGGTCGGCCCAACCATCCCATTTCACAGATGAGGCACTGAGGCACAGAGAGATCAGGAGATTCATCCACAGCAATGCGTGAGACTCGGAGCCCGCCCTGCCTCTCCTGTCCTCTGCCCTGCCGGCCAGTGTGCGACCCCAGCATCCGTCCCTCCCGTGCATGTGATGTCCGCAGGCCCACCCAGAATCCCTGCAGCCTGGCAGGACTCTCAGGGTCTACTGGCCTCTGCTCAGCCCTGAGGTCTGTTCTGAGCCCCTGCTTGGATTGGCCAAGCAAGAAGGAAGCAAAGCACACGGATCTCAAGTCCCTTCCCACAGCAGGAGGAAGGGACACAGCCACCCCCGTCCTGGCCCTTAAACCTGCCTTCTCCCTGCTTCTTTTGAGTTTCTTCTGTTTCAGCCTGGCCCATGACTCCAGACTCCCAGGCCAGGATGGGCCCCTGGGCAGAGGAGGGAACATGCCTGGCACCAGGACTTAATGACCCATGTGGGGGCACACCCAACTGTCACCAGACATCTCTGGATGTCAGATGGTTACTTCTTCTTCGTGCAAACCTTCTAACTTATCCACAATGACTTTGTGTTACTTGAGTGATTCTAAAAGGTTATTAAAAACAATAAAGACAAAACAAAAGGCACCCAAAGGCCTCCCTGCAGATGGCTCACAGGGGCTGCTCTAAGGAGATGGAGGCTGTGCACAGCGCCAGCACAGTGAGCAGCTGTGAAAGGCTGGCAGTGAAGGTCTTTGCAGAGGGAAACTGGCTTCAGTGGGGAGCCTTTGGGGGCCTATCCAGTTACCCCTGCAGAGGTTATTACTGTGGGGCCCCAGCTCCCTTCTGTGCCAATAGCAGGGGCCCCAAGAAGCCCCCCATGAGGTGATGTCCATGAGAGGGTGCCCAGCCTGATGTTCCAGCTTCCTCCTGCCAAACCCCCCATACTCCACACCCAGACTTCAGACAGGCTCCTCTGAGCCCTCTTCTCACTTGGCCTCGACCTGTCCCCTGGCCCCTCCCCTGCTCTTCAGCCTGCCTGGCCCAGCTGTAGCCAGAATCCCCACCCCCACGATATCTGATCAAGTGCCTCCTCCCCAGTTCGCTTCACGTGTGAGTCCTCGTCCCGCCTCCAGCATCAGCCTGCCCAGTCAGTTCAGCAGGAATCCCCTGCCCTGGAGGCCTCCTCTTAGTTTCCATCTGCTGACCCCTCACCCTGTTCATTGGCTGTGAAGCCTCACTTCCTTGCATTCGGAGTTGATTCCCCTCTCTCTCCCAGGTTGTGATAGTCCTGACACCTATTGCAAGAGTCCCCAGTGAAGCCTTCCTGACCATTTTAAGAAGCGTGAGAATATCGCTTTCTTTAACATGGGCCCACCCACTCTCCCGCCAGGCCCCAGCTTAGATGCTGCTGCTTTCAGGAAGTCGGCCCAGCCCCAGGTCTGAGGCCTCCGGGCCTCCTCTGTGCCCCTGCCCACTTGTCTGTCCCAGCAGAGCCTGTACCACGCTATACCATATGTGCCTCCACGCCAGTCCCCCACCGGAATGTAGGCCCCCTGACACCGCTGTGCCCTGATGACCCGCATGAGGCCTGGCATGTAACATGGTCCTGGGGCATGTTTGTCCGGTGAGGTGAATGAATAAACACACAAATTGCCAGGCAGGGGCAGAGGGAACAAGAGCCCAGTTGGCGTCTGGCTCCTTCTTCCTGAGCCCCATGGAACAGGGACCTCCAGAGACCCTGGCTGAGACCTAAGAGCTCTGTGGGCACAGTTAGAAAACCACTGAGGTGTGGCCAGGCATGGTGGCTCACGCCTGTAATTCCAGCACTTTGGGAGGCAGAGGTGGGCGGATCATTTGAGGTCAGGAGTTTGAGACCAGCCTGGCCAACATGGTGAAACCCTGTCTCTACTATATATACAAAATAAGCACGTGCCTCATGTCTCTAATCCCAGCTACTCAGGAGGCTGAGGTAGGAGAATCACTTGAACCCAGGAGTCAGAGGTTGCAGTGAGCCGAGATCACGCCACTGCACTCCAGCCTGGGCGATAAAGTGAGGCTCCATCTCAAAAAAAAAGAAAAGAAAACCGGTGGGCCAGGCGTGGTGACTCACACCTGTAATCCCAGCACTTTGGGAGGCTGAGACGGGCGGATCACAAGGTCAGGAGATGGAGACCATCCTGGCTGACACGGTGAAACCCCGTCTCTACTAAAAATACAAAAAAATTAGCCGGGCGTGGTGGCGGGCGCCTGTAAGTCCCAGCTACTCAGGAGGCTGAGGCAGGAGAATGGTGAGAACCCAGGAGGCGGAGCTTGCAGTGAGCCGAGATCACGCCACTGCACTCCAGCCTGGGGGACAGAGCGAGACTCCGTCTCAAAAGAAAAAAAAAGAAAGAAAAGAAAACCAGTGATGTGCTCCCACCCTCTGTGTATGGAGAAGACTGGCCCAGAGAGGGAGAGAGACAGGCCGAAAGTCACACAGCAAGTCACCAGCAGAAACAGGGCTCAGACCCAGGGCTCCTGCCTCCCAGGCTCCCCGCCTCACCTGCCCCTCCGGCAAGCCAGGCTGCACCGCCCCCGTGTAAGCGCATGGGTAAAGCGACTGCTACCCAAACATTACGTAACCTCCTGCTCATCATCAGAAGGTGGAGGAGGGAGCCTGCCTCAACTGGAGCAGAGAGACGGGATGGGGGGGTCTGAACCTTCCCAGCCACCCCAGCCACCCCCAGGCCTCTACCACCCTGCAAATCACAGCTGTGAGGCTGGGATTTCACACCATGGTCCCAGCCTGACGTGCCACCCATCTGCCACCGGCTGGCTGAGTCAGGACCCCCTGAAGCAGCTGCACACTCCCTCTTGCAGTGGGCACCCGAGTGAGCTGCTGGCATATGATGAAGATCATGCCCAAGAATTTTGTCCCCAGGATGCCTGAGAGACGTGACTCCATCCCCCACTCCTGCAGGTTCCCACAGGCCCGGACCTCCTCCCTCCCCTCCTGCCAGTCCCTCCCTCTCTCCTTCAGACACGCTGCCGCCAGACCTGCTCTGGTGCTGGGACACGGGCCTGTGCCCCTGGCCTGGCACTAACCTGTTGTGCTGGGGGAGGACCCTGAGCAAACCCCTTCCCCACAACGCCCCTCGGTTTCCCTGTGAGTAAAGTAAGTGGCTCATACTAGATCAGGGTTTCCCCACCCCGGCACTCCTGACGTTCGGGGCCAGGTCGCTGTCGTGCAGGCCTGTCCTGTGCATAGTAGACACTTAGCAGCATCTCCAGCCTCTGCCAGACAGATGCCAGTAGCACCCCCTCCCCAAGTTAGGACAACCTCAAGTGTCTCCAGACATTGCCAAATATCCCCTCGGGGGCAGAACCACCCAGGTTGAGAACCACTGGACCAGATGGTCTCTGGGGACCCCCACAAGCTCAGGGGATCCGCCATAAGCATCTGTGATTCTAACGGCTATTCAGGAGATCTGAGAGGCAGGCACGCGGCCGTGTGCTTTCCAGGAACGATTCTGCCCCATCGTCCCAACATCCAGAAGGTGAGGCCAATCCCGCCCACTTTGCCAATGGAGAAACTGAGGTTTCTGGAGGTGAAGGCCCCTCCTGGCTCAGGGCGTCCATATGGATGTCTTCCACATGGTCTGCCCTTCCCCCTCCTCCCCACCTGCCTGACTCCACTCACCGCTTCCTTCTCGGCACCAGAGCATCTCCCTGAGAGAAGCCTCTCTGACCACCCCAGGCCGGGTCATGCTCCAGGACACACTCCCAGCACCCCATCCCCCAGCTGGGCCTTGGTGGCACCTCAAGCAGCTGTGCCTTGGGAATGATTTGAGTGACTTGTGCAGTGACAGGCCACGGGCTGTTGAGGCAGGAGCCCTATCTTCTAGTTCACCTCCAAACCTGCACCGCCCACTCCTGTGCCTGGCAAACATAGTAGTCACTCAGTTAACGTCAGGCTCACACAGCTAGCCAACGAGGTGGCCAGGACCAGAGCCCATACTCCAGAATGGGAGCTGCCTCTGTGCTCGGTACCAGGAAGGGGAGAGAGGGACCGGCTCTCCTGGCCCTGCCCACCTCTCTGACAGCCAGGTGGAAGCCGAAAGTCCTCCGCGGACCTGATTTCTTCCACATCTTCTGCTTGATTCCAGACCCACAGTGGAAGGGACAGGAGTCCCAGCATCATTGCTGGCTCAGGCCAGGCCAGGGTGGAGGAGTAGAGATGGCACCAGGAACAACCCGTTATCCCGAGTCTCCCTGCAGACTGGCGACTCAAGGTGCTCAGCATGGTCAGGGGTTCAGGGCAGGATCTCGGAGTCCAGCCCCAGCATCTCCAGGCTCCAGAGGATGGATGGCTCTGGGGGTCCACCATGCAGGCCCCCAATTTCAGATAAGTGCTTCATGTGTGCAGGAGAAAGGGGTGGCAGAGGGGTCCCTATGATTATCATTATGATTGTGAATATCCGTGATTATTTTCACTGGTGGCATTGAGCATACAGGAACTCTGTAATATAAAACAGGAGGCTGGGTCAGGTGGCTCACACCTGGAATCCCAGCACTTTGGGAGGCCGAAGCAGGAGGATCACCTGAGCCCAGGAGTTTGAGACCACCCCGGGCAACATAGCAAGACCCCATCTCTCTACAAAAAAAAAAAAAAAAAAAAATTAGTGGAGCCGGGCACAGTGGCTTGTGTTTGTCCTCCTAGCTGTTTGGGAGGCTGAAGGAGGAGGGTCCCTTGAGCCCAAAAGTTTGAGGTTGCAGTGAGCTATGATCACACCATTACACTCCAGCCTGGGCAACAAAGCCAGACCCTGTCTCAAAAAAAAAAAAAGAAAAGAAAAAGAAAAAGGTGTTGAATTTTTTTTCTTTTTAAGTTTAAGAAACTGAAAAAGAAGGGCTCAAGCTTCAGTCCTGGCTTGATCCTGCCCCACTCTTGACCTGTGTGTGACCTGGGGCAGGTGACGGTTCCCCTCAGAGTCTCGGTTTCCTCATCTGTGAGGTGAGAGCCAACCTTACACCCTCCTTTCAGACCCCTGAGTGGGCCTGGACAAATGAGCTGAGATTGTTAACACCACAGGACGTCCTGAGCACTGGCCATGCCCCAAGCCCTGATCTACGACCTCCACAAACACCAGAGCCAGTGGCCAGGGACAGCCCAACCCCCGTTACCTCGTCCCACCAGCTGTCCCAAGAGGAAGGTTCCACAATACCCTCCCGAGTCCCCACTCTGGCCCCATGGGAAGTCCTTCCCTTTCTTTCTTTTTTTTTTTTTTTCTAAGACTGAGTCTCACTCTGTCACCCAGGCTGGAGTACAGGGGCACGATCTACACTCACTGCAACTTCCGCCTCCCAGGTTCAAGCAATTCTCCTGCCTCAGCCTCCCGAGTAGCTGGGACTACAGGTGCGTGCCACCATGCCCAGCTAAGTTTTGTATTTTTAGTAGAGACGGGGTTTCATCATGTTGGCCAGACTGGTCTTGAACTCCTGACCTCATGATCTGGCCGCCTCAACCTCCCAAAATGCTGGGATTACAGGTGTGAGCCATCGCGCCTGGCCGGGAAGTCCTTCCTAATACCCAGTCTCCTAGTACATGGGCGGGGACGTACCAAGACCCCTCACTGCCCCTCCCCACCCAGTAACTCAGCCCGAGATGTTTATACAGAGGCCACACCTCACACAACCTTGTTCGCGAACAGGGTCTTAACTCTTTGGGGTCCAGAGACCCCTTTGGGGATTAGAGAAGAGCCATGGTGCCAGACCTCAGAGGCAGGCCCAGGCTGTGAAGAACGGGGCCTGCGATCCCCAGCCACGGGAAGCCGAGGTTTCTGATATGGTTGACTGTGTTTGGGAACCAGCTCCACGAGACAGGGTAGAGATGAGAAAAGAAAATCCTAGATTCAACAACGGCGTTCTTACACTTCTTTAAAAGGGCAGGGGAGAAAAGAAACCTCATTTCATAAAAATCCTGAAAGCTGACTACCACTTGCAAAACAGTTCCCACGCCAGCGCTGGGTCTCCTCCCACACCTCCCACCTTCTCTTCCCCAACACGGCGCCAGGCTGGGTGAATGCCCTCGTCCACCAGGAGACTCCAAGCACCTCGCCCCCCTCAGTCCCGGATGCCCGCCCGCAACCGGCACTGGCCTGGCATAGAGTAGGTGCTCAGTCAAGATGTACTGAATGAATCAGTGAACAAATGAACCAATGATTGAATGCTCCCAGGACACACGGGTCCAACTCCACTTTGGCCTCTAGTTCTCTGAGGGCCTGAGCAAGCCCCCGCACTGCCAGGCCTCAGTCTCCCAAACGCCCCGGTCCTCTAGGACTTCCCCCGAATTTGCCACTCTCAGTTCCTGCAGACTCATGTCCTCTGGGATCCTGCTGGGAGGCCAGCCCTGCATTTCCTGCCATGCTGATGATACTGCGGCAGCTGCTCTCTGCAGTGCAAAAGGTGGGACAGAGATTGCTAGACGGATAAATCATAAAGCATTACCCCAAGCTGCAATCAGCCAGGCGCAGCGGGGATGGGCGCAGCGGCAGCCTCGGCAAATTATTCTCCCATTATCTCTTCAAACAACTCTCTCCAGTGGCATGCCCCTCCCCACACTCCCTGGAGACCTGGAGGAGGGTCCCAAACAGCCATGAGATGGTTCCTCTTCCTTTCCCTTCCCCCCAGTAGCCTCCGGTTTTACAGGTTTCCCAGAGCAAGAAAGCAAGAAGCCGGCGGGTCTGAGCCCCAATATTCAGGACCACGGAGGCAGAGCGAGCTGGACCCAGACTCCACACACACACACACACAGAGCTGTGTGACCTGGGCAAGGGTCTCCACCCTTCTGAGCCTCAGTCTCTTCATCTGTAAAATGGGGCCGCTCCTCGTATTCTCCGCACGGCACCGTTTCATCAGCACTGTGCCTGCCCGCAGGAAAGCCCCCAGTGTGTTGCTGAGAGGCTGTCTCCGCGCCCACTCTGCATGGCGCGGCCCAGAATCAACAGCTGGCCGTGTTGATGCGAGGACAGAATTCCTCCGGCTTCCACCCACTACTTTTGCTATCATATTGCTAGGATATTTGGTTATTATAAAAGTAATAAAACCCATTGTAGAGTCAGGCGCAGTGGCTCATGCCCATAATCCCAGCACTTTGGGAGGCCGAGGTGGGCATTTCCTGAGGTCAGGAGTTTGAGACCAGCCTGGCCAACGTGAAACCCCCGTCTCTACTAAAAATACAAAAATTAGCCAGGCGTGGTGGTGGGTGCCTGTAATCCCAGCTACTCGGGAGGCTGAGGCAGGAGAATCGTTTGAACCCAGGAGGCAGAGTTGCAGTGAGCCAAGATTGTACCACTGCACTCCAGCCTGGGCAACCAAGCGAGACTGTCTCAAAAAAAAAAATAGTTGCAGAAAAGTTGGAAAATAGGACACATAATCCACCAGAGGACACCCGCCCCCCACCCCCACCTCACACACCCACGACCAGCCTCAGCCTGCATCCATCCCATCTTTCTTCTCTGCCTACATTTTTTCCATCATGGACTGGTGCCCGATGACGGTGTGTACCCTGCTGTCTCCACTCAGGATAATGCCCTCATCACTTTCCAGGTGATTACAGAGCTCACAGTCACCTTTACAGGCCTGGGATCTGCCATTTCTTAAGCAGCCCTCATTGTGGTTCCTGATCTTCCACGACGGTGAATTGGGCTCAAGTGAGCAGGAACTAAGATAAAAGAACAAGGGATGGGGAAGCGGGGGATACTGGGCTGGCTGCAGACCCGGAAGCTGGCTGTGGACACCAATGCCGGCTCTACCTCTCAAAGCCTCCAGCTTCCTCCCTCTGCCAAATACAGACAACGGCACCAGCAGCTCAGAGCTGGGAGGCACCAAGGAGCTGGCACCGTGGGATGCCCAGTGCGGAGCCTGGTGCAGGGTGAGCATGCCCAGTTGGCCTGGCCCGGGCCTCCTATTGCCGTGCCCTGGCCTGTGCTCTCCTGGGGACTTGGGACCTGACCGGCACTGGAGCCCGAGTTCTAGTCCAGGCTCTGCTTCTACTGACTTTGCGGCCCAGGACAAATCACAGAATCACTTAAGACCCTGTATGGCAGCTGCTATATGTCAGCACAAACCCAGATGACCCTAGATTGTACAGGACAGACAGGGACCTCCTCTCTGAGCAGCTGACTGGGGTGAAGGTGTGACTATCGAGACAGAACAAGCCATGCCGAGACTGGAGGCCACAGTCTCCTTAGCAAAAGGAACAGCAGGGGCAGAGGCTCTGAGGTGGGATGAGCTCGGCACAGGTGAGGGACAGCAAGTGTGGCCAGTGCACGGTGACCCAGGGGAAAAGTTGAGGTCAGAGACCTCAGGGAGCCCTGTGGGCGAGGCAAGGTGCTAGGGCTTTATTCTAAGTGCAGCGGGAAGTCACAGAGGGGCTGTCCCATTTTCCAAAGCTCTAGCAGAGGCTGTATGGGGCCAAGAACAGCAGAGCCAGCATAGGCAGGCAGCAGCCCAGTGAGGCCGAGGCTGTGGCACCACTGCAGACCAGGGGCTCGGACCCGTGTGGCCAGGGGCTGGGATCAGATTCAGGATCTGCTGTCTGGGGGAGGCAGGCTGGCTGGGCTGAGGAGCTGGACATGAGGCAAGGGAACAAGAGGGCTAGTAACATGTGTGCAGAGACAAGGGGAGCCCCACACATGTGATGAACAAAGAGAGACAGGAGGCTGTCGAAGCCACTTCCTCGGCTGAAGCTGACCTGGCGCTTCTCAGGTGGGAGAGGAAAACCATGTCCACTGTGGCCCGCTGCTCCCTGAATGTCCCTCCCTCCTACTGCCGCTCCCACCCCGGATGGCTGGACCCTACACTGCCTGTTGCCCTGAAAGCCGGGGCTCAGGAATCCTGCATTTTCCCAAGAGAGAGGCAGGCACGGGTGGAGTCTCTGGCTGTCGGGTGTCCTGAGAGTTGTTCAGAACAAGAACGGGGCCGGGCGCGGTGGCTCACACATGTAATCCCAGCACTTTGGGAGGCTGAGGTGGGCGGATCATCTGAGGTCAGGAGTTCGAGACCAGCCTGGCCAGCGTGGTGAAATCACCACCTCTACTAAAAATACAAAAATTAGCTGGGCATGGTGGCAGGGGCCTGTAATCCCAACTACTCGAGAAGCTGAGGCAAGAGAATCACTTGAACCCAGGAGGTAGAGATTGCAGTGAGTTGAGATCGTGCCACTGCACTCTAGCCTGGGCGACCGAGTGAGACTCCATCTCAGGAAAAAAAAAAAAAAAAAAAAGAAAGAAAGAAAAGAAAAAGAACAAGAATGGGTGCCAGCTGGAGGCCACGGTGAGAAAGGGCCCTCTGAAAATGGGCCAGGGTGTTTGGGATGCAGGTGCTCACCTCATTTGCCTTCTGTGCAAAGGACAGAGGGGACAGTGGGCCTGGCGAATCCAGCCCGTGAGTAGGCAGGCTCGTGGTTAACCAGTGAAGTTTAAGACAATCAAGGAATAGCAAACTGGTTTATTTTGTATGGTAACAGCAGTTCCCCTGGCTCCCAGAGCACAGAGCAACATACTCTGTAATCCATTACTGATGTCTGCCATGGGCACAGGAGGGCAGAGTGTCACTGTCTAACCATCCCTGGTCTAGCGTCGCCCTGAGGGGATGGGACCATTGTAGAATACAACAGTGAAGTGGGTAGTGGGCTGACCTAGGAGAGCCAGAGAAAGGCATTGGTTCAACCATCTCCTAGCCTTCAAGGTACTGCCAAAATGAACCACAGGATATTTACTTGAGACACACAGAACTTTTCTCTGCCAGAGGGCAGAGAAAAGACCACCTATTTTCTTATCTTTTTTTTTTTTTTAAGACAGGGTCTCACTCTGTCACCTAAGCTGGAGTACAGTGACACAATCATAGCTCACTGCAGCCTTGACCTCTGGGGCCCAAGCGATCTTCCCATCTCAGCCAAGTAGCTGGGACCATAGGCATGTGCCACCATGTCCAGCTTTTTTTTTTTTTTCTTTTGTAGAGACGAGATCACCTTATGTGCCCAGGCTGGTCTCAAACTCCTGGGCTCAAATGATCCTCTGCCTTGGCCTCCCAAATTGCTGGGATTACACGTGTGGGCCACCGTGCCCAGGCTTTTTTTTTTTTTTTTTTCTAAGAGACGAGGTCTCACTGTATTGCCTGCAGCAGGGCAATCATAGCTCATTGCAGCCTCGACCTCCTGGGCTCAAGCCATCCTCCCACCTCAGCCTCCTGAGTAGCTGGGACTATAGGTGCATCCCTAAAGCAGGTTGCTTTTTTCTTTATAAGCTCTTTAGGGGAAGTGCCCCCACAGTGAGCACTGGGCCTCACACAGCTGAGGGTCCCTGTTTTGCTGCGGGAGCCTCCACACCGCCCCCTCAAGCCAGCCTCCTTGGCTCCCTGCTGGTCCTCTAATTCGCCAGGCTCGTGTCCCCCTCCCAGCCCTTGTCCTTGCTGTTTTCTACGCCTGGGTGGATATGACCCAAGTTCCACCACCGAGTCCTTATTTTCTAGGTTGCAGCTCAAATGTCAGAATTCCAGAGCAGCCTTGCCTGACCTCTCCCTCCTAACGAGGCCCCCACCTTGCTGTGCTCTCATCTTCGTTTCCCCACAGGACATTTCTCAGCCCACAGTGACCCCGCTTTGTACTCATGTGTATGTCGGGGCCTGGGGTTTTGTCCAGTTCTCGGTGTCTCCCCAGGGTGTGGGACGGTGCCTGGCACAGGGAGCACGCTCTATTGCTGCTTGATGAGTAAACAAAAGTCACTCACCCCCCTGGGCCTCAGTTTCCTCATCCGCCTAATGCGGAGAAAGTCCTCAATCTCAGGGCTGTTCTTTGGGTTCCACGGATGATGCCAGGACCATGATTACTACGGTTACTGACACCAGCAGAGAAAATGTTTCCTAGACTCTGTTCCAAACGTCTTATGTGAATTAGCACATTTATTCTTCACACTACTCCTAGAAAGTTTTACTATTATCCCCCTCCTTTTCCAGATGGGGAAACTGAGGTCCTAAAAAGTCTAGTCATTTGTCCAAGGTCACTCAGCCAGGAAGTGGGCAAGTCAGGATTCAAGCCCAGAGGCGGGCGCAGTGGCTCGCACCTGCCGTCTCAGCTACTCGGGAGGCTGAGTCAGGAGGATTGCTTGAGGCCAGAAGCTCAAGCTTGGGCAATATAGTGAGGCCCCAGCTCTACAGTAAAATTTTTTAAATAACTAGCCAGCCATGGTGGTAAATGCCTGTAGTCCCAGCTAATCAGGAGGCTGAGTCAGGAGGATCACTTGAGCCCAGGAGGTCAAGGCTGCAGTGAGCTTTGGTAGTACCACCACACTCCAGCCTGGGCGACAGGGCAACACCCTGTCTCTGAAAAAATAATATTAATAATAATTTAAATATATGTAATCCCAGCATTTTGGGAGGCCGAGGAGGGCAGATCACTTGAGCTCAGGAGTTCAAGACCAGCCTGGCCAACATGGTGAAACCCCGTCTGTCCTAAAAAAATACAAAAATATTAGCCAGGCATGGTGGTGTGCACCTGTAATCCCAGCTACTTGGGAGGCTGAGGCAGGAGATTCGCATGAACCCGGGAGGCAGAGGTTGCAGTGAGCTGAGATTGCGCCACTGCACTCTGGCCTGGGCAACAAGGCGAGACTCTGTCTCAAAAAAATTAAAGAAAAAAAATTTTTTAAATAAAAATTAAAAGAATTCAGCCTGCCCAGTTCTGGAGCCCAAGATCCCAGCCACTCTGCTGTCTGCGGCTCCAGGAGAAGGCCCAGGTGTGGGAAGGGGAGGACGCCGGGGGGAACTCAGGCAGGTCTCAGTGTCTTCATCTATGATATGCTGAGGTGCCATGATGGGGTCGTCTCCTCTGGGTCATTGTGAGAATGAAATGAACGAGGCTGTGTCTGAGAGCCTGGCTGGCTCACAGCGGTGCTTGGGAAGCATCCCCATCTCTCAAACACAAACCTCGTCCTCTTCCCTGCCCTGGAAGAGGCCCAGGCAGACAGCTCCTGGTGTCCCCTCCTTAGCCCCCAGTCCCCTGAGACCCCTGGGGAGGTGCCTTGGTCATGAGCAGCCACAATCGGGGCCAGGGCAATGGGCGTGGGGGACAGCTGCTCACGTCTGTCCCTTACCGGCCACCCAGCAACTCTAGCCACTGCCCTCCCCTGCCCTGGCCCTCCTTGGGAGATGCTGAGCTTTCTCATGGTCCCCCGAAGACTCCTTGCTGTCCACTCATTCATCCCTCATTCAAATATTCACACTGGAGGCTGGGCACGGTGGCTTACGCCTGTAATCCCAGCATTTTGGGAGGCCAAGGCTTGAGCCCAGGAGTTCAAGACCAGCCTGGCCAACATGGCAAAACCCCGTCTCTACAAATAGAAAAATTAGCCAGGCATCAGGTGGATGTCTGTAGTTCCAGCTACTTGAGAGGCTGAGGCAGGGGAATCACTGTAATTGAGCTGAGATGGCACCACTGTACTCCAGCCTGAGCAACAGAGCAGAGAGACTCTGTCTCAAGAAAAAAAAAAAAAAATATATATATATATACATACACACGCACACACACACACATATATATGTATGTGTATACACACACACACACACACACACACACACACACACATATTTACCCTGGAGGCAAGAGCTCAGCTTCTGGAGTCTCGATGCCTATGGTTCATCCCAACCCTGCCACCTCCCAACTGGACTTTCTCTGAACCTCAGTTTCCTCATCTGCCATGTGGAATGATGAGCTCTGTTAACCCCTAGTACTGCTCCCAGAAGTCAATGGCAGGCCACGTGCAGTGGCTCACTCCTGTAATCCCAGCACTTTGGGAGGCCGAGGTGGGTGGATCACTTGAGGTCAGGAGCTCGAGACCAGCCTGGCCAAGATGGTGAAACCCCGTCTCTACTAAAAATATAAAAATTAGTGGGGCATGGTGGCACACACCTGTAGTCCCAGCTACTCGGGAGGCAGAGACAAGAGAATCGCTTGACTCTGGGAGGCGGAGGTTGCAGTGAGCTGAGATCATGCCACTGCACTCTAGCCTGGGTGGCAGAGCGAGAGACTCCAACTCAAAAAAAAAAAAAAAACATGGATTTGAAGCACCAAGGACGATGCCTGTTGGGGGCCAAGCACCCACTGTGGCCAGGCCCTAGGGACACAACATGGACAAGGCCAAGCTAGCCAGCCCTCAGAGTGCCGACAGGATGCAGAGAGGGACAAAATGCTTACCTGCTGCCCAGTAAGTCATCGGCTGTCCCAGGGAGGCACAGGGCAGTGGGAACTCTGACAGAGGCCTGGGGGGTTTCAGGGGGTGGGGGGGAGGGGCGAGGAGGTAACAGCCCAGCAGGCAGAGGGAGCAGCCTGGGCAAACATCAGGAAGCCCCGGAGACAAAGGTGAGTTCAAGGAACAAACAGCAGTTCAGGCTGGCCAGAGGGTAAAGGGCAAAGGCCAACAGGCAGAGGACGCCAGACTGCAGGGGTCAACAGGGCCAGACTGAACCAGGCCTCGTAAGCACATAACCATGTCAAGGGTGAGGACTTCACCCTGAGGTCTGGGGAGGGTGGCAGACGCCTGGCATGGTCAGGTTTTTGTTCAGCAAAGACCCCTCTGGCTGGCGTGTGTGAAGGCAGGGAGAACATGTACGGATGGGGAATCTAGGGAGGTTTCATGGTGGAGGCGACTTGGGCTGAGCCTTGGGAGGGGCAGAGTTCAGATGGCCCAGGAAGGAAGGCGGGCATTCCAGGAAGCAGAGCCACATGGGTGAAGATCTAGAAGGAGGGTGTTTCTAGGGCACTCACCTGGGGAAGTGCAGAAGTGGAAAGTGAGGGCGGAAACTCAATCCCAGGATGGGGCACCTCCCAGCAAGGGCTCAGCAGAGCCAGGCGGGCCAGCATAGCCCTGCCCCATCTGCAGCTTGGACTTGAGGCAGGGAGGTGTAGGGAGTGGCCCTGGAGGCTCCTGGGGGGTGCCCGGCCCTGCCAGACTTGACTGGAAAATCTCCAAGCTCATTGCCTCATGTCCCTACGTGCCACCCCTACAGCTCAGCCACCTTACATGGTGAGCCTCCTGTCTGCTCCACATTCCACAAAGACGGACAATACACCGCCCTCCTCCCCCAGGCCCAGCCCTGGCACTGCTCATCCATTACAGGCCCCACTTATCCCTCACTGCCGCTTTTCCATTTGCTCCATGACGTACGGCCTCGGAATCCTTATCACGGCCCTCCAGGCAGCTACGACAGATTGAATAGAGCTGGCATCCAAGAGCAAACCCATTTGCCATCCCTGATCCAATCGAATCGATCATTCTATAGAAGGGGTGACGGAGCCCCAGCGAGGGGAAAGGACCTCTCAAGGTCATAGAAGGACTTTCTTATCCAAACCCTTCTCTTTGGTGAACAGGGCCTGGAATCAACCCTTCAGGCCTTGGTGGTCCCTAAAGATGCAACTCAAAGCAAGGACCACCAACAAACACCCCAGCGCCACCCCCAACCCAGTTCCACTGAAACCACGTCAGTCCCGCAAGGACAAAGGCCACTGAACAAAGGCTGTCTGGACCCCACGCTCAGGGGCCCCTCCACATGCCCCCATCCTGAGCAGCTGGACTGCTGTCCCCATCAGCCCACAGCCCACAAAGCCCACAGCCGCAGCCCCTCTACGGTTTGAGAAAAAGCAGCTACTCACCACTGCTGGACCTCCTTCTCGGTAACTGCAAGAGAAAGCAGAAAAGTAGGCTTTTAGCTCAGGGAAGGTGTCCCGGGAGATGGGCAGACATTCGCTGGGGGGCCTCCCCTCCAGCCCTCCCCTCCCCACGGCCATGTCCCCGGGCAACGGCCTGCTCTGGATGAGAAAATGCTCCCTTGGTGAGCAGTCCTAGCCAGGGGCTCTGTACCCACCACCCCAGCAGGGGACACTGGCCCCACCCCTTCCCGGTGCCCAAGTGCTACCTGCCACTGCCACTGCCGCTGCTGGGAGAGCCCCCAGGAACGCCCTGTGGCACTCAAGGGTTTGCTTCTCCCACAGCCCTTGCTCCCAGGCCAACATCTAAGACTTACTCGTTGCCATCTCTCAATCCCTGGGGACGGGATGTCAGGGAAGGCCCTGGCTTCCCCAGGCACTCGGCTGCCCCACCTATGTGGGGGGGTGGGGGGAGCTAGGCTGAAAAGGGGCAGCTCTCAGCAGAAGGGTGGACCACCCTCCCTGTCAGCCTGTCCCTGCAGCCCCTCTCTGTGGTCAGCCCGGGCTCTTTCACTGGCAAGACATGAACAGAGCCGTGAAGCAAAAGCTGAAAGAGGCTACAGAGAGCGGCTGAGCCTGGAGCCAAGCCCACATACCCATTCTTTACTGAGCCATGAAACAAACAAAAATGCTTTTTCTGAAAAGTACAGAATCGTTTCAAGTTGGAACCAAATCAATGTTCTCTCTAAAGTCACCGAACAAGAACACCAAACCACCACCAAGGCCACCCTTGCTCCCTGCCTGTGTGAGCGCGGGACGGCTCCTCCTGCACTCCCTGCCTTGGGCGCCTCATCCATAAAGTGGGCATCATATTATCAGCACCTGCCACACAGACCTGTTGTGGGGACTCACTCATAAAGGCATGGAAGCTACTGGATCCCTGGGGATGTCAGACACCTGGAAAGGCCAGGCCTGGCGTCAAAGAATGGAATTTTCCAAGAGAAAGTTTTGGCAAAGGGTACGGCGTAGGGCCCTCAAATGTGCTCAATACTGGTTTGTGGAATGAATGAATGAATGAATGAATGAATGAACACATGAACAGACAGGAAAGGGGTGTCAGGTGGAGGTCAGATGAGTAAAGGAACTAGAATCTATTCCCAGGGAAGTGGGAAGGAAGCCCAAAGAGGTGTCTCTGAATTGTTTGTGCCTGACCAGACTTGAGGAAGCCACTTTTCAAAAACCACTCAAAGCAAGCTCGCAACAGCTGCCAAATACCAAGAGCCTGCCGCAAGCCCGAATCTGCGCCCAGGGCGGGCCTCTGTGCTTTAGCTCAACGGCTCTTATGACAGCATGGAGGGAGGATGGCACAACTCTGCCCCAGCTCCAAATGTGGAAACTGAGGCACAAAGAGATCAGGAAGTGGCAAGGCAAGGGCCTGACCTTAGGTCTGTGGCTCAGAACCAGGCAGCCAGATTCCTGGGCAGGCTAGATGCCTCCATCCCCGTGCTGGTCAGCACTCTCCTCCCACAAGCCCAAATCAGAGATGGAGGAAGAGACCTGTCTGCAAGCAGGCCTCAGATAAAAAGAGAGGAGGCAGGTCAGGCACGGTGGCTCACGCCTGTAATCCCAGCACTTTGGGAGGCCGAGGCAGGCAGATCACAAGGTCAGGAGATCGAGACCATCCTGGTTAAAGCGGTGAAACCCCATCTCTACTAAAAATACAAAAAATTAGCCAGGCATGGTGGCACGCTCCTGTAGTCCCAGCTACTCTAGAGGCTGAGGCAGGAGAATCGCTTGAACCCGGGAGGCGGAGGTTGCAGTGAGCCAAGATCACACCATTGCACTCCAGCCTGGGTGACAGAGTGAGGCTGTGTCTCAAAAAAAAAAAAAGAGAAAGAGAGAAAGAGAAGGCAACAGCGGGAGATGCCAGTTACCCAGAAACACCGGGCCTGGAGTCAAAGAAAGCAATTTTCTGAGATAAAGTTTTGGCAAAGGGTATGGGGCAGGAACGGGTTCAGGATTCGGCATGGGGGTGGAGAGGGAAGGTGTCCTTGGTCTGATCCAGGCTGGCTGCCTGTGATGGCAGCTGTGATGGCAGCTGGGGCTGTGGGGCGGATGCTGAAAGCCCAAACCTGGAGACACAGGCGACCCATCACAGTACCGCCAGGAGCTCAGGGCCACAGGTGCTAAAGCCAGACCAGACCGCCTGGGTTCAAATCCGGCCCCACAGGGCACTGTGTGTCCTTGGGCAAATTGCTTCCCCTGACTGAGCCTCAGTTTTCTCATCTGTGAAATGGGATTGTTGGGAAAACTGAAGTGCTTGCCGCTCCTCAGCTTCACAAAAACCCCACAGGGAGGTGTGACCCCGTTTTCCCAATGAGGAATTGAAGTTCCAATGGGTCTGCTTATTTGTCTGAGATCACCTGAGGTCCCTTTGCCAGGAAACAGCAGAGCTGGGACGGTGCCCCTAGAGATCAGGATGGAGGCCCAATTGGATACAACTCCTTGAGTCTGCATGACCTTGTATGACCTTGGCAAGGGGTGGCAGCATTCGACACAAACAGCAGGAACTGGGTGGCATGGCCACTGTCTCAGGCGGGCCTCACAGTGCCAGAGCGGGGCTTCCCTGGACCCCCAGCTCCGAAGTCCCACTCTCCCTTGACACCCCCCACCCATGTCTCCCAGCAGCCTTCCCCCAGGGCTCTGCCTCAGTCTCTGCGTCCTTCCTCACCCCCAACTACACTCCAAGGATGCAGCAGGGAGGTGGGAGAAGGGCATATGACTAGGGCTCCCCCCATTGGAAAGGTCCCCCCACAGAACCCTGGGTGATCAGCAGGCAGCCGAGCCCCAGGGAACCGGAGCTAGGGTGGGGGAGATAAGTCCTGCCCATGCTTTAAGCAGCAAATTGACCTTTAGGAAACAGTTGAGGCTGGCAGGTATCCCCTGGCACCCAGCCAGGGCCCAGCAATTCTAACTGCTTCACTGCCTGGGGCCTTGGAGGGCCTTTTTTTTTTTTTTTTTCTGGAGACAAAGTCTTGCTCTGTCACCCAGGCTGGAGTGCAGTGGCACTATCTTGGCTCACTGCAACCTCCACCTCCCGGGTTCAAGTGATCCTCGTGTGCCTCAGCCTCCCAAGTAGCTGGAACTACAGGCATACACCACCACGGCCAGCTAATTTTTGTATTTTTAGGTAGAGACAGGGTTTCACATGTTGGCCAGGCTGGTCTCAAGCTCCTCATCTCAAGTGATACGTCTGCCTTGGCCTCCCAAAGTGCTGAGATTACAGGCGTGAGCCACCACGCCCAGCCACAGAGGGTCTTGAAGGACAGCAGGCAGGACCCACATCTCTGGGGTCCTGGCCACCTGCCCCCAGCCCTCCCGCCAGCCAGGGAGCTCTGGCACGGGTCAGGCTGTCCTTTGTCCAAACCCCAGCCCCCTGCTGAGCAGCTACCACCCCAACCTGGAGAGGAAGCTGAGCCGGGGTGGAGAGGCGACCAGAGGAACGTGCCCATCCTCAGCCTGGGTTTGCCCATCACCAAGGCCTGTGTTCTCAACCATTGTGTCTGGGTTCCCAGAAGCTCAACTCTTCCAAGATCACCTTCGAGATCTTTCTCTGTCCAGTGTCCAGTGATTCACTCAGGATTTTTCTTGAAATCATCTCAATTTGCTTTTACTTACCTGCTTAATCTAGCTTCAGCCTAAGCAATAATATCCATAAAGTTACCAGTGACTGTGCTGGTCATATCTTTTCTAATACACAATAAAAAATATAACAAATTCAAAAAAAAGCCACCGTCCTTGATCAAACCTGCCCTGCCTTCGATCGTGAAATAGCCCAATATCATGTACCCCTTAATTTGATGCAGTGGAAGGGCACGTTATCCGTGAAGGTCTCCCGCCAAAAATAATTAACCTGAGTCTAACCACAAGGACATAATCAGACAAATCCGGGCTGTGGGACATTCTACAAGACCACTGACCAGGACACTTCAAGTCAGGGCCAGGAAAGGCAAAGCAAGTTGGAGGATTGTTCCAGAAAAAAAGAGTCTAAACAGACGAGGCAACCAAATGTAACTCAAGATGCCTGGATCGGGTCCAGATCAGCAGGAAAAAACTGTTATCATGGCTGTCGCTGGGCCAGCTGGGAAGCCACTGCACTGTGGACTGGTAATTAGGTGCTGCCATGGGGATGAGGTGGGGGTGGTAACAGCACTGAGGCTAATGCCCTTTTTCTTTTTCTTTTTTTTTGAGGAGTCTCCCTCTGTCACCCAGGCTGGGGCTAGAGTGCAATGGTTGATCTGGGCTCACTGCAACCTCCGCCTCCAGGGTTCAAGCAATTCTCCTGCCTCAGCCTCCCAAGTAGCCAAGATTACAGGCACCTGCTACCACGCCTGGCTAATTTTCGTATTTTTGGTAGAGACGGGGTTTCACCATGCTGGCCAGGCTGGTCCCGAACTCCTGACCTCAAGTGTTCCATCCGCCTCGGCCTCCCAAAGTGCTGGGGTTACAGGCGTGAGACGCCGCGCCCAGCTTTGGAGATATGCTCTGAGCTATTCAGGGGTGAGGGTCAAGACGCCTGCAGCCTCTTGTGACATGGTTTAGAAATATACACACTCACGTATGTAGAAAGAGAGGGGACAGATGCAGCAGAGCCGGGGACTCGAGGACACAGAGGCATCCCTGCACCACCACATCAATGTTCCTCTTGATTTTTCAAAATAAAAAGTTGAGGGAAATGTTTGTCCTCTTCACCCCATAACCACTGTGCCTGCCTCCCCTCCCCACTGCACAATGCCAGGAGGGCTGGGGGGTCCTGCCCAAGGTCCTGTGCCCCCAGCAGTTCCCGCCAAGACAGGCACTGGGAGGGAGGGAGATGGGGGACAATTTGGGGGTTCAGCTTCCCTTTGCCTCAGCCTCCACCCAGATGCCAGAGTGACCTTCCCAGGCTCTGGTTCCCAGCCCGGCCCATTTTCCCCCTCCTCCCAGAGCCTCCAACTGCATGTGAAATTAACAGGGCCTCCGCCTCTGCCTCCCTCGGTGGGTCTGGGCTCTGGGCTCTGGGTTCAGGGCTCAGGGTTCAGGGCAGGGTAGGAACGCAGGCAGTCCTTGCACAGCTTGTTCCCTGGGTCACTGGCCCGCATCCTGACCCCACTGGAGTTCCTCTGACCGTTCCAGCCTCCAGGCCTTTGTGCTCTGCCAGGAACACTTCCTCACCTCACCCGTTCCACCCAGGGAAACCCCATCCATCTTTCAAAGCCTAGCTGCGCCCGAGCGCGGTGGCTCATGCCCGTAATCCCAACACTTTGGGAGGGCAAGGTGGGCGGATTACTCGAGGCCAGGAGTTCGAGACCAGCCTGGCCAACATGGTGAAACCCTGTCTCTACTAAAAATACAAAAATTAGCCGGGTGTGGTGGCGCGTGCCTATAATCCCAGCTACCACGGAGGCTGAAGCATGAGAATTGCTGGAACCCAGGAGGCAGAGGTTGTAGTGAGCTGAGATCACCACTGTACTCCAGCCTGGGTGACAGAGACTGTCTCAAAAAAAAAAAAAACAAAGCCCAGCTGGGATGGCCCTCTTCTAGGAGGCCCTCCCGACCCTGCCTTGGCCCCTTGGGAAGCCCCCTTCACATGAGGTCTGTCTTCCCATGGGTTCCACGACAGAGGGCCAACGGGGGTCTGACCAAGGGGGCACAGGCTGGGCTTGGGGGAGCAGTGGTGAAGTACAGCGGTCCAGAGAGGGCCTTGGCCAGCCCAGCAAGCACTTCAGGCCAGGGCTCCCTCTGATCTGTGGTCTTGGATGAGTGACCCCGCATCTCTGAGCCTTGGTTTGCTCATCTGTAAAATGGGACTCAGGCATCTAGCAGGAAGAGGAGGGACTGGTGCTCGGCCCAGTGTCCAGCACCCAGCAAGTGCGAGACAGAAGCACTTCTTCCCCTCATTTTCCTAGCTGGACACTAAGCCTGCAGAGGCCAGGACACTTCTCCTGGCCCATCCTAGCATCACCCTCAGAGCCTGGCTCAGCACCCTGCACACAGGGGACAGAGAAAAACACCTGCTGATTCCTCCTTTGTCATCCAGCCACTGGGCTGGGTTTAGAACACATCCTCAAACGTGTTTCTCATGCATTGACCTTCACAATTTCATCTGGCTTTGGCCAATTTTTAAAACGAACTCTCTCCATCACACTCTGCCTCCAGGCCTGCAGGCCCAGGCTCGTACCAAAACCAGGATTTAAAACTGGCAATGGGCCATGCTCTCCATGGGGCCAGACAGGGGAAAGTTCTGGGGTGCCATCCTGTCAGGGCCACTTGAAGCCTGGGTGATTCCAAACAAGTTTCTTAACCCCTCTGAACCTCCAAGTCCTCACCTGTAGGATGGGGTATAAACTCCTACCAGGCAGAGCCATTGTCAAGGTTGTTGAGGAGTGGATGGAGAAATCAGAGCCGACACAGGGCCCTGGGAGAGGGGGGGCTGGGCATCCACTCTACTCCCCTTCACTGACCCCCAGAGAGCCAGAGCTGCAGAAGGGGAGGGCAGCTGCAGTCTCAGAGCAGAGAGTGGGTCCTAGCCTTCGCCGCACCCCCACGCCCACAGACTCCAGGCTCGTACCCCACAGCCAGGAAGCACCCGCGGTGCCCACAGCCTCCTTTCCACCCCGGCAGCGCTCCTGAGGTCCCCAGCTCCTCTACTCCAGCTCCTCCTCCCTTCCACACAGCCCTTGTCTGCCAGGAATGAACACGAGAGCCAGTCCCAGGAGCCCAGGAGGATGTTAAGTCTGATTTTGATTTCCCTAAAGCAAAACACCTCTCTCCTGATTGAAGCTCAGCTCAAACATGGTGGGAGCAAAAGGCAGGGGCTGGCAGCCCCCTCCCGGCGCTGGCTTCAGCTAGAGGCATGGACGGCAGACGGCCAGCCAATCCAGCCTCTTCCGCCATCCCTCCTGGGGCGGACCTGGCCCTGGATCCATCTCCAGGGTTGAGGGCTGCCGGAGTGTCTCTGTACCTGGCCCCAGCCCTCCACCACAGCTGAAGGAAAACCGCACCAGCAAGAGGGCCTTTGGGTTTGAGCAGCACAAGAATAGAAGGCGGGGCCTTTGGGCCTGGCCACGAGTGACCCATCTTACTAAATCAGACAGTCCCCTCGGTCCTGACACCTTTGATCACTGACTGTCCTCCTTCCAGAAGCGCAGCTGGCCTCAGAAGCTCCTCCCAGGCCCACGCCTCTCCTGTGCTCAATCTCCCAGCACCAGGGCTCCTCCAAGCGCCCAGCTCACACGCTTTCCGGGGGCGGCTCTGCTCCCTGCACCCCTCACTCCCAGTCTCCTCCCAGCTGGCCCCTCCTGCAGTTCAGCTCCCCCACCCCCGTCCAAGCTCCTCACCGATGGCCCAGAGGCCCCTCAGGCTCCACGTGGCCCAAAGGGATCGCCCGGGCCTCTTCCCAGGTCCCCATCCAGAGATCTCCCTACAGGCAGTCCTGCACCAACTGCAGACAAGTCCCATCCAACCTGGCTGCCTCAAAAATACGAGAATGCCCCCACTGTCCAGGGCTGGCTGGACGTCGCCCCCACACCATCCCAGCTGCTGTGCCGGCCTCTTCTCAGCCCCCACCCCATCCCACTTTCCCATCCAGTCCCCACCTGCAGCTGCCAGCATCCCTAATGTGGTCACATTCCTCCCCTCCTAGAACCCTCCTCCAGAGCCTCAGTGCGTCTCCAGCCTCTCCAGCCTCACCCCTGCCCCTCCTCACAGCACCCCGCAGCTGTGTTCTCCCTGCAGTACCTCAGAGCCCCCTCGGTACCATCTCCTGAGAATAGGGTGCTCTGCCCCAAGCCCTCCCTGGGCAGCAACAGCACAGCTAAGTCAGAGCGGAGGGAGTGCACCGCTGGCCGCACACACCCTCCTGCCCCCACACCGGGCCCACCCCTGGGGAGGGGCAGTTCCTCAAAGCGAAGACGGTGGTGGTCTCTTGTGGGACCTGGACTCCAGGGATCTGCCACTCCGTTGCTGTGTGACCGGTTTTTTCCCCAGTTTGGGTTTCGGTTTCCCCATCTGTGAGAGAGGACATTACTAGCTGTGCCAACCATGGAGTACCGCACACTGGGAGGTGGGGAGGACAGAAAAGAGAGTGAAACACCTGTGGGGTTCCCACTGGGGTCCTGCTACACTCGAGGGCTGGGAAGCAGCCACCTGCTGCTCCAATCCTCCAGGTGCCCCAAGCACACAAGGCCTCAGATCACTCCCCCCACTCACTGCAGCACCGGCTCCTGGGGGAGAACCTCCCTGGAGTCACACGGCAGCATCAGGTGATTTCAGAAGGCCCCGGGGATATATGCTGGTGTTCCTGGGTGGGCAGGGAGTCCTGGCTGCCCACCTTTGCTCCTGACCCAATGTGTGAACGTGGCCACGCACCCTCCCCTCTCTGTCCCACGAAAGAGGTCAACTCCTGAGACCTCCAGGCCCCCCAGCTCCCACGCTCCACAAAGTGACCTTCAGGCAACAAGTAAATGAGGGTCTGGAGCGCCTCATTTCCCACAACGACAGGCCCCGTGTCCAGGAAGAGCAGCCCCCGAGAGGGCTGGAGTGAGGACAGGAAGGTGGGCACAGGCTCTGGGCCAGACAACGTGGCCGGGCCCCAGACTCATTAACCCTCGACCTTGGACAAGGGCGGCAGCCTCTTCTCTAAAATGGAGTGCTCGGCGGCACTGCCTCCAAGCTCAGAGTAACGTGACAGCAGACGCAGGAGCTGCCTGGCACGAGGCAGTCAGCATGATCATCACTGCTGTTGTACTTATTACTCGATGCCCCTGCCAGGGTGAGAAGAGAGACCACCCCCCACTCCCAATCCCATACCTGTCTGCCACCACTGCCTGGCTAAAGGGCAGCTGGGCCCCAGCACCAGGCCTGAGCTGCCCCAGAAAGGAGGCCTGGCCTGCTGCCCAGAGCTCCCGGGCACTCCTGGCTGAGCAAAGCCGCTGCAGGAGCCCCTCGCCCTGACCCACTCGCCGCGCGTTCCCCAGCCCTTCTGCCCTCCAGCCCCCCATCACGTGTCCCCACTGTGGGAGTGGTGTCCCAGCCTCCTTGGCAGTCACTGTCTCCACCCCAGTTCGCTGAGTGCCAGCCAGGACTGGTCCAGCACTGGGCTGGGGCACACAGCGGCTGGCAGGAAAGGTGGGCGGGCCCCGTCTGCTCTGCTCGCTGCCCCTTCCAAGCAGGCTGCCCACCAGGGCCATCAGACCGCCATGTGCAGCAGTGAGCAGCTGTGACGGCCACTGTCGCCATCGGGTGCTGACTGCGGTCTGCCCGGCACCAGCCTGAACCCTCATTTCATTAGCGTCTCACACAGCCCAGGGGGCCATGGGCTGTTGCTGTATCTGTCTCAGGATGAGGCACCTGGGCTCATCAGGGGAGCCCCATGCCCACGGCCATCCAGCTGACCAGGCTCTGACCACCCCCTACCGGCCCCCACTTCCCTTCCTTACATCCCCACGGCTGCCTCGCCTCCATGTAAAAGATGCCAGAGCCTCCGGGCTGGTGGGAGGAAGGCTGAGCACTCGAATCGGGGGGTATTTCACCTGTTGGGGGATCTCCCAGCCTGTCTTCAGGAATGGCGAGTAGATGGAGTCCCTGGCCCCGGAGGGCAGACTCGGGCCAGGCCAGGTAACCTTCAGCCCCAGCTCCCGGGAGCTGCTCTTCACCGCTCTGCACCCAGGCCTGGCTCTCCTGCCCGAGGCCCTCTAAAGCCAGGCTCTCGGCTTGGGACACACAGTCCAGCAGGGATCACCCAGGGCCTTTGCACAGATGGGTCTACCAACTATCCAGTCGCCACGTGGCCTGGGTCAGCGTGCTCCCTGCCCCGCTGTCAGGGGCCAACGAGAGGATACACATCACAAGCACTGAGCCCAGCACATGGTGGGCGCCCTGGAGATGCTGTGCCGATGAGGAGTCGTGGTGTCTGAATAAAAGTCAGAGGGCCAGGCCTTGGGGCAGACACCAAGATGGGAAGCTGTTGCCGCTCCCGCAGGAAGTGGAGCCAGGAGAGAGGCTGCTTAGAGCTGCTCAGATTCAAAATCAAAGCCCCGTTTCCCTCTCAGCCCCTTGGGATCCTCCCCAAGGCCCTGTGCTGACAGGCGGGGGTCCCTGCCAGCCCACTTCCAAGAAACTGCGGTTTCACAGAGAGGCAAAGCACTCAACCAAGATCACGCAGTCAGGGGTGGAGGAGTGGAGATGGAGGCCAGGTTTATCGACTCCAGAGTCCAGGCTCAGGAAGGCTTTAGCTGGGAGATATCATCCCCAAGGATGATCCTGCCCACCTCCCGCACGCTGTCAAAGAGTTACTGAATCTTTGGCATCTCTGACGCCCCAACAAAGTGCCGTTGGTGCTGGCAGGCAAAGGTCCTCAGTATCTGCTGATCTGTTAACTTGCTTTGACTGGCTGAGTGACCCAGATCAAGTCGCACTGACATAGGTTCAAATCCCGGCTCTACCATGTTCCAGTTGTGTGACATTGGACAAGTCGGTTAACCTCCCTTGGTTTTCTCACCAGAAAACTAAGGGCGATAAAACCTACCATAGTTACATACGTAGAAAATAGATGGAAAGAAACCAGTTGAAAATGTACACAGTGGCCTCAGAGAAGCTGTATGAGAAATGGTTTTGTTCTGTCTCTGTGAGTGCCTGCTTTTGTCCGATTTGGACCTTCCCCAATGGCTGGGTGCTCCATGGGGCAGGATCTATGTCTGCCTAAGTTGCAGCCAAATGGTAGCATCTGGCACATAGTAGGTGCTCAATGTATGTGTGTTCTCACAGAATGCATGTTCTTGTTTTAGGTGGGTAAGTTGGAAAGTAGACAGGGCTACTTTTATTTTCTAAAACCCAAAGTTATTTCTGGCTAGTAAAGGAACTTGTTCCAATGACCACATATATTCTCTCTCTCTCTCTCTCTCTCTCTCTCTCTCTTGCATAAACATACAAGAACTACCCCCTGGCTCAAGCCATCTTTCCTGCCAGACTCAGCTCAGAATCTTCCAAAAGGAAGTAAGCCACATCTTCTGCCTCTTTGGGGCCTTCGAGACCTTGGGAATATATATATATATATATATATATATATATTTTTTTTTTTTTTTTTTTTTTGAGATGGAGTCTATCTTCTAGCTCTGTCACCCAGGCTGGAGTGCAGTGGCACAATCTCAGGTCACTGCAACCTCCACCTTCTGGGTTCAAGCAGGTTCAAGCAATTCTCCTGCCTCAGCTTCCTGAGTAGCTGGGATTATAGGCACGCGCCACCACACCCGGCTAATTTTTGTATTTTTAGTAGAGACAGGGTTTCACCATGTTGACTAGACTGGTCTCGAACTACTGACCTCAAGTGATCCGCCCACCTCGGCCTCTCAAAGTCCTGGGATTACAGGCGTGAGCCACCGTGGCTGGCCAAGACCCTGGGGAAATCTTGGGTGTGTGGAGTTTTCTCAAGATTCCTGGTGGGGACCCTCTCAAACATTTCAGAGCCGACCCCGGCACTCAGGGATCCGGATCAGTCCCATTCCACAAGCATTTCCCAAACACTGCCAAGGTCAGACATTGTGGAAGGCACTGAAGCAACTGACCTACTCAGTAGAAAGGGTCTTTGTCTAAACTGACTCATTCTTTAGCCCCTGTAGACAAGTGACCTTGGGTAACTAAATTCACCTCTCTGAGCCTCAGTTTCCTTAGCTGTAAAATGGGAATAGTGGCGGTCACAATACGTTTCTTGCAGGCTGGTTAAAGGAACAAACAGGATTTTCACCCTTTCCTTCATCCAGCAATTAATTTCTGAGCACACTCAATGGGTCAGAACCTGAGCCAGGCTCCAGGGACACAGCAATGACCTAGACACAGGTTCCTGTCCTCTGAGTCCCTGATACAACAGGGGAGACACACCCTGTTAGCACACACCCACACAGCTGTCTATCTGTCATAATAAGAAAGGAAAGCTCAGCTGGGCCCAGTGGCTCATGCCTGTAATCCCAGCACTTTGGGAGACCAAGACGGGCGGATCACCAGAGGTCAGGAGTTTGAGACCAGCCTGGCCAACATGGCAAAACCCCGTGTCTATTACAAATACAAAAATAAGCTAGGCATGGTGGCAGGCACCTGTAATTCCAGTTACTCGGGAGGCTGAAACAGGAGAATCGCTTGAACCCAGGAGGCAGAAGTTGCAGCAAGCCAAGATTGCACCACTGCACTCCAGCCTGGGCAACAAAGTGAGATCCCCGTCTCAAAAAAGAAAAACAAAGGAAAGAGGCTGGGCGCAGTGGCTCATGCCTGTAATCCCAGCACTTTGGGAGGCCAAGAAGGCGGGTGAATCACCTGAGGTCGGGAGTTCGAGACCAGCCTGACCAACATGGAGAAACCCCGTCTCTACTAAAAATATAAAATTAGGTCATGGTGGCACATGCCTGTAATCCCAGCTACTCGGGAGGCTGAGGCAGGAGAATCACTTGAACCCAGGAGGCTCCGCCGAGATCGAGCCATTGCACTCCAGCCTGGGCAACAAGAGCGAAACCCCGTCTCAAAAAAAAAAAAAAAAGGAAAGTTCAGGATTAATGAAATGTGAAGCAGGAACCCAACCTAGCCTAGGGGGTCAGGCGTGCTCCCTGAGGAAAGGGCTGATGTGCAGGCCTCAGCCAGGCAAAGAAGAAGAAGCAGAGCTTTCCAGGAGAGGCTGCAGGTCCAAGCCTCAGAGGCCATCCAGAGCCTGGCGAGTTCAGGAACCACAAGAAGCCACATCACACTAGAACAAAACCTTATCCAGAGGCAGCGTGGTGTGGTCCAGGTGGAGAGAACACAGCAAGTATCCCAAAATGTTAACAATTGCCACTACTATTAATATAGGTGTCACAGCACCCAAAGACAAGACCAGATGGCCAGGGCTAATAACGGGGGCACCCCACAGGGGCAGGAACTGCAAGAGGCCGAGCAGGCCACCACCCCCCATCTCCCCACTTTGGATCATGTGGCATCTGCCTCCCCCACCCTAGTCCCCACATTCCTGCTTCAGTCCTAGCCCTCCAGGGACCCCCACCCCAGCCCCAGGAAGGGGTGGGAGACACAAAGCTGTGTGGCCTCCATCACAGCTCAGGCAGAAGCCAAATTGTTCACAGAAGCCACACGGTCACACCTAATGTCATAGCCGGTAGAGCAGGGAGCCCTCTGGATGGAAGCACTGTGAGGCTCCCAAGATGCAACAGAGGCGAGAGGTGAAGAGAGACCCCAGGGAAGGTGCGAGGCCCTCCACACAGGGATAGATGGAGATGGCATTGGCAGGGACGCAGAGACTGGGCAACGGTGGCACCAGGGGTGGAACCAGCATTGGCCACTGCCAGCACCTCCCCTCCCAGAATGCAGTGGATCTGCTTCCGAAACACCGAGGTCTGGCCCCTGAGCTGCACCAGGGCAGAACGGCTCCTGCAGGGACCACAGGAGGTTTTAGGACATGTGTTCCAGGGCAACTGGCTGGGAGGGGTGGCGAGGGCTGCTGCTGGAGCCCAGGCAGAGGCAGCCCTGGCCAGCAGCAGGCAGCAGCCCTGACTCCGGCTCTGGCCCTTTAAGAGCGGAGGGTGGAGGCTCGGCCCTGACCTGCCCTCCTGGAGGAGGCACAGAGTGACTCATCAGGGTCCTTGTCACGGTGCTCAGAGAGCAGGAGGACCCAGGGATGGCAGCGACGGGGCACAGAGAGGCACAGACTCGGACACATCAGCCTGGCCAGAGCTCGCTGTAGGCCGGACCCTGACCTTGACTGGGATACCTGCCGGTGCCTCCCTGGGCAGGGCCCCCCGTCTCCCAGGTGTGCCCTGTGGCCTCACATTGCTCCCCTGCTTTCCGAGACACTCCTCCTAGCGGAGCCCTTGCCCTGCTGGGTCAGCCAACAGCTCTGAGGGACCAACTCACTGCCCGCGCCCCCGCCCCGCCTCTCCAGGTACCTCCTAAAGCAGGGGCCATCAGCAACCCCACTCCACAACCAGGAAACCGAAGCTTGGAGAGGCCAAGGGACTTCCGCGGATCTGCTTCTGGCCACATAAGCTCACCTCTGAGCTGCTCAATCGCTCGTCAGTGCCCCTCGTGCTTGGAGCCAGGCTGAGCACAGCACGGGCCCTCCTGCCATCAGGGCCCTCCCGCCATCAGCACCCTCACGGCCACAGGCCCTCTATGCTGCAGTCACCGTGCAATTTCATGTCCCCAGAGTTGCCAAACCTTGACACCTCCTTGGGACCCTCTCAGGGCTTCCATCCAGAGGGCTCCCTGCTCTACTGGCCATGACATTAGATGTGACCGTGTGGCTTCTGTGACCAATTTGGCTTCTGCCTGAGCTGTGATGGAGACCAGCTCTGTGTCTCCCACCCCTTCCTGGGGCTGGGGGTTCGGGAGCCCTGGAAGGTGAGGACTGACCTGGAACATGCTGTTCCTGCTGCCTGAAGCACTCTCATCGTCCCCCACACAAACCCTCCCCGCAAACTTCTCATCTCCCTCAAGCAGTACTATCAAATTCAGCAAACAAAAATACAGATACCCTGTTAAGTTCAAATATCAGGTAAACAGCAAATCATTTTTCAGTATGTCTGGCAACCCTAGCCCCGGGTCTCAACTACAATATTACCTCCTCCAGGAAGCCCTCCCAGATGCACCCCAGACCAGGGAGATTCCCAGTCCATTGTGCAAAGCCCTGTCTTGACGCTTATCCCAGCCTGACATCTGCCTCCCCGCCAAACTGTGAATGCCAGCAGGGCCAGAAATCCAGCCAGCCAGCCTGCCCTGTGGCCCCAGCATCCGCAGGGCCTAACACGAGGCAGCTGTTCCATAAACATTCTCTAAATCAAGGAGTGAGGGCTGGCAAGGTGGCCCAGGAACCCGTTTGGCCACACATGCCCCCCACAGGACCCAGGGCCTCCCCTCTGCTCCCTGCTGGCCATGCCTCCTTCCTTGAGATGCACCTAGATCTCTTCTCAAGGCCGTCCCCAGCTCCACAGAACCTGAGCTGGGGAATCATGGCCGGGGCACCTAGGCAGGCTTCGCTCAGCGATTTTGACAGCTGCTCTTCATTTTAATTGAGATCATGTTGCGCTCAGGCGCAGCAAAGGCCTCATCACGGAAAGCCTGAAGACAACAATGGCCCGGCAAGGCTGTGTGGGCTGCTGGGCGCGCAGGGGGTGGTGGGGCCACTGGCCGAGGGGCAAGAACCCGGCCAGTGCAGGCTTTGAGCTCTCAAGCTCCTCCTCTGCCCAGCACACACACCATATATTTTTGAACAGAAGGAAAGCATTCGCTGTTTCCCCCACAGTGCCAAAAATAGCCCCAGCTCCTGCCTCTGAACAGGAATCTTTCGGTTCCTACAAAGAGGCAGGAGCAGGGCCGGGAGGAGGGGCCTTGCTGGCTGGCTGGCGGCTTGGACCCCTCCTCAACTCCCCAGCCCCAGCAGGTGAGAAGGGTCTGGGGTCCTCACGAGGCCTGGCCAGCTGGGGCCCAGCCTCCCCACACCCCACTTCTCAGGATCCCCCAGCCACGGAGGAAAACCCCCCTCCCCCAGCCCAGGAGGTAGGAGAGGGCTGGACAGAAACGGAAAGCAAAGCCCAAGATGGATAAGAAGGAACTTCGTTCATTCATTGGCTTGCTCGTTTATGTACTTGTTTTCTCATTCATTCCAACAATATGCACAGGCTCTGTTCTAGGAGCAGGGGCTACTCCGGCAGCCACGCAACGAGACGCAGTCATGCAATAAGATGCAGTCGGTCCTCACAGCTCCCAGCTGAATCAAGGGGGACTATGAAACATGTCGTCACCACCAGGACTGAGGAGGAGGCCGGGCCCAAGGACATCCCCCCTGGAAGTAGCCGCTGGGCTTTGATGCGAGTGTGGACGAGGATGGGTCCCATCCATGGCCAGTGGGAGGAAGCAGAGGGCTGGGTCCGATGAATAGGTGCCTGCCTCTGGGATGGCCGGGCGCGGTGGCTTACACCTGTAACCCCAGCCCCTTTTTTTTTTTTTGAGACGGAGTCTCGGAGTCTTATTCTGTCGCCCAGGCTGGACTGCAGTGGCGCAATCTCAGCTCACGGAATCCCAGCACTTTGGGAGGCTGAGACAGGCGGATCAAGGTCAGGAAATCAAGACCACCCTGGCCAACATGGCGAAAACCTGTCTCTACTAAAATACAAAAAAAAAAAATTAGCCAGGCGTGGTGGTGCACGCCTGTAATCCCAGCTACTTGGGAGGCTGAGGCAAGAGAATCGCTTGAACCTGGGAGGCAGACGTTGCAGTGAGCCGAGATTGCACCATTTCACTCCAGCCTGGGTGACAGAGCGAGACTCTGTCTCAAAACAAAAAAAGAAAAAGAAAAAAAGAAAGAAAAGGTGCCTCTGGGCTGCCCTAGCACGCTGCATGGCTCCCTCATCCAACCTAGCAAAAAGTCTGCAAGAGGCATTGTCTTCCTGTTTTATAGGTGAAGGCGCGGGGATGCATCAGGAGGGATTAAAAGCCTGGGATAAGCCGTGCCAGGCCCTGTCACCAATGTTTTCGCATGAATGCCATCCACAATCCTGGGAGGCATCTGCCCATTTCACAGATGAAGTCTGAGGGCTCGGTGGGAAAGGCCAGACCAAGGTCCCAGAACTAACCAGTAGAGGCCTTGGGATTTGAATCCAGGCCTGTGGGTCCCTGAGAGGAGCCCCGGACACCAGACCACCAGAAAAGCCATCTTGGCTCAGCATCCCTCTCCCAGTTCTGCAGAGATTCAGAGAAGGAAGTGGTCACAGGGCTAGAAGTGGAGAGCAAAGGATTTGAACCCAGCTCTGTTTGGTTCCAAGTCTAGGGCTCTTTCTGTTTCCCATAGCAGAAGAAAGAAAAGAAAAGACGCCGGGCGCGGTGGCTCACACCTGTAATCCCAGCACTTTGGGAGGCCGAGGCGGGTGGATAATGAGGTCAGGAGATCGAGACCATCCTGGCTAACATAGTGAAACCCCATCTCTGCTAAAAAACACAAAAAATTAGCAGGGTATGGTGGCGGGCGCCTGTGGTCCCAGCTACTCGGGAGGCTGAGGCCAGAGAATGGCGTGAACCCGGGAGGCAGAGCTTGCAGTGGGCCGAGATCATGCCACTGCACTCCAGCCTGGGCGACAGAGCGAGACTCTGTCTCAAAAAAAAAAAGAAAGAAAAGAAAAGAAGGAGGGAAGGGAAAAGAAAAGGAAGGAAGGAAAAGAGAAAGAGAAAGAGAAAGAAGGAAGGAAGAGAGAGAGAAAGAAGGAAGGAAGGGAGAGAGAGAAAAAAAGAAAGAAAGGAAGGAAGAAAGAGAGAGAAGGAAAGAAAAAGAAAGAAAGAAAGAGAGATAAAGAGGCCACTTTCCATCCCCAAAGGCTAGGGCTGTGGGGGAGCCGAGGTGGCCATGGCCCCACAGCTGGAGAGAGAGAAAGGCACACTGAACCCACTTCCCTGCTGAAAACTCAAGCCTGAAATAAAAAGGCAGAGTGCTATTTCTGCCTTGGGTTAAACATTCCTCAAAGCCACATTCCTCCTGCCCTCCCCCTGCTCCCCTGCCAGGGAATCCAGAGCACAGTGGCCTGGATGCCTCACCAGCTTCCTGGGGCCCCCTCGGTGGCTCAGAAGTGCCAAAGCCAGCAACTGCCCTGCACCCCTCCTGGGCAAGGAGCTCCCCCCCCCAGCCGCATGGTCAGGGCACCCGGAGCTGAGAAATGGTGACATCGCATCTCACAGAGAGTGGAACAGATGGAGAGACTGCGGCCCTGAGAGGGGCAGCCAGAGGCCACAGCAAGCCAGGCTGGAACCAGGACCCAACTCTCAACTCCCTGGCTGTCCCCCTTCCCCGACAGACTGTAGGTCAGGAGCACAGGCAGGTCCTGTCCTGGTCACCAGGGAGAGCAAACCACAGCACTGCAGGGAAAAACTCTTCGGAAAGATCCCAGCCTTCTGCAGAGGCGAGGACACCCCGGGCCACACACCCCACAGACACCAAAGACCACAAGATGTGGCCCAGACCTCAAGGAGCTAAAAGTCACGGGGGTCCCCTTGGCCACCATGCCCCCAAAACCCACACTGCACCTGTGAGGACTTGGTCTCTTTCTCTGTCGGACAGATACCTCCGAAGGCACCTGGGCTGAGCCAGGCACAGGGCAGGGCAGGATGGCCAGGGGCACTCAGTCCTCACCACCTTGTCCGTGACAAGGCTTCCCAGGAGCAGGGGTGGTGCCAGCACCGTAAGATGGCGGTACGTTGCTCCTAAGTTCCCAGGGCGGGAGGATGACCATTGAGATCAGCCCAGCGCCCACACACGGTCAGCACCTGCTGAGCCTCCACTGGGGTGGGTGGAGGCTGAGGAAGCCGTTGAGGCCAGGGCACAGCTGCGCCACACACTCCTATCAGCGCCTCTCCTCCTGCCGCCTTTCCACAAGGCCTCAACTCTGCCTCCTTCCTGGAGGAAGGCAAGGCGGAGGCTGCCCCAAATCTCCTGCAGGAGGCAGAACCTCTGGAACCAGCGGGAAGGATCCTATCTGCCACCAACCTCACACCCAGCCCAGGAGTCCGGGATGCCTGGCCAGTGTCTGATGCTCCAGCAGCGGCTTGGATGCTCCCAGGGACTGGGCGCTCCCTCCCCTTGGCAGGGAACTCCAAGGTTTTGAGGCTCACAGAGACGGTGGGAGGCAGGCGCCGGGTGGGAAGGGCGTGGCTCTGGCAACATAAAGATCTAAGCCTGAACCCCGACTGGCCATCGATTGGCTGGCTGGGGGGACTTGGGCGTGTCCCTGAACTTGCCTGGGCCTCCCTTTCCTCATCTGTAAAATGGGTATAAGGGTCCCTACTCCCAGGGCTTTGGGGAGAGGGCAGCACTCAGCACTCCTGGTCCCGAGTGCCCACTGGGTAAACGGTGGTCGTCATTGCTGTCATCTCCCCCCAACCACAATACTCCCCTACTGCCTTGGGGAGTGGCAGCTTATCACCTGGTTCCAGACCTGGCAGCTGAGCTCCCAGCCTTTGGCGCGGCTCCCGGCCTGTCTGTGCCTCCCTCCCCAGCGTCCCCCACCCCCAGGCACACCTACATTTACAACCTGTACAGAGCTGCCCTCACACACCACCACACGCGTGCGCACAGGAGTGCCCGGCTCACCCACTCCTGACACACGCCATGACCCCGTCACTCACGCTCGGAGCGTGCCCACGTGAATCGGGACTTGCCCACGTGCCCCGCAGCACCCGCCCTGCCTGCAACACCCACACCAGGCACCCGGGCCCGCTCACGCTCACCTGCACACCTCCATGGCGGCTCCCTGGCACCTCCACCAAGCAGGGGCCCCTCACCGCGGCCCAGGGCTTCAGTGTGCAGACTCCAGGCTGAGAGGGGACGGGGATCAGACCCCAATGGCACCACTCTCCAGCCGTGGGACCATGAGCCAGCTCTCATCCACTCTGAGCCTCCATTTCCTCATCTGTAAAAAGGGGACCCCCACAGGGCTCCTGGGTGGAATTGGTGAGGAACACACGTGAACACCAAGGACAGGCCTGGGTCACACGGAACATGCCTAATACCAGATTCTCACCGCAGTGACAGCCCCTGACCGTCCCGTGCTGCAGCTCGCAGATCCTCCACCACCACCAGGAGCAAAAGGAGGGCCGAGATGAGCCGCCAAGTTCAACGTCTGTTATTCCTAACCCCGCACACGGCTCTGTGTAGTAGAAGTCCCTTATCCCCAACCCCCAGATAAGAAAACTAAGGTATCGAGAGGCTAAGAACCATGCCTGAGGCTGAGAAGATCCAAGGGCCTGGGTCTTGAACACCACAGCCCAAGCACACTCCGTCCCTGGGGCCCTGACGTACCTTCCCCACTGGGTCTCACTATCTGGGAATTTGAACATGGTACAGAAAGGGAAACTGAGTCCCAGAGGGAACTAGTGACTCCAAAGCCACTGTCCAGGCCATGATGGTCCTGGGACTTAATCCCAGGCAGGCTGCTGTCCATCCTCTGAGCCCCTGGGCGCACAGGAGCCTAAAAGCCAGCCTGCCACAACCCTTCTCCCTCCCCAACTCACCAAGCCAGGAGCCAGACACAGAACAATCCGGCCACCAACCCAGCCGGGCCACCACAGAGGCCCTCCATGTTTGCCACTCGCTCCCAATTCAGCCAAGAGCCTGTGACAGCTCACTCTGTGATTGCCCAGGGGAGTGGCCAAGAACGGCTGTCCCTGATACAGCCGGTCCAGCAGCCTCCTTCCTGGGAGAGCATTTACTGAGCACCTACTACGTGCAGATCCCTGTGCAAACATCCCTGTCTCATGCGCAAGGGACCTCAGAGCTCAGAGACGTAAGGAGCTGGCCAGGATTGCCCAGCCAGGAAACAGCAGAACTGACCTTCAAGTCCTCAGCACCTGCCGTTCTGCCCTTGGTCAGAATATGACCCCAATCTCAAGTTACCTAGAAACGCCGCAACGTAATCTCTGACACTCTCTGCCCTGCAAAATAGATCACACACAGAATGTGAAAATTGATTCATCTTGTTATGACCATAATGATGATGTGCTTTTTAATTTATATTGGCTTTTTTTCTTACCAGAGTGCTAGAGATATCTGGGGCAAGATGAACCCCAGCAGAAGACCTCAGTGAAGAAGTCAAGACATCCCTAGGCCAGGCGTGGTGGCTCACGCCTGTAATCCCAGCACTTTGGGAGGCCAAGGTGGGTGCACCACTTGAGGCTAGGAGTTTGAGACCAACCTGGCCAAAATGGCAAGACCCCATCTCCACTAAAAATACAAAAATTAGCCAGGTGTGGTGGTGCACATTCTAATACGAGCTACTCAGGAGGCTGAGGCAGGAGAACAGCTTGAACCCGGGAGGTGGCGATTATAGTGAGCCGAGATCGCGCCACTGCACTCTAGCCTGGGTGACGGAAGTGAGATTCCATCTCGATAGATAGATAGATAGATAGATAGATAGATAGATAGATAGATAGATAGATAGATAAAAAGAAGGCAAGACATCCCTATCTGAACCCCAACAGCCAACTCACCTTGGCACAGTGGGAGGTGCCCTGACAGGAACAAAGCAGTTCCTGCCACATATTTGCTGTGTGACCTTGGGGAAGATGCTTCACCTTTCTGGCGCTTAATTTGCCTACTTGTAAAATGAGGGCATTGAACTACTTGGCCCCAAGAGTCTCCTCCAGCTGAAAGATACTAGGATTCTATTTCATAGTATTCAAAGAAATAAATGTTGACACAGTGAGCCACCTCTTTTCCTCCCCATAAAATTGGCAAGAAGTAAGGAAAACAGTAATACCCAGTGCTGGCAAGAATGCAGAGAAATAGGCACTCTCTCATCTACTTTTGCTGAAAATGTAAACTGGAACAGCCTTTCTGGAGAGCAATTCAACAATTTTTAATCAAAAGCCTTTCAAAACATCCCCAGCCTTTTAACTCCATAACCCCGTTCTGGGTTCTTATCTTCAAGAAAAGATAAGTGCAAAGATTTAGTGCAAAGACATTCATGCAAAGATGTGGTACAAAGATGTTCATCTCAGTATTTTCAATATGGGAGGAGGAAGCTAACTGTCCAATGACAGGAGATTAAATAAAATATGTTCTGTCCATATGATGCACCATGAAAAAAAATCATGCTCTAAAAGCATAGTTCATGATACGGGCAAACATTCAGAATGGTCAGGTTTTTTTAAGTCAGAAAATAAAAAGTAGATAATCCCAAATTTACAAGGTAATGAAAACTATGAGTCCAGGGACAGCGGCTCATGCCTGTAATCCCAGCACTTTGGGAGGCCAAGGTGAGTGAATCACCTGAGGTCAGGAGTTCGAGACCAGCCTGACCAATATGGTGAAACCCCGTCTCTACTAAAAATACAAAAATTAGCTGGGAGTGGTGGCGGATGCCTGTAATCCCCTACTCGGGAGGCTGAGACAGGAGATTTGCTTGAACCCGGGAGGTGGAGATTGCAGTAAGCCAAGATCGTGCCACCGTACTCCAGCCTGGGTGACAGAGTAAGACTCTGTTTCAAAAAAAAAAAGAGGAGGGAAGGGGAGGGAAGGGGAGGGAAGGGGAGGGGAGGGCAGGGGAGGGGAAAGAAGGGAGGGGAGGGGAGGGGAGGGGAGGGGAGGGGAGGGGAGGGGAGGGAAACCAAGTCCTACTGAGTCTTCCTCCTAAATATATCTGGAATCTGTCTTTCATGTCATCCCCACCGATACTCCAGTTCATCACCATGATCACCTTCGGTCTCATTACCACCCCTCTTCCCCGCCAGTCCATTCCGGGACTGCAGCCAACAACAATTTTTCTAAACCCAAATCTAATGTGTCTCCATCACCTCCCTTCCACGGCTCCCTACGGATCTCGAATAATGTCCAAATTCCTTCCTGTGGCCTCTCAGAGGGTGACATGGGCCCGGCCCACTCGACAGGACACCACCCCCCTCCACTGCCCATGCCTTGCCCCAAAGGGGTTTAAGACAGGCCTTGGGAGCAGCAGGAGCTGGGTCCGATCCCAAGGCCTCTGCCGGGGAAAAGGGCTTTCCCCTGACACGGGGTGATGGGAGAATTCTGTGGGGTGATGTAGGGAAGGGAGAAGCTGGGTCCCATTTAACCTGGAGCCCAAGGAGGCAGAAAGGGCAAAAAGAGCCTGTGAGGAGGAGGCTGGGCTCTGGGGCCTGGGTGAGTCCCTGCCATTCACCAGCTGCCCCTTCCCTCTCTGTACAAGGGGGTGGCCACAGGCCACCTGCCCTGGATGCGGAAGACTTGCACCCCAAGGACCAGCTGCTGCCAGGAAAGTTTTGAAAGGTTCCCCTCATGGCCAGGCGCAGCAGCTCATGCCTGTAATCCCAACACTTCAGGAGGCCGAGATGGGAGGAGATCACTTGAGGCCAGGAGTTCGAGACTAGCCTGGCCAACATAGCGAGATCCCATCTCTATAGAAATAAAAATATAAATAAATAAAGGTTCCCCTCAGAACCAGGCACCAAGCTAAACCCTTCATATGCCCCGAATCCTCCTCAACACTGAGGCCTTCCAAAACTGCCCATTTTCCAGAGGCGGAAAGTGAAGCCGGTGAGAGGAGGTTTGCCCAAGGAAGGGGCCAGAACCGCAGAACTCGCCCCTGAGCCCTCCTTCCCTCCCAGGGACTCTCCTGCCAAACAACCCCTTTGTCTTTCTGGCCCGCTCCCCGGACTGCAAAGCTTCTCCTGTTTAGATCCATGGAGTTGGAAGGCAGGTCTGAAGGATGAGCAAGCTGGTGCTCAGAGAGGCCAAGGGACTTCCCCAAGGTCACCAAGGCCGAGTGAGGACCCAGCCCCGCACCGCAGGGGATCGAGTCCTCTCCTAATAACACAGGTGATGTTTCTTGCCCAGATGCCCATCCCGATGCCGAGAGTCCACCTCAGTCTCTCCTGCTGCTGCTCTGCTCCACTGTCAGAGAAAGGAAAGGCCTCCTTGGTTCATGCCCACGCACACGGGATGTACAGGGACGGCCGAAGCCCCTCCCTTGCTTTGGTCCTTTCCTCTCCTTGTGGCTCACCCTGTGCCTGGCTGTGGGCCCTCCATGTCCCCACGCAGCCATCACACAACCCCCAGCTTTGTCCCAAGATGGTCTCCAGTGACTGCCTCCTGAAGGCAGCAGCTTGGCCCACCCTGGTTGAGCAGAGTTGGGTGGGGAGTGATGATCAGAGAATATTCCTCACCCTAGAGGAAGGGGCCCTCATGGGCCCCAGGACAGTCCACAACCAGAGACACCCAAGAACCCAACTGCTGACCCCAACCTGGAGCCAGGGACCCGTCCTCTGCTCGGGGTCACAGAGGCGTCAGCCGTGGGCTCCTGCCCTCCACCTGCTCCTGTGTGCCGGCACCATTCTGGGCATTAGGGAAAAGGCAGAGGAGAGTCAAGGTTGGCAGGCAAGGTCAAGGCAGAGCCTGGGCTGACCAAAGGCAACAGGGAGGAGGTGGCCACCCCTGAGTCCCAGACCGAGGGTCCCTGGGAAGGACCGCAAACATCATGGGGAGGAGAAGGAGAAGGGAGGAGGGCAGAGGTTGTGCCTCTTGGGCCTGGCTGGCTTGGGCCTGCAGTGGCCTCAGAAGCCTTTAAGGGGATGCAGCTCAGACCACCACAAATGGCTTGCACCCCCATGCTGGAGTTTTCGGATAACCCGGCTGCTTTCCTCCTGAGGCCAGGGATTCCATCTCTCTGGTCCACTCCTCTGTCTCCATGCCTGGCACACAGTGAGCACTTAATGAACAGGCCAGGGCAGCTTCACAATTCACAAGTGGGGCTGCGGAGGCCGCTACACGTAAGAGCAGGCCCCTGCTGGGATTCAGGCACAGCAGTCATAGATGTCACCTTCTGTGTGCCAGGCACAAAGACCAGAGTCAGCAAGATTCCTCTGTGGAGAGAAGAAATTTGCCCACAAAATACACATAAGCCCAGTTCAAGATGAAGCTGTATTGTATGGTCAAAATGATATATATTAAGGCCGGGTGCGGTGGCTCAGGCCTGTGATCCCAGAACTTTGGGAAGCCAAGGCAGGAGGATTGCTTGAGGCCAAGAGTTTGAGACCAGCCCAGGCAAAAGGGCAAGACCCTAACTCTACAAAAAAAATGTTTTTAATTAGCCAGGTGTGGTGTTGTACACCCATGGTCCCAGCTACTGGGGAGGCTGAGGCAGGAGGATTGCTTGGACCCAGGAGGTCAAGGTTTAAGTGAGCCATGATTGCACCATTGCACTCCAGTCAGGGCAACACAGCCAGACCCTGTCTCCAAAAAAAAAAAAAAAGAAAGAAAGAAAGAAAGAAAGAAAGAAAGAAAGAAAGAAAGAAAGAAAGAAAGAAAATGAACAAATAAGCATTAATTACGATCACTGGCATTTACTGACCACATACCCCACGCCACATATCAGGCCCCACACTGCACATGAGTTACCCTGTTGACTTCTCACATCCTCTGAGTTCAGGTGCCATGAGCACACCTATTTTGCAGATGAGGAAACTGAGGCTCAGGTAGGTGAGGGGACCGGCCCATCCCACAGCCGGGACACACGGGGAAGCCAACAGCCTCACCAGCAGGTTGGAAGAGAGTGGGCCAGACCTGAAAGAAACTGGGCCGCCCGCAATGCTGACTGCCACTGTCTAAGTCTTGGCTGCAGAGTGACCCTGTCCATCTCTCCCTAACCTGTTGCTGGTGGAAGGCTGAGGACTGGGTTAGGGTTTGAGCCAGGTGGAATCCCAGTGTGTCCAGTGAGGGCCACACTGCTGGGGCCTTTAGACACTCCTGCTTCCTCACACACACAGACCACCACAGACAGAGCCAGAGACGCCCACCAAGGACACTGCCCAGCACCGACTCGGACGTGGACCCATGGCTCCCCTCTAGGCCCCCTTGGCACTGTGGCCAGCTATGCATGAGGTGGGCTAGGACCCCCAGCATACACTGGAACTGTGGTCTTCAATCCGGGCTCCCCAGGACCACCATCTGCAGCACAAACACGTGTCAAGGATGCAAATTCCTGGGCCCCAGCCAGACCTAAAGAATCGGAAATCCGGGAGGGCAGCCCAGGTACCTTCATGTTTATTAATCAACCAGGAGATTCTGACATTTGAGAGTCCTTCCTGGGGCGCTTCTCTTGACCCCATACACAGAATCCCCCAGAACAAAGAGCAGATGGCTCCACTCCCCATCAGAAGGAAGCCCATCTGGGGGCGGGAGAACAAGCTGGAAGCTTTCTCTGCTTGTCCTGTTGGGAGACTTTTCATTCTGTGAACCTACTAAAGGCCAACACATGGGGGGAACACAGCTGTGAGCTCCACACACAAGGGCCTGCACTAGGGAGCTGACGTCAGCGCGGGAGGCAGACAGGAGGCCAATGAACCCACCGCCACCTCCAACGGCCCACCCCTAATAAGGGCTTCGACAGAGGAAAAGTACCCAGGCCAACTCTCTCTCTGCCCAAAACTGTTCCACGTCTCCAAAGGCCTTTAAAAATAGCCCAGCCCAGCACCACAAGGGCCAGTTCCTAACAAAGCTTTGTTGACTCAACTTCTCTTAAAGTTGACAGATCTGCCCGGAGGAGGGGGCCGGACAGGACTATCACCCCAGGCCCTTCCCATTTAGAATCCACCATCATGGGCTTCTAGCAAAAGCCAGAAAAAGACACCCAGCAGAGCTTTTTTTTTTTTTTTTTGGAGACAGAGTTTCCCTCTTGGAGCAATCTCACCTCACCGCAACCTCCGCCTCCCAGGTTCAAGCGATTCTCCTGCCTCAGCCTCCCGAGTAGCTGGGATTACAGGCATGTGCCACCATGCCCAGCTAATTTTGTATTTTTAGTAGAGATGGGGGTTTCTCCACGTTGGTCAGGCTGGTCCACCCGCCTCGGCCTCCCAAAGTGCTGGGATTACAGGCGTGAGCCACTGTGCCTGGCCCAGAAGAGCTCTTGGCACGAGCTCTGAAGTCTCTCACTAGCCTTGGAGCAGGACAGACCGGAGTTCAAGTCCTGGCACTGCCTGGTCACTAGCTGTGGGATCATGGGAATGCCACTTTGCCCCTCTGAGCCTTAGTTTCCCCATCTGTAAATGGAGATCGTAGCAGCACCCAGCCTGGTAGAGCAGTTGTGGCAGAGTCGAGGTGCTAATGATGCCAAGAGCTTGGCACGTGACATGCTCGATGAGCAGGAAACCTGGCTTCACTCCCCTGTCCCACCATGATGGAGGCATCCCGTGCAGCCCATGCCCACCACTCCTGATGGAGCCCACGGTGTCCTCACCCTCCCCCGGCACAGGGACCCAGGAAGTCCACCTGCTGGCGGCTGTGGGCCACATCTGGACTTAGCTTGAAGGAGTCCCCAGCGAATCTCACAAAACAGCAGCCAGACTGGAATGGGCCACCCACCTGCCCACCTTGGAGAGAGGGTGAGAACAGCCCCTGTGCCCAGGGGCTTCACCCCTTCCAGGTAGCAGCTCTTGGGATGTGAGCTCCATGCTGCAGGATTCCACAGGAGAAGGGCCAGCACCTCGCAGCAGACTAGCACCCGCTCAGGAAAGCCCCCTTTGTTCCAAGCATGAGGGGTGAGGGGCATGGAGCTGAAGCGTGGGCTTGGACAGACCTGCAGACGTGCCCAGAAGGCCGATGGAGTGGGGGGAAGCGGGGAGCAGAGGTTGTGCAATGCACCACCAGGAGCTGCCTCCCCAGCCTCCATCAACACATGGGGCTGGCGGTCAAGCTGCTGCCTCCAGGGGTGGTGCAGAGGGCCTGGGCCCACGCAGCTGCCCGGGGATGGGTTCTGAATTCCAACCCAAGCCCAGAACCACTGTCCCCTTCCAAGTCAAACACCCAGGCAGAGGTCCTTCCAGACCCCGATGCTGAAGCCTTCCCTCTGGCAATCCCCTGGGTGGTCTGGACCCATTACCATTAACCCCTGGTATGCCAGGGCACCTCCGGAGAGGCTGCAGGGAAGGGGGAAGCCTGGTATGGAGAAACTAGGACTGCAAGGGGACTGCAGAGTTGTGAAGTTAGGCAAGTGGAGGGAGACACACTGAGGCTGATCTGGAGACGCCCAGAAAGGACAGGCCATCCTCCTCCGGGCAGCCCGCGACAGCTAATGATCACACGCGGCCCAGATGACCCGGGCTGTAGAAACCCACTTCCCGGTGTGGCAGACAGAGATGGGGCCAGGGAGAATCCAGCCTGTAAGTGCTGCAACCCACAGGGTGCCGGGGACCCTTCACCGCCGTCACCGCACGACGAGCGCTGTGCCAAGTCTCGCCACCCCCCCCCCCACACGAACGGGGCCAGGGAGGGGGCGACAGGCCAATCTCGCAGCAGCGGCGGCGGCGGCATCGTGATGCATGAATCACCAGCCCCGCGCGCTCGTGCCAGTCGGCTCCGCGCAGCCGGGCGCCCCCTCCCGGGACCACCGCCCCACCCTGGCAACAGCCCCTGCCCGTTGGGACAGCTCTGCGGAGAGGGGGCCGCCAGGGGGCTGGGGCTGCCCCTCCGGACCTAGGGGTGGCGCCGCGCACGCCGACCGGCGCGCACTCCCCGGGCTGGGGGTGCCAGAACAATGGGGCCGGGCGGGGGGCAGGGGCGCGGCCCGGGAACCTCCGAGGGGTCCACATTGGAGGCCGGGCGGGGAGGACGGAGCGGAGGCGGCAGCGCGGAGCGGGTAGCGCGCGGGTCCGGGGGGCGGGGGCGGGGGCGGTGGGTGTGGGGGTGACCGCGGGGCGCGGGCTGGGGGCTGGGAGCACTCACAGTAGGTCTTCCTGGTCAGCTCCTCCACAACTTCGGGCTTCAACTTGCTGTTGGATTTCCCCATCCTCGGCGGCCGCGGCCCCCGCCCCCCCGGGCCGGACCCGGTTGGGGCGCCCAGCAGGAGCGGCTGGGCCGGGCGGGCCGGGCCGGGGCCGCGCCTTTGTCTGCGGCGCCCGCGCTGCGCTGCGCGGCTGTCGGCGCCGGGGCGCCCGGGGCGTGGGGCGGCCGCTGGGCAGGCCCGGGCGGTCCGGGCGCCGCGGCGCGGGGCTGCCTGGGCTGGGCGCCGGCGCCGGCGCGGTGTGGCCGCGGTCGTCCCTGGTTACTGGGCTCCGCGGCACATGCTCGCTGCTGCCTCCCGCCTGCCGCCGCCCCTGCGCTCCCCGCCTCCCGCCTCCCCCCTCCCGCCCGCACCCGCGCGCCAGGGGTGGACCCGGAGCCGCCACTCAGCGCCCGGCGCCACCTCCCGCCCCGCACCCGCCTGGCCGCGGCCTCCGCCAGCTGGACCCCGGCCTCGCCAGCCAGCCGGAGGGGCGTCCCCTCGGCTCAACGCGGCCCCAGGGCGGGGCAGCCACCCCCGCCACCCCCTCCCCGAATCCAGCCCTGGCGCTCCGGCCCCCGCCGCGGCGGGGAGGGCCCGGAAGATCGGATGTGAATGAGGCCAGGTCCCGGCCCGGAGACATTCATTCATTCGACACGGATTCATGGGGTGCCGGGGACACGGCGGCCCACGGGACAGGAGTGCCCCAGCCCTCGCAGGGCGGGCAGGGGGCTGTGCGGGATGCGGCAGGTAGCGGTGGGAGCACCTACTCTCGGCCTGGGGGCAGGAGACCTCCAAACCCAGGGTCAGGAAGGGAGGTGGATGGAGAAGCGTTCTGGCCCAGGCAACCTGGAGAGGCGGGGAGGCCTGCATGCCCGAGGGAGAGTTCCCCGGCTTGCGGGCTTGCGCACGGCTGCAGGCACAGGGGACCTGGGAGAAGGGCAGGGCCCACGGGGCAGGCCAGGAGAGGCCCCTCGCCGAGGAGCTGGGCCCCTGCCCACCAGCGCCCATGAAAGGACTTCAGCAGAGAGTGATGGGTCAGAGCTGCTGGAGTGACAGGTCAGAGCTGCTCAGAGCTGTTTCTCTGAGCCGAGGCTGGGGTGACAGGCTCCACCTGAATGGACAGAGGCCAGTGGATTCGCGTAGGGGGGTGTGGTTCAGGTGGTAGGTCCAGCATGGCCTTCCCGGTCCACCTCATCCAACATATCATCATATCTTGAGAACTCTCCTATCCTTTTCGGCTTTAGTTTCTCTCCTTCACATCCATCACAAACGTCACCTATGTTTTCTGCATCCTGTTTGTCTCTTCCATGGGAGAACACCCTCCCAGAGGGCAGAGGCATCTCCATAACCCAGAAGGCCGCCTGAGGTGTTACCCAGCAAATCTCTGTGAATGAGCGAAGGACGGAGGAAAGAATGACACCCGGTGCTGGGGCCCTGGGGTAGGGGAGAGAGCGGGGAGGATGAGGCAGCCCTCCCCGGGGCTAGCAGGGATGAGGCAGGAGTGGGGTCTCTTTCTCCCTTCTTTCCACAGTGTTCTAACCTCGGAGGGTCCAGAAAGCTCAGAGGAACCCTGAGCAGGGCCGAGTGCCTTCCAGCTCCCAAATATCTCTCCTGCCTCTAAGCATACTCCATCCACTCCTGCTTTCCCCTGAAGCCCCTGCCCAGGCTGAGCCCCAGGCCCCAGGAAGTCTTCAGATGGGGATGGACTTGCTGGCTTGGGGAGCTCATTCTGCAGAGGAGGTGGGCCCAGTTGGAGGGATCTGGTGTAGACCTGGGAGCAGAATGTCCCAACCTTGAGGACCAACTCAGAGTGGACAGCAGTGAGGGGCCCACAGTGGGGGGCTAACAGTTGACCAGACTGTGCTGAGCATCCTGCCTGGGAGGAGGGAGAGCCAGCACGGGAACCAGGGCCTGGCTGGATGACAGCAGTAGTAGTTAAAGCCCTTTAGAAACCCAGGTGCTCAGGCTGGGTGCAGTGGCTCATGCTGGTAATCCCAGCACTTTGAGAGGCTGAGGTGGAAGGATTACTTGAGCTTAGGAGTTCAAGACCAGCCTGACAGGGGAGACCTCATCTCTACAAAAATTTTTAAAAGTTAGCTGGGCTTGGTGACACATGCCTAACTCCCCGTTACTCGGGTGGCTGAAGTGGAAGGATCACTTGAACCCAGCAGGGCGAGGCTGCAGTGAGCCGTCATTGTGCCACTGCATTCCAGCCTGGGTGACAGAGAAAGACCCTGACTCTCTCTCTCTCTCTCTCTCTCACACACACACACACACACAAACACACACACATGAAAAGAGAAGAGAAAAAAAGAAAGAGAAAGGAAGGAAGGAAGGAGGGAAGGAAGGGAGGGAGGGAGGGAAGGCAGGCCAGGCATGGTGGCTCATGCCTATAATCACAGCACTTTGGGAGGACAAGGCAGGTGGATGGCTCGAGCTCAGGAGTTCAAGACCAGCCTGGGCAACATGGTGAAACCCCATTCCTACAAAAAATACAAAAAAAAATTAACTGGGCATGGTGGCACATGCCTGTAGTCTCAGCTACTCGGGAGGCTGAGGCAGGAGGATTGTTTGAGCCTAGGAGGTAGAGGCTGAAGTAAGCCCTGTTGGCACCACTGTACTCCAGCCTAGGTGATGAGACCCTGTCTCAACACACACACACACACACTCACACACTCACATGCATTCACACACACACACAAGAAACCCAGGTACTCATCCTGTGAGTATTTCTTGCTCACTGCCCCTGTGCCAGGTGCCGTGCTGGGCACTGAGACCAACATGGGAGCTCACGGATCTGACCCGACCTGCTGCACAGCGATCACAAAATCACACTGGCAACAAACACCATGCAAGGAATGGAGAGGGTGGGGGAACATACATGGGAACACCTGCCAAGGAACTCAGGGACTTCACAGATTCATCCCATCATTCGGGACATGTTTACTAAGCACCTACTATGTGCCCTGGGGACATAGACCAGATCCCTGCCATCAGGGACCTTACACTTTCGTGAGGGGAGAGTGCTATAAACAATAAACAACATGCATAAGTGCAGCATAGAAACCAGAAACACGGGGGCGCAGTGGCTCATGCCTGTAATCCCAGCACTTTGGGAGGCCAAGGCGGGCGGATCACGAGGTCAGGAGTTCAAGACCAGCCTGGCCAACATAATGAAACCCCGTCTCTACTAAAAATACAAAAATTAGCCGGGCATGGTGGTGCACGCCTGTAGTCCCAGCTACTTGGGAGGCTGAGACAGGAGAATCACTTGAACCTGGGAGGCAGAGGTTGTGGTGAGCTGAGATCGCACCACTGCATTCCAGCCTGAGTGACAGAGCAAGACTTTGTCTGAAAGAAAGAAAGAAAGAAGGAAAGAAGGAAGGAAGGAAGGAAGGAAGGAAGGAAGGAAGGAAGGAAGGAAGGAAAAGAAAAGAAAAAAGAAACCATAAATACGCTGCATGAGTAGAATGTATCTCACAGGTGAAAGAAGAAAAATGAGGCGGGAAGGAAAATGGGAAGGGCTGAGGGCCGGAGGTGTGTGGTGTTGGCTAGAGAAGGAGCCTCACTGAGAGCAGAGGGGGAGCATCGCCCAGGCCCCGTGGCAGAGCCCAGGTGGAGCCCAGCTGGCCCACGTACAGCCTTGTGTGTGGCCTTGCAGGGGTACAGTAAGGTGGGCTTTAAAGGGCGAGGTGCAGAGTGGGGAGGCAAGGTCAGACTCCCGACTCAAGGGATCTGATGTGCTTAGCCGGCCCCTTCAGCTGCTGCTGCAGGGAGAACTGACTCCAGGCACAGATGGGTAAGAATGGGGAACTGCCAGAGGTCACTGTATCATCAGCCAGGAGGTGGTGGTGGCCACGTGTAGTGTGGCCTTGGAGGACACAGAACTGGCTAGACTCGGTGACATTTTGAGGGTAGTGAGAGCAGGATTCCCTCACTGCTGTCTCCTCTGAGTTGGTCTTCAAGGTTGGGAGACATTCTGCTCCCAAGTCTACACCAGATCCCTCCAGCTGAGGCCCATCCTACCTCCTCTGCAGAATGAGCTCCTCCAGGCCAGCAAGTCCATCCCCATCTGAAGACTTCCTGGGGCCCGGGGGTCAGCCTGGGCAGGGGCTTCAGGGGAAAGCAGGAGTGGATGGAGTATGCTTAGAGGCAGGAGAGACATTTGGGGCTGGAAGGCAGGAGAGACATTTGGGGGCTGGAAGGCAGGAGAGACATTTGGGGGCTGGAAGGTATGAGACGGAGAGAGGGGACTCAAGGACAAGGCCGGGCTTTCTGAGCTGAGCTTATGGAAGAGTGGGGTTTCTATTTGCTAAGATGGGGAGTGGACAGGTTTGGACAGGAAGAGCTGGAATCTTACTGCAGACAGGTGAGGTGTGAAATGCTTACCAGATGTCCAAGTGGTGACGGGAGAAAGCAGGTGGCACAGGCGTCTGGAGTTCAGGGACAGGTCCAGGCTGCAGGTATGCACTGGGAGCCATCCTGGCAGACATGCCCTTTAAAGTCTTGAGACAGGATGAGGTCACCGAGGGAGGGAGTGTAGGCTGAGAAGGTCAGGCCAGGGAGACAGCAGGGGTGCTGACGGGGAGGTAGGAAGACCACCAGGAGGCAGTGCTGGAAGCCAGGGAAGAATGTGTTTTAGGAAGGAGGGAGAAGCATGGGAACTGCTTGGGGAAGGGTGGGGGGAGTGTTTTGGACCCCCGTGATGTGGGGACGGCATGTGGGAAAGTGCTGGGCCTTGGGACCAGCCATCCCTCTTCCTGACCTGGTTTTTAGCTGAAAAGGTCCCTGCCCACATCAGCTTAAAATGCTGAGCCTGAGCCACCACATGAAGGACTCAGATCTGCTCTCTGATGCCCTGGTCACAATCCAAGAAGCAGAGGTTCCAGGTCTTTCCACTACAGGATTTTGATGTTTAAGTGAAAAAAACGTGCAACCCAGGCTGAGCGCAGTGGCTCATACCTGTAATCCCAGCACTTTGGGAGGCCGAGGCTGGCAGATCACCTGAGGTCAGGAGTTTGAGAACAGCTTGGCCAACATGCTGAAACCCCATCTTTACTAAAAATACAAAAATTAGCCGGGCGTGGTGGCGCACACCTGTAGTCCCAGCTACTCAGGAGGCTGAGGCAGGAGAAGTGCTTGAACCTGGGAGGTAGAGGTTGCAGTGAGCCAAGATCGCGCCACTGCACTCCAGCCTGGGCGACAAGAGTGAAACTCCGTCTCAAAAAAAGAGAAAAACAACCAAACAAACGAAAAACGTGCAGCCCATCTTCCAGTTGGGGTGTCATGGCCAATTCACAGGTTAAGGGATCCTTCTGGCTGCTGTGCAGATTGGAGCAGGCAGGGTGAAGGCAGAGATGCCATTGAGGACTTGGGAAATTGAGTGGCCATTGATTAGATGTGGGTTGGAGGGACAAGAGAGGAAGGCATGACCGTGGATCTCTGGGTTGGGAAGAGCAGCCCTACAGGAGACAGAGGCGTCAGAGTGGCCCCCTGGTGGTGTCCAGGAGCCCCTGAGGGATGGATGCATTTCTCAAAATGGGGTCACCAGACGAGGACCAGGTTCAGAGAGGGGGTGATGATCTCAGCAATGGATCTGAGATGTCTGTGAAACACCCAAGGAGGATGTTGAGGTCTATGTTCAGAAAAAACAAAACCAGGCCGGGCGTGGTGACTCACGCCTGTAATCCCAGCACTTTGAGAGGCTGAGTTGCGCAGATCACCTGAGGTCAGGAGTTCGAGACCAGCCTGGTCAACATGGTGAAACCCTGTCTCGACTAAAAATACAAAAATTAGCTGGGCATGTTGGTGCACTGCCTGTAGTCCCAGCTACTTGGGAGGCTGAGACATGAGAATCGCTTGAAGCCGGAAGGCAGAGGTTGCAGTAAGCCAAGATTGCACCACTGCACTCCAGCCGGGGCAACAGAGTGAGACTCCGTATCAAAATAAATAAATAAATAAATAAGTCAAATTAAATGATTTTTAAAACCCAGGTTATAAACCGTTGTGTATAGAATAATGAAAATAAATCTCTGCACCCATGTAGGAAGCTGTCTGAAGGACAGGCTTCCAGGGAATCCTATCAGTTGTCAGTACAGGTAGATTATGAGTCACTTTTATTTTTTCTCTCATCTGCATTTTTCCTTGCATTTTTTTCTTGTGATATAATTCGCATAAATTTCATCATTTTAAATTAGCACACATTCAGCCATTTTAGTATATTTGCTATATTGTGTAACCATCACCACTAATTTCAGAATCTCATCTGTATTTTATTTTACTTTATTTTATTTTATTTTATTTTATTTATTTTTTCTTTGAGATGGAGTCTCGCTCTGTTGCCCAGGCTGGAGTGCAATGGTGAGCTCTCATCTCACTGCAACCTCCACCTCCAGGGTTCAAGTGATTCTCCTGCCTCAGCCTCCCAAGTAGCTGGGATTACAGGCATGCGCCACCACGCCTGGCTAATTTTTTTGTATTTTTAGTAGAGACGGGATTTCACCAAGTTGGCCAGGCTGGTCTCAAACTCCTGACCTCAGGTGATCCACCCGCCTTGGCCTCCCAAAGTGCTGGGATTACAGGTGTGAGCCACCGCGCCCGGGCTCATCTGTATTTTCTACAGATTGTTTTCTACAATTAAACACATTGCTTCTGTGTTTTTGTTTTGTGGTTTTTGTTTGTTTTTGAGACAGGGTCTCACTCTGTCACCGAGGCTGGAGTGCAGTGGCACAATCATGGGTCACAGCAGCCTTGACCTCCCAGGCTCAGGTGATCTTCCTGCCTCAGCTTCCCTAGCAGCAGGACTACAGGCACACACCACCACACCCAGCTAATTTTTTAAATTTTTTGTATAGATGGGGTCTCACTATGTTGCCCAGGCTGGTCTTGAACTCCTGGGCTCAAGCAATCCCTCCACCTTGTCCTCCCAAAATGATGGGATTATAGGCGTGTGCCACCACATCCAGCTCACACATTTCTTTTGAATAAGAAAAGTATTTTGTCAATTTTTTTCACTCATCCACAAATACCCCAAAGTAGAGGCCTTCTAGAATCACCAAGACTCCCCCAGGGGGCCTGTCCATGACCCAGATCCCCAGCTTCCACTCCACACACGATGAATGTCACTGAGGTTGGAGCATAGCTTGGCAATCTGCATTTTAACCCAGCCTCTAGCCCTCCCCCTTGCCTTTCAGCAAAAAGGGTCCCTGCTACGGTTTCATAAGCTCACTCTTCTGAGGGTGAGGGTGAGGGTTAGGGTTAGGTTTAGGGTTAAGGTTTGGCTTAGGCTTAGGGTTAGGTTTTGGCTTGGGTTTAGGGTTAGGGTTAGGGTTAGGGAAGCTTGCTCGGTTGCTCTTCCAGGAAGTCCATGGGGAAAATATTAAACACAGGTTGGGCAAACTCTGGATCAAATGCTCCGCTCAGTTGCTGCATCCTTGAGCCCCGGTTTCCTCCTCTGCCAGATGAACAGCCCTGGCCTATCCCCCTTCCAAGGGCTTAGTCTGTGGACCTGTAGGTAGGTGCATTACCGGGAGTATCCATTCTCATGTCACGTAAGCATCTCGAACTCAACAGGCCCTAAACATAACTCACCGCGGTCCACTCCCCACAAAAAGAATCCTTGTTCCTTTACAAATGGTCCGCTGACAACCAAAGGCTCCAGCCAGAGTCTGAAACATTCCTGGCCCTTCCTGCTCTGCAGAATCCCATCCTCTGTATGCAATCAACCACACCTTGTCCGTTGGTTTCAATTCTTAAAGAGCCCTCGGCCGGGCGCGGTGACTCACGCCTGTAATCCCAGCACTTTGGGAGGCCGAGGCAGGTGGATCACCTGAGGTCAGGAGTTTGAGACCAGCCTGACCAACATGGAGAAACCCCATCTCTACTAAAAATACAAAATTAGCCGTGCGTGGTGGCGCATGCCTGTAATCCCAGCTACTCGGGAGGCTGAGGCAGGAGAATCGCTTGAACCAGGGAGGCAGAGGTTGCGGGGAGCCGAGATCGCGCCATTGCACTCTAGCCTGGGCAACAAGGTAGAAACTCCATCTCAAAAAAAAAAAAAAAAAAATCCCTCAGGGCTGGACAGTTTTCTTTTTTCTTTCTTTCTTTTCTTTTTTTTTTTTCTTTTGAGACGGCGTCTCACTCTGTCGCCCAGGCTGGAGTGCAGTGGCACGATCTTGGCTCACTGCAAGCTCCGCCTGCTGGGTGGCTGGACAGTTTTCTGCACCTCCACCACAATCAGTGGAATCCCGCCACCACCCTCTCTCTCCAAGCCATCAAAGCAATTTCTGCAGCATCTTTCTTGCTCCTTCTCAAATCCCCATACCACAGCCAGAGTAAGACTTTCTATTGCTAATCTTCCGCATCCATCCCCCCAGCGAAGCTTCTCTTTGCTCTCAGGGGAAAGCCTCTACAAGGCTTATGAGGCCCTGCCTGCCTCATCTCTGTTCCTCTAACAAACCAAACCGTGACATCCAAACCCTCACAGACGTCTACTCCCCTATGGTAGCAAACGCCTAGACCTGTGATGTCCAACAGGGAGGCCCCCCAGCCACATGTGGCCACTGAGCACCTGAAATGTGGCCAGTCCAAATGGAGATGCACAGTGAGCACCAAATACACACCGATTCCAAAGGTTCGTGTACAAGGAAAGGAATAAAAGCCACCTAATTAATATATTTTTATTTTCGTTATATATTGAATTGATAAATGTTTCAGATGTAATGGGGTAAATATATAGTATTAAAATTAATTTCACCTTTTAAAATTTTTTGCTAATGTGCCAACTAGGAAGTTTAAAATTTCAGATGTGCACTTTGGGAGGCCGAGGCGGGTGGATCAACCTGAGGTCAGGAGTTCAAGACCAGCCTGGCCAACATGGAGAAACCCCATCTCTACTAAAAATACAAAAATTAGCCAGGTGGTAGTGGCACATGCCTGTAATCCCAGGTACTTGGGAGGCTGAGGCAGGAGAATGGCTTGAGCCTGGGAGGCGGAGGTTGCAGTGAGCCAAGATCTCGCCGCTGCACTCCAGTCTGGGCGACACAGTGAAACCCTGTCTCAAAAAAAAAAGAAAACGGCCGGGCGTGGTGGCTCACACCTGTAATCCCAGCACTTTGGGAGGCCGAGGTGGGCGGATCATGAGGTCAGGAGTTCGAGACCAGCCTGACGAACATGGTGAAACCCTGTCTCTACTAAAAATATAAAAATTAGCTGGGCGTGGTGGTGCATGCCTGTAATCCCAGCTACTCAGGAGGCTGAGGCAGCAGAATCGCTTGAGCCTGGGAAGCAGAGGCTGCAGGGAGTTGAGATCGTGCCTCTGCACTCCAACCTGGGCTACAGAGCGAGACTCCATCTCAAAAAAAAAAAAAAAAAAGAAAGAAAAAGAAAAAAGAAAAGGAAAGAAAAATACCGGGCGCAGTGGCTCACACATGTAATCCCAACACCTGGGGAGACCAAGGTGGGTGGATCACCTGAGGTCAGGAGTTCAAGACCAGCCTGGCCAACGTGGTGAAGTCCCTTCTCTACTAAAAATACAAAATTAGCTGGGTGTGTGGCACGCCTGTAATCCCAGCTACTCGGGAGGCTGAGGCAGGAGAATCGCTTAAACCCAGGAGGCGGAGGTTGTAGTGAGCCAAGATTGTGCCATTTCACTCGAGCCTTGGCCAAAAGAGCAAAGCTCCATCTCAAAAAATAAAAAAACGGCCAAGCGAGGTGGCTCACGCCTATAATCCCAGTACTTCGGGAGGCTGAGGCAGGTGGATCACCTGAGGTCAGCGGATCACCTGAGGTCAGGGGTTTGAGACGAGCCTGGGCAACATGGTAAAATCTCTTTTCTACTAAAAATACAAAATTAGCCAGGTGTGGTGGTACACACCTGTAATCCCAGCTACTCAAGAGGCTGAAGCAGGAGAATCGCTTAAACCTGGGAGGTAGAGGTTGCAGTGAGCCAAGCTCACACCATTTCACTAGAGCCTGGGCCAAAAGAGTGAAGCGCCGTCTCAAAAAACAAAAAAACGGCCAGGCACGGTGGCTCACGCCTATAATCCCAGCACTTTGGGAGGCTGAGGCGGGCGGATCACTTGAGCTCAGGAGTTTGAGACCAGCCTGGGCAACATGGTGAAACCCTGTCTCTACAAAAAATAGAAAAATTAGCCGGTGTGATGCCAGGCTCCTGTAGTCCCAGCTACTCGGGAGGCTGAGGCATGAGAATCGCTTGAACCTGGGAGATGGAGGTTGCAGTAAGCCAGATCGCACCACTGCACTCCTGCCTGGGTGACAGAGCAAGGCCCTGTCTCAAAAAACAAAACAAAACAAAACAAAAAAAACAACTTCAGATGTGCTTACATTATATTTCTTTTCTCTGTCTCTCTCTTTTTTTTTTTTTTTTTGAGACATGATCTCACTCTTGTTTCCCAGGCTATAGCGCAGTATAATCACAGCTCACTGCAGCCTTGACTTTCCAGGCTCAAGTGATCCTCCCACCTCAGCCTCCTGAGTAACTCGGACTACAGACACACGCCACCATGCCCAGCTAGTTTTTGTATTTTTAGTAGAGATGGGGTTGCGCCATCTTATCCAGGCTGATCTCAAACTCCTAGGCTCAAGCAGTCCTCCCACCTCAGCCTCCCAAAGTGCTGGGATTACAGGCATGAGCCACCTCACCCGGCCTGTCTGTCCTTTTTTAAAATTGAGATGGGGTCTCACTATGTTGTCCAGGATGGTCTCAAACTCCTAGGCTCAAGCAATCTTCCTGTCTCAGCCTCCCAAGTAGATGGGATTTAAAGGCACCTGCCACCGTGTTTGTCACATTGTATTTCTTTCTTTTTTTTTTTTTTTTTTTTGAGACAGTCTTGCTCTGTCACCAAGGCTGGAGTGCAGTGGCGTGATCTCGGCTCACTGCAAGCTCCGCCTCCTGGGTCCTGGCCATTCTCCTGCCTCAGCCTCCCAAGTGGCTGGGACTACAGGCGCCCACCACCACGTGATCTGCCCGCCTCAGCCTCCCAAAGTGCTGGGATTACAGGTGTGAGCCACTGTGCCCGGCCTTTATTTTGTTTTTTAAGAGTAAGGGTCTCACTATGTTGCCCAGGCTCGTCTTGACCTAAACTCAAGCAATCCACCCAACTCAGCCTCCCAAAGGGCTGGGATTACAGGCACGAGCCACTGCACCTGGCCAACACTGTATTTTATTAATAATGAAGTAGTTTTAGATCATATTTTGTTCTTCAAATTTAAAAGAAACATTGTCAAAAGTATATAATCCAGTATCTTCTGAAGAAAAACCAGTTTCTGTGGTATACATGTCCTGGGTGGAAACAAATTCCCTTGTCAAATGTTTTTAGGGAGCATCCCATACTATAAGCACCCTGTTGACCAGTCACAATGCACATTAGCATAGTAAATGCTCTGAGAAGTCCTGCAGGAAAGAAATCTGTGTTATTTAATGAAGTATTTTCCACACTTACTTGGGTAGGACATTCTTTTAAAACTCCTTTTAGCATACTGAAGAACCAATGTCCTATGGAATAAATAACCATGAGGAAAGCCAGGCTCAGTGGCTCACACCTATCATCCCAGTGACTCAGGAGGCTGAGTCAGGAGGACCGCTTGAGGCCAGAAGTTTGAGGCTGAAGAATCATAAGCCATGATTGCACCACTGCCCTCCAGCCTGGGCCATAGCACAAGACCCCATCTCTCAATAGTTTTTAAAAATTAGCAGGGTTTGGTGGCATGCCTGTAGTCCCAGCTATTCAGGAGGCCGAGGCAGGAGGATTGCTTGAACTTGGGAGTTCAAGGAGGCTGCTGTGAGCCGTGATCACACACTGCACTGCAGCCTAGGTGACAGAGAGAGATCCCAACTCTAAAAAAATAAGAAGAACCACGAGGAGCCCATTGTTGTATGAGTCCCTGCTCCCCTGGGAGAAGATATTGGGGAGTGAAGAGAGCATTTCCTACAGGTGAGTGGAGTGACATTAAACCCCAGCGGGAGGCTCAGGTGAAGGGAGTGAAGCACTCAGCCTCCCGAGTAGGTCTGTGGAATGTACCTGATGTGGTTTGGCTGTGTCCCCACCCAAATCTCACCTTGAATTGTAGTTCCCATAATTCCCATGTGTTGTGGGAGGGACCTGGTGGGAGATAATTGAATCATGGAGGTGGTTCCCCTCATACTGGTAGTAAGTCTCACAAGATCTGATGTGTTTATAAAGGGTTTCCCTTTTCACTCAGCTCATTCTCTCTTCCCTGACACCATGTAAAATGTGCCTTTTGCTGTCTACCGTGATTGTGAGGCCTCCCCAGTCACATGAAACTGTGAGTCCATTATACCTCTTTCCTTTATAAATTACCCAGTCTTGGGTATGTCTTTATCAGCAGCATGAGAACAGACTAATACAGTGCTGAAATTCACAGGATGGACAGTGGTGGAGAGAGCCCACCCAGCAACCAGCTCCTTCAGCTTCTGATGTCACATCGGCAGGTGGCCAGCCCACAGCAGGAGCTCAGTAACCACGCACCGGCTCCCGCTGAGCTGGTTCTCGCTTGTCCCCACCATCCTCTTCAGCAGGCTGCCAACTCCAGCCCATGGGTAGTGGCTGCTGGACCATTATGTCGGGAGGAATGGGAGGCAAGGCAGAATCAGCTGGAGGGAGTGGCTCGATCCCTTATGCTGTCAATCATAGTCACTGGGGAGGAGTAGTCAGCTGGGGCACAGGTGTCTCTGTGCTCCCTTAGGAAGAATTCTATAGTGTCTCCCACCCACCTCGCCTGCCAGGTGGCAGGCTGACTTCACCTGGAGTACATCATTCCCCACTCAGGGCAAATGGCAATTTGCAAGTCTGTGTTCAGACAGGACCAGGAGATGGGCATCCCCACACATCAGAGCTGTCTGCCATGGTGGTCACAGCCTTACTGGGCCCCCTGGCCAGTCCTTGTTTTTTTGTTGTGCGAGAGAAAAACAGAGTGGAACACTGGTTAGTTAGCACGGGCCCTGGAGCCGGACTGCACTTATTTGTTGTGTGGCCTTAGGTAAGTCGCTTAAACTCCTTAAGCCTCTGTTTTCTCATCTGGAAAGTAGGGATAATAAAAATACCACCCACCCCCACAAGGGTTGTTATGAGAGTTAAGTGATGTGTGTAGAATGCTTAGCACTATTTAGTAAAACCTGGCTATTAATACTGACAAACAATAATATATTTGTTTTAGCAATATTCTTATAATACTTATTATTGACAAAGAAAAAAAAAGAAACCATGTCACCAAACTTCCTGTGGAAAGGCCCCCACACCAGCAGTCTGAGTGCTAGTCCTGGCTGTGGGGCCGGGGCTGGGCGTGTGGCCCCTGAGCCTCGGTTTCCTCCGTGGTAAGTGGGGATGGAGGTGCCCCGGGTGCCTGCTGTGGACCTTGAAGCTGGCCTCTCCTGCATGGGAGAAGCAGTCATTACATGGAGCTGCCGAGCCGAGTGCATTTGTGAATAAACATGCAGCCTGCTTGTTGAGAGACAGATGCAAAGTCCATCTGGAGAGGGACAAAGGCCTCCCTCCTCAGTTTTCTTTTTTTTCTTTTTTTTTTTTTTTTAGACAGTGTCTTGTTCTGTCACCAGGCTGGAGTACAGTGGCACAAACTTGTGTGGTACGAGGTTGTGTGATCCCTGACATCACTGTCTCCTAGGTCACTGGGGGTGTCCACCCCACACTGGGGAAACCCTGACCTGGGGGCACCCCCAAGCCAGTGAACCAGGGGACGGGGCTCCTTGCGAGGACCAGATGGCATTTAACGCTGATAGGCGCTATCGTGACCTCCTGGGCATGAAACAGGTACCTCCCTGGTCCTTATTCCAGAAGAGGATGCAGAAGCCCTCTGGACAGGCCTGGCTCATGTCCTCCTGCTGGAGCGGGCTGACCACAGCCCTCGGCCCTCCGCTCCCGGCATGGCCCGTCTGGAGTAGCTGGGATTACAGAGGTGCACCACCATGCCCGGCTAATTTTTGTATTTTTAGTAGAGACAGGGTTTTGCCGTGTTGGCCAGGCTGGTCTTGAACTCCTGACCTCAGGTGATTTGCCCACCTCAGCCTCCCAACGTGTTGGGATTACAGGCGTGAGCCACCATGTCCGGCCCCTCCTCAGTTTTCTTAGGTGCCCTGCGTGTGAGAAGGGACCTCTTTGCTCTCTTTCCAGGGAGCCATCAGGCAGTGTGTTCTGGTCCTCGCAGCCTCTTGCTTCCTGGGGAAGACATGCCCTCTATGAACTTCACCTTCCCCAGTGAGTATCGAGGCTTCGGTGAGGCCTCCTGGTATCCCAGCATGGGGCAGTGGTGGGCTGAGCTGTACAGACTCTCCCGGGGGCCAGGGGAACCGGCTGTGTTCCCCAGCGCCTGTCATTTTCTCACTCACGGTTTTCGTGTGTCTGAGGGAAGGCCAGGGAATCTTTGTTTGCAAGGCTAGAAGCTCCCAAGCCAATGAAGCAAAAAGGAGAACTTAGTAGAAGGGCAGGAGAGCCAGCCAGGGCACCCACAGTGAGGACAGCCACTGGGAGGGAGCTGGTTCCTCTCTCCAACCACCCAGGCTCTAGGGTGGCCTGCAACAGAGACCAAAGGTGGCAGCAGAATTGGCAACATGCGTGTGGAAGCGCTCAGGAGAGGAGGAAGGGCAGGGCCTGGGAATCTGCAGGATCTGGGGTCGACACAGCAGGAACAAGGGCACGGGGTCTCCAGACTGTCAGTTCAGGACACAGCCATTGGCCCTGGCCATTCTCCTCCCTCTGTGTAGCCGTTTGCTCAAAATTCAGTCCTAGGAGGCCCGGCATGGTGGCTCACACCTGTAATCAAAACACTTTGGGAGGCCGAGGTGGGTGGATCACTTGAGGTCGGGAGTTTGAGACCAGCCTGGCCAACGTGGTGAAATCCCATCTCTACTGAAAATACAAAAATTAGCTGGCCGTGGTGGCAGGTGCCTGTAATCCCAGCTACTCGGGAGGCTGAGGCACGAGAATCGCTTGAACCCAGGAGGCAGAGGTTGCAGTGAGCCAAGATCCCACCACTGCACTCCAGCCTGGGCAACAGAGCGAGACTCCGTCTCAAAAACGTAAATAAATAAATACATAAGTCCCAGGAGAGGGTATGCAGGGGTCACAGGACCACACCGGACAGGAGGTAGGCAGGGTAGCTTGCTGGACAGTTTCGCCAAGGCTGCTCCTAGTAGGTGGGGCGGGAGGGGCGGGGGCCGGAGAGGTGCCTCAAAGTAACTTAGGTGCTTTGTCTGCAAGTATGGGGAATGAATGGTGGGGAGAGGCTAAAGGAAAAGTCCCGGGACCCCAGCTATCAGGGCAGTTTCTGTCTCTATAGACAGCTTTCCCTGAGCCTCTGCCCCCGCCTGGATCTCGCCTTCCCCCCAGCTCACGTGCCCACCAGACTGATGGCTGAGTCACAGTGCCCGAATCTGGGAGGGAGGATCTGAATGGCCCACATGAGCCAGTTGTTTGGCACAGTCCAATCAGCTGTGGCCAATGAGGGTGGGATCATGTCGTTATGGCTCCAGAGGTCTACCCTCAGGAAAGGGGGTTTTGGGCAGTCACCCCAAATACCATCTATCATAGGATTCAAGAGCTTTCAAAGCTGGGAGGTACACTTCAAAGACCACCAGGTCCAATGTGCTCATCTTACAGATGGGAGAAGGTGAACTGGGGCTTGCTCCTCCCGGTGTGGGGTGGATGCTTTGACCAGGTTCCTAGTTGAGCCTCCAAGCAGCGGGCTCTCCCAGGGTCAAGCTCAGAGACGCTCAGACCATGAGCTGGGAGGAGGAGCCAGGCCCTGGAGCCCTTCCGCACTCTGGTGCCAGGGAGCTGCCCACCATCTGGCCTGTCCCAGCACTGCCCGTTAGGGTGACACCTGCTGGTTTCCCAAGCCGGGTCTGAGACATGGACTCCCCCAGACAGATCCAAGGGATAGGTCCTGGCCCAGTTCTCCCAGGGTCTCAGCCCCCATACATGAGTTATATGTGGGCCAATCCAGGAGCCCCACCCCATGAGGGCAGGGCTGTGTGTGTCTTGTCACTGCTGCCTGCCCCATGCCCAACTGAAAGTGAAGCCACAACAACAATGCTGAATGGGTGGACGTGGCCTCTTCGGTCCCCCACCCCCAGCTGCCCTTTGGCAATGACATGAAGTCCATCCTTAAGGTCAGCCACACGTGGAATCCAATAATCCCAGGCGACTATCTGGGCTCCAAGCCCACTAACCTCTGGTGCAGACTTAGACAATCGCTCTCACTCTCTGGGCCTCGATTTCCCTGTCTGTACAATGAGGGGCTTCAAGGTTCCGTCCAGCTGAGACAGTGTGTGCTGTAACAGTTCTAAGTTCCAGCCTGACCAACATGCGGAAACCCCGTCTCTACTAAAAATACAAAAATTAGCCGGGCATGGTGGTACGAGCCTGTAATCCCAGCTACTCAGGAGGCTGAGGCAGGAAAATCGCTTGAACCCAGGAGTCGGAGGTTGCAGTGAGCCGAGATCACACCACTGCACTCCAGCCTGGGCAACAGGGCGAGACTCTGTCTCAAAACAAACAAAAAAACAAACAAAACAGTTCTAAGTTGGGGGCCAGTCTTGAGGCATCAGAATTGACCAGGAGAGAAAGCAGGACACGCTGCCTTCTCTGGAGTCCTTTAGCGGCTCTTGTTTTTAGACTTGAATTTGGCGTAGCCTTGGTAATTAGTAAGTCCAGCGGCAACAATGGCAGCTACCACTTACTGCGCCTGGTTGTGTGCCAGGCAGGGCGCCACGTACTCCCTGTGCATCAGCTCGCTGAGCCTTTGCAGGATCCTGCGGGTTAGGCAGCAAGGCCCAGAGAGGTTGAGGAGCTGGGGACCAGGTCACACAGCTGGTGACTGGCCATAAAGGATTCAAGTCAGGCTTGTCTGAGCCCCTCTCTGTGCATGTTGGGCTCACTGTGTCATATAAAAAGCCTGAAATCGCTGAGCACGGTGGCTCACACCTGTAATCACAGCACTCTGGGAGGCCGAGGTGCGTGGATCACCTGAGGTCAGGAGTTTGAGACCAGCCTGGCCAACATGGCAAAATCCCGTCTCTACTAAAAATATGGAAATTAGGCAGGGATGGTGGCGGGCACCTATAATCCCAGCTCCTCGGGAGGCTGAGGCAGGAGAATTGCTTGAACCCGGGAGGCAGAGGTTGCAGTGAGCCAAGATCGCGCCACTGCACTCTAGCGTGGGCAACAACAGAGTGAGACTCGGTCTCAAAAAAAAAAAAAATCCCGAAATCTAGCTACAAAGAGATGTGTGCTCTGCTGTGACCCACCATGTTACTTTGCCCAGTTTTGTGGGCACCTTGCTGGGGTTGGCAGAAGGCAGAGGGGTCCTGGTGTTTGGGGCTACCAAGCGCTTGCTGTGTGGGTAAGTCAGCCTACCTTTACCAGCCCTCCACCCCCATAGCCTCTTCCTCCAAGCAGCCCTAGGAGGGCCTGAGGGGACCCCACCAGCAAGGCTCCTGAGGTTCCACAGATGGAGCCTGACAGCCCCTTCCTGGGGTCCAGCCACCAGGGGACACCTGTCATTTGCAGGTGCCCTTCATTCTCAATTGCCTCGAGACCTCATTCATTGGCTGCTGTGCCGATGGTGGTGCCTGGCTCCCGCCTGCCCTGCCTGGGGCTCCATGTTCAACCCAGGATTCTTGACTGGCCTTTGAAGACTGACCCTCTACAGGTGGTCAGACAGGACTTTGTGTGGATTCCAAGGAACAGAGAGGAAGAATGTTTCAAATTAGGCCTCATACCTGTAATCCTAGCACTCAGGCCAAGGCAGGCAGATTGCTTGAGTCCAGGAGTTCAAGACCAGCCTGGGCAACATAGCAAAACCCATCACTACTAAAAATACAGAAAATTAGCGAGGCATGGTGGCACATGCCTGTAGTCCCAGCTACTCGGGAGACTGAGGTGGGGGAATCACCCAAACCCAGGAGGTCAAAGCTGCAGTGAGCTGAGATCGTGCCACCGTACTCCAGCCTGGGCAACCAGAGTGAGACCCTGCGTCAAAAAAAAAAAAAAAAAAAAGGGCTGAGCGTGTTGGCTCACACCTGTAATCCCAGCACTTCGGGAGGCTGAGGCGGGCGGATCATCTGAGGTCAGGAGTTCAAGACCAGCCTGGCCAACATGGTGAAACCCTGTCTCTAGTAAAAATACAAAAATTAGCCGGTGGCTCACGCCTGTAATCCCAGCACTTTGGGAGGCCAAGGCGGGCGGATCACGAGGTCAGGAGATTGAGATCATCTTGGCCAACATGATGAAACCCCGTCTCTACTAAAATACAAAAAAAAAATTAGGCGTGTTGGCATGTGCCTGTAGTCCCAGCTACTCGGGAGGCTGAGGCAGGGGAATCGCTTGAACCCAGGAGGCAGAGGTTGCAGTGAGCTGAGATCGTGCCACCGCATTCCAGCTTGGTGACAGAGCGAGACTCCGTCTCAAAAAAAAAAAAAAAAAAATAAGGCATAGTGGTGCCTATAATCCCAGCTACTCAGGAGGCTGAGGCAGGAGAATCGCTTGAACCTGGGAGGTGGAGTTGCAGTGAGCCGAGATCACGCCACTGCACTCCAGCCTGGATGACAGAGAAAGACTCTGTCTCGAAAAAAAAAAAAAAGAAAAAAATAGGATGTACGAAAAGCCCCAGGTGGGCTGAGAGTTTAGAGGCCTAGGTGAAGTTCTGGAACACTCTCTAGGACTTGCAGCAAGGCAGGAGGTCTGGGACAGCCCCCTACCTCCCTGGGCTTCATTTGCAAAACAATGGTATCTGCTCCCTGGGCTCTGAAATGCACCCAACCTAGTGACCCAGCCCCTCCTCCTATTCTCCCAACAGGTGAAATATGGAGACGGGGGAGTGGAGCAGCTCCTCAGCCCCCATTCCTGTCCAGCAACAACAGCAATACCCAATTGCCTTTGCCCAGAGCTGGGTTCCAGGTCGGGGACAGGAAGTGGAAGAAGAGGCAAAAATGGGGGGCAGTCCATGGAGACTGGCCTCTCTCTAGCTCTTGACCACCCAGCTTCTCCCGCTCCTCGTGGTCCTCAGCCCTGCTCCACTGGAAGGAAATATGCTGTGATGGACTGAATATTTGTGTTCCCCTAAAATTCCTTTTTCATTCTTTTCTTTCTTTTTTTCTTTTTTTTTTTTTTTTTGAGACGGAGAGTCTCACTCTGTCACCCAGGCTGGAGTACAGTGGCACAATCTCGGCTCACTGCAATCTCTGCCTCCCAGGTTCAAGTGATTCTTCTGCCTCAGCCTCCTGAGTAGCTGGGACTACAGGTATGCACCACCGTGTCCAGCTAATTTTTTGTATTGTCAGTAGAGAAGGGGTTTCACCATGTTGGCCAGCCTGGTCTCGAACTCTTTACCTTGTGATCTGCCTGCCTCGGCCTCCCAAAGTGCTGGGATTACAGGCGTGAGCCACTGCGCCCGGCCTCTTTCTTTCTTTTTTTTTTTTTTAACATATAGAGACAGGGTCTCATTATGTTGTCCAGACTGGTCTTGAACTCCTGGGCTCAAGCTATCATCCCGCCTCTTCCTCCCAAAGTGTTGGGATTACAGGCATGAGCCACCAAACCGGCCTCCCCTAAATTCCTATGTTGAAATACTGACTCCCAAGATGATGGTATGAGGAGGTGGGGCCTTTCAGAAGTGATCAGGTCATGAGGATGGAGCTGTCACAAATGGGATTCGTGCCCTTAAAAAGAGGTCCCAGCCGGGCGCGGTGGCTCGCGCCTGTAATCCCAGCACTTTGGGAGGCTGAGGTGGGTGGATCATCTGAGGTCAGGAGTTCAAGACCAGCCTGACCAATATGGTAAAACCCTGTCTCTACTAAAAATACAAAAAATAGCCAGACGTGGTGGCATGTGCCTGTAGTCCCAGCTACTCAGGAGGCTGAGACAGGAAACTTACTTGAACCCAGGAGGCAGAGGTTGCAGTGAGTTGAGATCGTGCCACTGTACTGCAGCCTGGGTGACAGAGTGAGAGTCTGTCTCAAAAAATAAATAAGAGGCCCCAGAGAAATCCTGCCATGTGAGGTTACAGTGAGAAGATGGCCATGAGGAACAGGTCCTCACCAGACATGGAATCTGCAGACACGTTGGTCTTAGACTTCCCAGCCTCTGGAACCGTGAGTAATAAGTTTCTGTTGTTTATAAGCCACTCAGTCTATGGTATTTTGCCATAGCAGCCCACACAGACTAAGATACCTCTCAATACCAAGCTGGTGACAGGGTCTCGCCAGCCACTGGGTGCCCTTCAGAGGGCTGAGGGACAGAATGAAAATAGACTAGAGAGAAGGGAATATGTAGGTTTAAGTATCTTCCAAATGGGCTGGTGGCTTGGGGGTGACTTACGCGCCAGTGGTTACCAGCTGTCTCTGATGGTCTACAGGTCGGAGGGTGAGGTTCAGCCCTTAGCCTGGAAGGCCCTGCAACAGTTAGGCCCTTTGCCTCCTGAGTGGCCCTAGACACTCCCCTGCTTTGCCGTGTGGACAAGGCTCCCAGCAGGCCCCTCCAGAAGAGTAATGCAGCGTTGTTCATAATTCTGTCTGAATCGCCCAGTGCAAGACACTCTGGATCCCCGATGCTCAGAGCAGTTCCAAAGGGTCCAGAGAGACTCATTCCACAGAGGTAAAACGTGATTAAAAATCAATGCAGCCACCCGCTGATGGATTTTCTGAGGCCTGGACAGTAAAAAGGCAGGAGAAAGAGGCAAACTCACCGAAAAGCAGGGAGGGCAAAGGAGCCCTCTAGAATGGGAACTCTAGATGAAGCAAAGGAGCTTTTTCTCAAAAACAACAAAATCAGCCTTATCCCGGGCTCAGGCCTGGAAGGTTTGCTTCCAGCCAAAACCCAGAGTGGTATCTGGAAAGGGCTTGGTCCAGGAGACAGCACACCCAGACTCCCCAGCCAGGGCTCCTGGGTGATCCCCTTGGACCTCACTTTAGAATAAGATGGGAGGTGCCGGGTGCAGTGGCTCATGCTTGTAATCCACCACTTCAGGAGGCTGAGGCAGGCGGATCACCTGAGGTCAGGAGTTCGACACCAGCCTGGCCAACATAGTAAAACCCTGTCTCTACTAAAAATTCAAAAATTAGCCGGGCATGGTGGTGTGTGCCTGTAATCCCAGCTACTCAGGAGGCTGAGGCAGGAGAATCGCTTGAACCCAGGAGGCAGAGGTTGCAGTAAGCCGAGATCGTGCCACTGCACTCCAGCCTGGATGACAGAGCGAGACTCCATCTCAGAAAAAAAAAAAGAACAAGATGGGAGGATGAGCTAATCTAGGGGCAGTGCCAACTCAGCCCCCTCTTACTCTCTCAGTGTTGGCTTGGGGTTGGGGCCCTCGCTAATGCGTCCCACCTGGCTCCCTGCCTGCCTGCCTGCCTACAGGGCACTCTTAGGCTGCCACTGTGATGAATGAATTCCTCCGCAGATTCTCAGGAGGGACACTTTGTCTCAGTCCTCCCTGTGACAGCCCTGCCCTTCCTTCCCTAATTACCCCCTTCTCCTCTTTCAGAATTCTGCCCCAACATTATCTGGGGAGCCCCCCCAGATGCTCCAGGGAGACTGTGAAGACCCTCAGGCTCCCCGACGCCTCGTGTGCTCCTTCTGTCAGGGTGTTTGAACCAGAGCAACGCCATCTTGAATAGGGGCTGGGTAAAGTAAGGCTGAGACCTACTGGGCTGCATTCCCAGACGATTAAGGCATTCTGAGTCACAGGATGACACAGGAGGTCGGCACAAGATACAGGCCATAAAGACCTTGCTGATAAAACAGGTTGCAGTAAAGAAGCCGGTCAAAACCCACCAAAACCAAGATGGCGACGAGAGTGACCTCTGGTCGTCCCCACTGCTACGCTCCCACCAGCACCATGACAGGTTACAGATGCCATGACAATGACAGAAAGTTACCCTCTAGGATTTAAAAGGGGGAGGCATGAATAACTCCACCCCTTGTTTGGCATATCATCAAGTAATAACTATAAAAATGGGCAACCAGGCTGGGTGCGGTGGCTCACGCCTGTAATCCCAGCACTTTGGGAGGTCAAAGCAAGCGGATCAACTGAGGTCAGGAGCTCGAGACCAGCCTGGCCAACATGGTGAAACCCTGTCTCTAGTAAAAATACAAAAATTAGCTGGGCTTGGTGGCACACGCCTATAGTCCCAGCTACTGGGGAGGCTGAGGCAGGAGAATCGCTTGAACCTGGGAGGTGGAGGTTGCAGTGAGCCAAGATCACGCCACTGCACTCCAGCCTGGGCAACAGAGCAAGACTCCATCTCAAAAACAAAACAAAACAAAACAACAACAACAACAACAACAAAACCCAGCAGCCCTTGGGGCGGTTCTGTCTATGGAGTAGCCATTCTTTATTCCTTTAGCTTCTTAATAAACTTGCTTTCATTTTATGGACTCACCCCAAATTCTTTCTTGTGCAAGATCCAAGAACCCTCTCTAGGGGTCTGGATCTGGACCCCTTTCCAGTAACAATTATCTGCAAAAGCACTTTACAGCAACAGAAAACCTGACCCAAACTGGATAAAGCAAAAAGGGAACTTTTTGACTCATGAAACTTGAGTCCAGCAACAATGCCTTCAGGCAAGGCTTGATCCAGGGCTCACAGGCTATAAGAGAATCTGGTTTTCCTCTCTGCATGTCTGGCTCTGCTTCCTTCGTAGTGGAGCCGTTCCCAGGAAGGCACTCCACTTGGCTGAAGGCAGCAGCTTAGGGCTTCTATTCGGTGTTCATATCTTGCTGAAAAAGACCCACTTCTTCCCGACCCCTGACCCTGCCAATCAAGTCTTAGGAACTGGGTCTCATTGGCCCAGATGGGCCTGAAGGGGGCCATTTGTCTGTTCTTGAACCAATCAACACAAGGGGCAAGGAGGGAAGAAAAGGGGTGTGTTGATAAGCTTCAGCCAATCAAGGCCCAAGCTTAGAGCTAGGAGTGGGGGTCAGTCCCACCTAAACCACAAGCCTGAAGAATGTGAGGTCCAGTCGAGAATAGGGAAGAAAGGGCTAGGTGCAGTGGCTCACACCTGTAATCCCAGCACTTTGGGAGGCCAAGGAGGGTGGATTACTTGAGGTTAGGAGTTCAAGACCAGCCTGGGCAACATGGTGAAACCCCATCTCTACAAAAATACAAAAAAAAAAAAAATTAGCCAGGCATGGTGGTGCACACCTGTAATCCCAGCTACTCAGGAGACTGAGGTACAAGAATCACTTGAACCCTGGAGGCAGAGGTTGCAGTGAGCCGAGATTGTGCCATTGCGCTCTAGTTTGGGTGACGGAGTGAGACTCTGTCTCAAAAAATAAATAATAAAAAGGGATAAAGGCCAGAGAGGCAGCCAGGAAACGTCCCCCACAGCAATCTCTCACCACCAGCTCTAGCACATGCTGTTCCCTCTGCATGAACACCTCCCCACCACCAACCACTTTATCAAGCTAATTCATCCTACACGGGAGAGTTTGGCTAGTACCTCCTCCAGGCAGCCCTCCTTGAACACACCTAGCCAGGGCTGAGTACCTGATGCTGTGCCCCCACAGGCACCTCTCAACTCAAATAATGGTATATCTTGTCTATTTTTTAAGCAGCTTTAAAGAGATATAATTCATATACCATAAAATTTGCCTATTTATTTATTTATTTATTTATTTTTGAGACGGAGTCTGGCTCTGTCACCCAGGCTGGAGTGCAGTGGCTCACTCAGCTCATTCACCATTCTCCTGCCTCAGGCTCCCAAGTAGCTGGGACTACAGGCGCCCGGCAACAGACCCGGCTAAATTTTTTGTATTTTTAAGTAGAGACAGGGTTTCACCATGTTAGCCAGGATGGTCTTGATCTCCTGACCTCGTGATCCACCCGCCTCGGCCTCCCAAAGTACTGGGATTATAGGCATAAGCCACCGCGCCTGGCCTACAATTTGCCTATTTAACGTGTATACTTCTGGCTGAGCATGGTGGCTCATGTCTGTGATCCCAGGACTTTGGAAGGCCAAGGAGAGAGGATCACTTGACCCCAGGAGTTCGACACCAGCTTGGGCAACATAGGGAGACCTCCTATCTATAAACAATACAAACATTAGCTGGACATGGTGGCATACACCCATAGTCCTAGCTACTTGGGGAGCTGAGATGGGAAGATTGCTTGAGCCCGGAAGATGGAGGCTACAGTGGGCATTGATCGTGCCACTGCACTCCAACCTGGGTGACAGAGCAAGACCCTCTCTCGAAAAAAAAAAAAAGTGTACATTTTAGTGGCTTTTAGTCTATTCAGAGAGTTGTGCAACCATCACCACACACCACAATTTTAGAACATTTTCATCACCCCCCTAAAGAAACCTCATGCCCCGTAGCATTCACCCCCACAATCCTCATTCCCCTACCCCTAAGCAACCATGAATCCACTTGCTATAGACTTGCCTATTCTGGACATATCTAAAATTGGATTTTGTATGGAAAGTGGAAATTGGACACTGTATGGAAACAGTCACACAACCTGTGGCCTTTGTGTCTTTCTCTGAGCATTGTGTTCTCAAGTTTCCTCCATGCTGCAGTGTGGATAAGGACTTTTTTCCTTTTCACTGCTGAGTAATATCCCAATCGCATTTCATTGACCCATGTATCAGTTGACGGACAGCTGGGGTGTTTCCACTTTTTGACTATTATAATTAATGCTGCCATGGATATTTGTAGACAAGTTTTTGTATGGAGATAGGTTTTCGTTTCTTTTTTTCTTTTCTTTCTTTTTTTTTTTTTTTTTTTTTTTTTTTGAGACAGAGTCTCTCTCTCTCTTGCCCAGGCTGGAGTACAGTGGCACAATCTTGGTTCACTCCAACCTCCACCTCCCAGTTCCAGTGATTCTCCTGCCTCAGCCTCCTGGGTAGCTGGGATTACAGGTGCACACCACCATGCCTGACTAATTTTTGTATGGTTAGTAGAGATGGGGTTTCACCATACTGGCCAGGCTGATCTCGAACTCCTGACCTCAGGTGATCCGCCCACCTTGGGCTCACAAAGTGCTGGGATTATAGGCGTGAGCCACTGTGCCCAGCCTGGTTTTCATTTCTTTTGTCTCAAAAAGGAAAAAAAAGAAGGAAAAGCATTCTACCCCTTGTCTCTAGGGGTAGAATTATTGGGTCATATGGTAGCTCTACACTTACTGTCTTGAAGAACTGTCAAACTTTTCCAGGGCAGGTGCCCCCTTTTCCATTCCCACCAGCTGTGTATGTGGGTGCCAGTTTCTCCATGTCCTCACCAACACTTGTCATTTCTGTCTTTCTGATTACAGTCACCCTGGTGGGTGTGAAGTGAATCTCACTGTGATTTTCATTTACATTCCCTGGATGGCTAATGATGCTGAGCGTCTGTTCGCGTGCTGGCTGGCTGTGTACTTTCTTTGGAAAAATGGAAAAAGGACAGTTTTTTTCGAACAGTGGTTGCTGGGAAAACTCGGTATCTGCATGCAAAAGAATGAAGTTGGACCTTTGTCTTACACTATATACAAAAATAAAATAGATCGAAGCTCTAATAGAAAAGCTAAAAATAGAAAACTCTTAGAAGAAAACATAGAGGAAATCTTCGTGATATTGGATTTGCCAGTTATTTCTTGGATATCATTGGATGCTGAAAGCATAGACTACAAAAGAGAAAAAATAAATTGGACTTCATCAAAATTAAAAACTTTTGTGCATCAAAGGACGCTATAAAAAATGTGACAAGACAACCCACGGAATGAGAGAAGCTATTTGTAAACCATATATTTGAAAAAGGATTAATATTCAGAATATACAAAGAATTTCTGGGAGGCTGAGGTGAGAGGATCATTTGAGTCCAGGAGTTCCAGACCAGCCTGGGCAATATAGTGAGACCCTATCTCTACACAAAATAAAATAATTAGCCAGGTATGGTGGTGCATGCCTGTGGTCCCAGCTACTAGGGAGGCTGAGGTGGGAGGATTGCTTGAGCCCAGGATGTCGAGGCTGCCGTGAGCCTTGACTATGCCACTGACTCCAACCTGGGTGACAGAAGGAGACCTTGTCTCAAAAAAAACAAAAAACAGAAATAAGCAAAGAGAACCTCGAAGACATTATGCTAAGAGAAATAAGTCAGTCACAAAAAGGTAAATACTGTATGATTCCAGATATATGAAATCTCTATAGTAGTCAGATTCACAAAGACAGCAGAACGGTGATGGGCAAGCGGTGGGGGTAAGGAGCTGGAAGAAATGGAGAATTGTGGAATAGGCATAGAGTATCCATTTTTGCAAGATAAAGAGTTCTGGAGATCAGTGAATGTACTTAACATGACTGGACTGTACATGTAAAAGACGGGAAATTTTGGCCAGGCGCAGTGGCTCATGCCTGTAAATCCCAGCACTTTGGGAGGCTGAGGCAGGTGGATCACCTGAGGTCAGGATTTCGAGACCAGCCTGGCCAACATGGTGAAACCCCATCTCTACTAAAAATACAAAAATTAGCTGGGTGTGGTGGCGGGCGCCTGTAGTCCCAGCTACTCAGGGGGCTGAGGCAGGAGAATCACTTGAACCAGGGAGTCAGAGGTTGCAGTCAGCCAAGACTGTGCCACTGCACTCCAGCCTGGCGACAGAGCGAGACTCCATCTCAAAAAAACAAAAACATTTGAGGCCAGGAGTTTGAGACCAGCCCAGGCTGGTCTCAATAAAAAAAAAAAAAAAAAAAAAGATCTGTGTGTGGTGGCACAAGCCTGTAGTCCTGGCTACTCAGGAAACAGGAGGATGACTTGAGCCCAGGAGTTTGAGGCTGCAATGAGCTATGATCATGCCTGTGAATAGCCACTGCACTCCAGCCTGGGCAACTCTTTCATACTCTCAGTTCTGTTTTATTGATCTACATAGCTATACGTCTGCCAGTACTACACTCTCTTGATTACTGTAGCTTTGCAGTAAATTTTAAAACTGAGAAGTGGCCAGGCATGGTGGCTCACACCTGTAATCCCAGCACTTTGGGTGGGCAGATAACCTGAGGTCAGGAGTTCAAGACCAGCCTGAGCAACACGGTGAAACCTTGTCTCTACTAAAAATACAAAAATTAGCATGCCTGTAATCCCAGCTACTCGGGAGACTGAGGCAGGAATCACTTGAAGCTAGGAGGCAGAGGTTGCAGTGTACCAAGATTGTGCCACTGCACTCTAGCCTAAGCAACAGAGCAAGACTCCGTCTCAAAACAAACAAACAAACAAAAAAACCCACTGAGAAGTGAGTTCATTAACTCTGTCCTTTTTTTCCCAACATTGTTTTTGCTATTCTTGATTCCTTATATTTGCATATGAGCTTCAGCTTGTGAATTTGTGCAAAGAAGCCATCTGGGATTTTGCTAGAAATTACACTGAATTTGTAGATCAATTTGGGGAGTATTGTCATCTTAACAATATTGTCTTCCAATCCACGAATATGGGATGTCTTTCCATTTATTTAGGTTTTAATTTCTTTCAACATTTTATAGTTTTCACAGTATAAGTTTTGTAGCTGTTACATTTATTACTAAGTATTTCATTTTGTTGATGGTATTGTAAATGAAGTTCTTTTCTTTATTTTTGAACTGTTTATTTTGTATAGAAATACAATTGTTTTTTATCTTGATCTTGTACCCTCCTGGCTCACTTCTGTAATCTCTATACTTAACACAGAGGGCAAGCACTTTCGAAGAGTCACCCTGGCTAACACATGGCAAATAGGCTGGAAGCGGGGCAAGACTAGAAGCCTGGCTGCCAGCTGGCAGGTGGCTGGTGCTGTCATCTAGATGAGGGTGGCTGGCCTGGGCAGTAGCAGTGGGGACCGAAGTGGGTGGACTTTAACCACAGGACGGGGTGGGGGTGGGGAGAGGGAAGCATCCAGGATAAGGGCCAGGTGGGTTTTTGTTTTGTTTTGTTTTGTTTTAACCAGGATCAGGGAGGAGCGTGGTCATTTCATTTTGAAAGTATGGCTTTTGATGTCTCTTTAAAACAGCCCAGGAAGGCGTGGTGGTTCACACCTGTAATCCCAGCGCCCCGAGGCAGGTGGATCACTTGAGGTCAGAGTTCGAGACCAGCTTGGCCAACATGGTGAAACCGTGTCTCTACTAAAAATACAAAAAATTAGCTGGGTGTGGTGGCGGGTGCCTGTAATCCCAGCTACTCGGGAGGCTGAGGCAGGAGAATCGCTTGAACCCAGGAGGTGGGGGTTGCAGTGAGCCAAGATCGTGCCACTGCACTCCAGCCTGGGTGACAAAGCGAGACTCCGTCTCAAAAAAAAAAAAAAAAAAAAAAAAAGGACCAGCCCAGGAGGCAGCAGAATGAGCCATGAGGATCTCAGGACAGCGTTAGGCTGAAATAAACTCCTGGGTGTCAGCCAGGGAGTGGGAGAGACTGGGCAGGGCTAGAGCTGGGACAGAGCCCAGGACCCGACACTAAAGGGTAGACACGAGCTGACCGTGGCCACACAGCTGAAGGACCTGGAAAACCACAGGAAGTTGAATTTGGTCGACGGAGCATATGAGGAGTGGTGGCGGGCATCTCAAGAGGGGAAGACTCTCCCACTGTGTTATAAGCTGCTAAAGTCAAGGAAGACAATAGTCAAGCCCCCAGAGGTTGCGAGTCACTCTAGCCAGACCGTGGCAGGGTGGAAACCAGCCCACAGTGCGCCGGGGCGTCTGGAAGATGAAGCAGCGGAACTCAGAGAGCTCTGAAGGGGGACGGGGGCCTGCAGCTGTTTTTTTTGTTAGCTGCTTTTTGTTCATGGGAAAACTTGAACAAGCTTGATTGCTTCATGGAAGGAGCCAGGTGACATGGAAAGGGGAAAGATGCAGAGTAAGGGGACCGAGGGACAGCGAGATGGCTGCAAAGGTGGAGGGAAGAAGTGAGTGGGAACGGAGGAGACGTGGTGCTGCCGCTCAGCTGTGCCCCATGGCTTTGCCCCGTGGCTTGCTCCCCTCCTCAGTACTGTTCTCTCCCGTGTGGCACAGCCAGGCTTACTCATCATTTCATCTGCAGCCCTGCCCATACCAGCGTGTGCTGAACGATGTTGAACCTTAGGCGACGGAGGCCGACTGGAACCAGGGCTCTGAGTGACAGAGACGCAGTTATGTCTAAGGACATACGCTAGAATGGCTGATGCAGGGCGCAAGCTCGATTCCTGCAGATGTGTGTTAATGAGCAGCTCCCTCATTTTTGCAAAGGTCAGCATTCCTTTGGCAAACTGGGAAGGAGCAGTTTAAGGTGCAGCTCCCAAGTGGGTCACACCGACCCCCCAACATCCAGTTCCCAACTGCTGAGCGTGCTTCTCTTCGTGGGAGTGGGCGGGCCAGTGCCGAGGGGCTCAGGACGGATTCTCAGAAACGCCCCACCATGCAGGTGGCTTACGGGAGGGCAAAGCCAATGCCAGCCTCCAGGAAGTCTGCGCTTTCTTTCCTTAGGGTAAGCACTTACCCAGCCTCCTTGTTACTTAGCCTGAGGGAGTCTACGGCTACCAATCTGCCGACCTGACAGATTCCTGGTGAAGGGCAGGCCACCCAAAGGCAGCTTCGAAAATTAAGGAGCCTGGGTGGGGGCAGGGAGGATCTACCCAGGGTCCTGGGGCCTGGGAGCAGTAGGCTCTTCTCAGAAACACATACTGGGGCCAATATCTGCTCTGGATTTAGCCTGCACTGCCTGTTTTATCAGAACAAGCAGAAATCCCCCGGCCTCTTGAAGATCAGGACCCAATTATTTCTCTGACTTCAAGAGTTTGCCTACCAGACTAGAGTTGTTGACCGTTATGTTTTTCCAGCTGCCAATCAGAGTGGACCAGCTGGAGATGACCAATCACATGACAAGACTCCTGCACAAAGGGAAGAAATGAGATGCTGCAGCTGAGGAGGGCGGCCAACCTGGGAGGCATCTGGCTCCCCTGACAATGCCTGCCGATCGCCAAGCTGGCTTCCAGACCTCCTGGGACAGAACTGTTCCTCCCAGGACGCTGGTGTAGGTTCAAGTCCAGTTGATATTTACTAAGCAACTGCAATGCCCAGGCCTGTTCCAGTGCTGCAGAGAGTAAGTGCTTATGGGTGCTTATATTCAGAGTAAGTCAATACACCAGCTTCGTATGACCTGCGTCTTCGGGGCCAGCAGGGCAGGTTGGTCTCCTCAGCCTCACACTGGAGCTCCTGGCTGGCTGGTGTCTGCGGTCAGGACCCTAGTGATGGGAGGCTCAGCAAACAGAGGAGGCAGAGGGGCTGTTCTGAAATGACCTTGAAACGACCTATCACCCTCAGGGGTGGTCTTACTGGATGAAGTCCAGCCCGCCATAGGCACTGAAGGGCTCTCATTTGCTGAGCCCTTGCTTTGCGCCAGGCGGCTCTTCCTCTGCCGACACTGATCAAAGGAGGGTGCGAGGCTCAGCTACTGAAGCCGGGGTCAGACTTGTGGGCGTGGGCTTTTCTAATGCCAAACCCACGGGCGCCAAGGCTTCTCAAGCTCATCCTGTCAGCCCCTGAATTTCTAACTGGCAAAGCTCCACGCTAGCGGTGGGGGAAGAAGGAGCCAGAGAGACCTGAACTGCAAGGGGACCCCATGTGGGATGGTTCAGGGGAGCAGCAGGACAGCCAGGCCCCTGCCAGCACCTGCCTGCGGTCTCTCACCTGGTCCCGACTGCAATGCCTCCTGGCAGGACAGAGCCGCCGACTTCTGTCCCGTAAGAGCTGTGTGCAAGGTGGGCCCTTGTCCGTGTTGCCAGCTGAAGACTGACCCAAGACTCGGGAAGAGAACTGGGTTGGATCTGTTCTCAGTGTGGTCCAGATCTGCCATGTTGGCACCAGCTGGGAGTGTGTTAGCAATGCCGACTCTCAGGCCCCCCAGGAACTCTGTCGGGGATTCGGGTGCTTGCTGTTTGAGGACCACTGGATTAGATATCAGCAAGGTCCTTCCTGAGTCTTTTCTCAGCTGTCCCCTTCTCGAGTTGCCTTGGCATCTCTCATCCTGGGTTCTGAATCCTGGACTCCCTACTCTCAGGACACCCCATGCCTCCTACTCATGCTTTGCGGCACAGGCAAGGTCTCCAGAAAGAGCTGCGGGTGGGGCATGGCCACTAACTGGGAAACCTTGGCCACGGACAGGGATTCTCTCTCCTTCTCATTCTGAAATCCTATGATCTGGTGAACTGAGGTTCATGCTCACTTTTTTTTTTTTTTTTTTAAGACAGAGTCTCACTCTGTCACCCAGGCTGAAGTGCAGTGGTAGGATCTTGGTTCACTGCCAACCTCCACCTCTGGGGTTCAAGCAATTCTCCTGCCTCAGCCTCCCGAGGAGCTGGGACTACAGGAACGCACCACCACATCCGGCTAATTTTTGTAGCTTTTAGTACAGACAGGGTTTTGCCATATTGCTCAGGCTGGTCTTGAACTCTTGACCTCAGGTGATCCGCCTGCCTCGGCCTCCCAAAGTGTTGGGATTACAGGCGTGAGCCACCGCACCTGGCCCATGCTCACATTTTTATAAGCACAACGGCAGTAACCAACAGAGCCATTTTTCTGAGGCCTTCCTGTGCCCAGCACTGGGCCAAGCCCTTGACTTAATCCTTATTATCCCAACAAGGTTGGAGTCAGCAGGCCTGGGTTCTTGTCTCAGCTCTGACACTTACTAGCTGGGGGAAAAAGGGGAAGGATGTGGGTGGGCAGTGGCAGAACCTTCTTTAGGCCCCAGTTTTTGCGTTTTGAAGGCAGGGCTTTGGAGGGATGAATCACAAATCAGTATGCTGTGTGAAAGCAGCCAGACACGAAAGAGGGCACCCGGCGCAGTTTCATTCACATGAAGTTCTAGATGAGGCAAATGAGACTACGCTGGAATCAGAGCCGGGGCTGTGGTAGTTTCAGAAAGGGGGCAGTTTGGACCGGGAAGGGGCAAAAGGGGGCTGCGTGGGGTGACGGGCACGTTTCATCTTGATTGTGGTGGAGGCCACAGGACTGTACATCCATTTGTCAAAACGCAACAAACGGTACATTTAAAAAGGATGGATTCTACTGTAGGTAAAATATGCCTCAGTTTAAAACATTCTTAGTAAAATATGGGCTTTGGAACTGAATGACTTCTAAAAATGCTTTGAGTCTAAAATCCTGGATTTCTCTGCTTCCAACATGGGGTAACCCAGAGCTATTGCTAACCGATGCAGAAGGTGCATTTGCGCCTGTCACAGTGCGGGCTCTGCGCCAGGCCTGCCATCTCCCCTCAAATGGCAGCAGTGCCCCGACACTGGTTCACAAGACATCGCCCGCCTCCAGCGTAAGCAGGACAGCAGTAACCTACAACCGGTTTTCAGTTATCTGGGTCTTAATTGCGCTGCCACAGATCGGCTAAGATGCCTGGAACTTCTCTAGTAGGTGTCACTATTGTCAGTAGGAGCTGGTGGGAGGCAGTTAACTAATTTAATGAACAAAAATCACAAAGAAAAAAATTATGAGATGGAGGTGGAGGAGAGACAGCACCAGGAGCCGGCAACTCCCTGCATCTCAAACACACACGGTTCTGCCAGATAATCTTTATTTTACACATTTGCAACACGGCAAGAGAATTCACCCCGTACATCACCATGATCGGATCCCCCACCCATTATACGTTGTATGTTTACATAAATACTCTTCAATGATCATTAGTGTTTTAAAAAAAATACTGAAAACTCCTTCTGCATCCCAATCTCTAACCAGGAAAGCAAATGCTATTTACAGACCTGCAAGCCCTCCCTCAAACGAAACTATTTCTGGATTAAATATGTCTGACTTCTTTTGAGGTCACACGACTAGGCAAATGCAATTTACGATCTGCAAAAGCTGTTTGAAGAGTCAAAGCCCCCATGTGAACACGATTTCTGGACCCTGTAACAGTATCTTACGTGCTCCAAAGGCTGACCTTCTGGAGGCTCACCGCCTCATCTGGCTGCTTCCTCCAAAATCCAAAACCTTGCCTCAAAATAAGCTGTCCTGTGGGTGAGTTGGCTGTTCTGTTTCATTCTGACCATTCTGACTCTGCCCAGAACGCCGTCCCACCTGCAGACACCCTGCTGCCAGAACTCCAACAGGTCCCCGAGGTAGCGAGGCCAAGCCATGCCCATTCACTCCTGCACCATCTCAGTGTGCTCCCTCACACAGGGCCTGAGATGTGTGGGGCCCATGGCCTGGCAGTGAACCATCTAAAAGCATTATCTATTTTTCAAGCATAAACCACGCAGAGAGGCTCAGATGCATCGCTGGGCTACAGAAGTGGCCTCTGGGGAATCTGGAGTATGTTCAGCCTGCCGACCGATAACTACGTTCCAGGTGGTGACAAGTATTAGCGTCAACTCAGGTAGATGCCTTTTAAAAACGCCCTGCCAGAAACACCCTAGGGAAAACTGGAGTGAAGAGCGGGTCTTTCAGAACATTTGGTACTTTCTGGATGAATATCTTTTTGATATACCAAGAGGCATCAAGTCAAAGTCTCACTTCTATAGCGAGGAAGCCATTAACTTGCTGAATCCTAAAGGGAAGAATCAAGCCGCAGGCCACAGGCATCCTGGACTTAGCTTACGTGAGTCTTACAAGGCCAGGGGCGGGTCAGAGAAAAGCAGCGGGGTGAAGTGTGGAGTGTGGAAGCAGGGGTGCAGCAGTGTGCTAGATCTGTTTCCTTTGAAGTACAGCAGCTTGGCAGCATGAAGCATGAGTTGTTCCACTGTTCTACTGGGTGTATGGAGCTGGGCCAACAACCTCAGCAGACTATCTAATGTTCTAAGAGCCTTCCTCAAAGAAAATGTTTCAGGACGGGGGAGAAGGCCAGAATGCATCTGCAATTCCAACAGGCATCGCTATGCTCTTCCTTGGTCTGTAAGGACTGGATGCCTGGAGTAGACTGTTTTAAGTACCAAAACAAGACACCCATTTTAGTGTGGAGGAAGACCAGCCTATATGGCCCAGAGCAATAATATTTGGCATGAGTATGCCACTCTTGAGAAAATTCTCCTTAGCTTAGAAAATGCATCTTTCACACAGCTGCTGGGAGAAAACGCTGCAATGCACCAAAGCCTTTAGCCGGTGTACCCAGAATGAGCCTATGTGGGATCAATAGGCACGGGGAGAAAGATGGCAGAGAAGGGAAGAGGAGGGAGGAGGAGGGAAGGAGGAGGAGAAAGAGGTGGAGGAGGGAGGAGGAGCGGAAGGGGAAGGGGGAGGGGTAAGGGCGAGGGCAGAGGAGGAGGGGGAGGGGATGGGGAAGGGGGAAGGGCGAGGGCAGAGGAGGAGAGAAGAGGGAGGGAGGCTGTGGAATGAGACAGCAGAGATGGCGATGAGGTCATCACGCAGGAGGAAATCTCACCCACACGAGGTGGACTTACAGGGCTGTGTGCTGCCTGGGCAGGCTGGACATGTCCAGGGCGGGGAAACCCTGGATATTTCACTCTGAAGTGGTTTCTTGAAAGAAAACTCAACTGACTCAGGCCATGAGCATCTTTTACACTGAAGCAAGCATCTCCTCACAAGTGCCTCCTACAAGTCACTAGAGTCATATTCAACATTACAAAATGCAGTGCTACTTAAATTTTAAAGCACTGAGGGACCAAGAAATGGGCTGATCAAGTCCTTGGCCACTCACTGTTAAGAGCCAGGATTTACAGATCAATGACTGTTCCTATTGTCCAAGAAATAATTTTCTAGCAAAGCATACACACTTTATTAAATTTCACAGCCAGCAGCGCTTTCAGTCCACAACAGATTTCTCAGAGGAAACATGGATATTTTGCGTAGGCAGAAACAGTGAGGAGTACAAAGCAAAGCTATAAATACCACCAATGGTTCTGCTATGTGCATCCGATATTTTTTGCCCGATCTGAAATACTGCAAGGGCTTAACCATTCAAACACCGCATGACAACGAACCCAGTGGACTGTGAAACTCAGGCTGCAGGAGGGTGGCTTGTCAGCTGGTGAAGCCACTTGGCTTTGGACTCCATCGGTCATCTTTACGCAAGAGCAGAGATGAACGGTGGGTCACGGCTATGACGTGAAGGAGAAAGAGAAGACACACTCACAGAACAGGATGGAGAGCTTCAATAATTTTTTAAAAGCTTGGAACCACCACCTGCTTTCCCAATCTTGGGCTGGGGTTTTGACTTTTCTTGATCATCAATCTGACTTGAAGCCTTTTACCAGTTACAATACAGACATGGCCAGATGACCTGCTTGTTAGGAAGGCTGTGGCCATCTTTGTTTCTGAAACAGTCTTATCTCATCTGTCCACTGCTGCTCTGGAAGGGTCAGGACCAGCACTGCAGACACTCGGCCATGCTGTGAGTGAGCCCAGACATACGCGTGGAATCTGAACACCCAACGCTGGCGTTCCCGTGCCAGTCTGAGGGCTGCGGCTCCAGCGCTTGTCCACACACACGCCTGCCTCTCTCTAGTTCCTCCACTGCCTGGCTTCCTCGCTTGCAAAACCCAGCATGTGAAATGAGGACACCTCCACGGAGACCCTTCCGAGCAGGGAGGTTTCATCACACCTTTCGTTCTTGCCAAGGAGTCTATCGCCTCATCCACAACATCTGCTTGCGGGAGAAACAGCAAATGTGTCCCTCTGAGGGAAGGACTGAGGAGGGCTTTGGTAGTCACAGATTGAGACACATTTCTGCGAAAACTGGTATTATGTTTCTGCACAGGAAAACAAAGTGTTAAAAATATTCCCATCCTCCCTCCAACTCCCTTCTGTCACACAGTCCCAAGTGAACTTGAAAAAGGTCCAGAAGTGAACACTTAGGGTGCATTTACCTTTCTCCTGAAGATGGGAAGACACACGGATGCTTGCCTAAAATATCTGCCGAGAGGTGAGCAGCTGTGGCCTGGGAAGGCGCTTGCTCTTCCTCCACATCAGCCAGAAGGCAGATCACACCTTCAGAGCACCCTACAGAACCCAGATGGCGAATCAAAGTGCAGAAAAAGAACACCCGCTTCCTCATTAGTCATTTAGGAAGATAAGATAGCATGGGACAGGGAGAACAACCATGTTCTGAATGGAGACTTTTTCAGGTTCCCAAACTTGGGACAGTGAGTGTGACCCCACATCCTGTGGTTTCTGCCTGACCCTTCTAAGCCAGAGGTGAGAAAACAACTCCCAGAGACCACGACTCTCACCCTCGGAGGTACCTGTTCCCCTGCAGGTGTGGCTCTCTGACAACCCCTAGGCAGGGGTGGGCTCCAGCTTTTGGAAGCAACCCTACCTAGCTGGCCCCCCAAGCATTAAGAAGCTTCCCTGATGGGGCCATGTTTTGGTCTCCTTTTAAGCCCTCAGTCACAATGTACCTTCTGAGCTTGTCCTACTATTCAGATGATTTTCTCTCTGAGTTGCAATACTGCTCAATTTAGGTGGCTACCTGTGTTCATTCAAGCTCTGGAAGTGTGGAAGGGAACTTAATCATTGAGTTTCTGTGAAGTATTTTGCCATCCTAAAATCCCTGAGAGTGAAACTGTTGAATCATGCTCACTTTCTTCACATACATACTCTTGGACTATGGGGACCAAGTCTGTTGAATTCATCTATTTAGAAATCCTACTAGCCTACAGGAAAAGCTTTTTAATGGGGATGATTTGCTTGGACTTAAGTATTTGCTTAAATACTACCTATTCTGCCCCCAGCTGCTCCTTGAGGAAAACTTTCCATTTCCCCCAAAATTCTGATCAAACACAACAAAGCCACAAGCATGAAGGGAAGCCAGACAGTGCTGCTCTGGGCTGTCAGGGAGTGGATGTCCAGGCAACGCCACAGGATAATGCTTTTTGAACTTAAAAATACATTTCTTTCCATCCATCAGGCAACATCTCAGTCAGAAAACCACCTCCCACCACCTGTGCTGTGCCACAGGGCATGATCCTGACAGCGACATCACAGCCTTCTTTTCCTGTTGGAAAGAAGACCACTGGGCCTCAGGAGCTGCTGTCCTGGTCACTCTCAGCATCTGGAATAAGGGTCTGGGGCAAAGCCGAGGGCAGGAATCCTGGGGCAGGTGCTACATCCTAAACTGGGTTTTGACTTTGCTTTCCAAAGTCACCTGTTTTCGTTCATTTTTGTCTCCCAAACAGGCAATGGCACTCTCCCCGCCCTTCTTCTTAAGTCCCAGGGTCCTCAGTAGACATTTCCTAAAGCATCAGACAGACACCTCGCACCCTCCTTCCCCCTCCACCAGCCGTCCTTGCTACACTTCCCCACACATGGGGTCACAACTGCATACACCTTAGAGCTCCGAAATGAAGAAGAAAAAAAGAAACCTAAATTAAAAATGAATTCTTCCTTTTCTCTTCCTCTCCTCCTCCCTGTGCCCGCCCTCCCATTCCCGCCTGAAAGAGGATCCAGCTGCCTCTAAACAGCCACAGATCGTTTCCATAAAAGAGAGTACAAAATCAGGTTTCCGCGGCACTGTGCTCCAGCCATGTGCCCTGGTGTCACTGTCGGTGGTGCCAATAGTTCACTGTAGGAGCTGCTCCTGCTGTCCAATAGGACTATGAATAAGTTAACAGTTTCCTTGGACAGTGCCATCCTCAGGGTCGGCTCTGTCACACGGCGCCTTCCCACTCGCCCTGGGGCTCCACGGAGCCGTTGGTCACCTTCTTGACTTTCTTCATACTTTCCATCACCCCAGATGTTGTCACACTGAACAAGGAAAGAAAAAACAATTAGGAACATCTCACAGTCTCTTAGTAAAAGGCCATCTCTGCCACAGCACGGTGATTAGGACTGATGATGGGTGTTGGTTTTTGAAACAGACAAAATCTAAGTGTGATTCCTGGTTCGTTCCTTACTAGCTGTGTAACCTTGGCCAAGTCACTTGAACTCTCTGTGCTTAAGTAATTCTCACTTTCCAGAACTGTCATGAGGAAAAATGAGATTCTCCAGAGTGCCTAATCAATAAACACCAGCTATCGTTATCACAATCATCATGAATCTTTTTGTCACAGCTTGCGGAATTTTTGTGGCGCACAGATATGTGATAGTTACGCTTATGAGACTGAAATCTGACTCTTAATGGACATTCAGAAAAGAAAGCTAATTAGCCAACCAGACATTTTTAATAAGCAGCCACAATGGATCATTTCTGAGCCAGGGGACAGAACCACAGGTTTAGAGGAACCTTCCAGGATCAAAGATTCTTTGGCCACTATAGACAGAGAACTGGCTGCTTTCTGCTAGCTGGGGCTGGGCCATGTGGCTGTGCCTCAGCGCATGGCCTCTGCCTCCACTCTGTGAGCTCCCGGGGCTCTGTCTGTTGGTGCCTGGCTCTGAGGAGGCCCCATGGAGCCATTCGTTGAAATCAAGGATTAAAAATGGAAGATCGCTGGTCTCGCAGGGCATGAGGAGCTGAGCAAGGCAGCCCTTTCCATTAGAAGGAATCACATGCACGGGCCCCACCTTCTCAAGAGGATAATCTCTTGCCTCACAGAAGGTGAGCTGGTCTATGAGGGAACTGGGTGGCTCTGTGAGTAGCAGAACTAGGCAGAGATACTGGGTGTCAAAAGCCGCTTGGCCCAGCATCTTCCCTGCAAGCGAGGAAACAATGAGGATTTATGCTCCCCCATGGTGGACCAAAAGAAATTTCCTCATCAGTAAAATAAATTCAATCAATCAACTCAACAGGCTCTTTCCAAGGACCCAACCCATCCCTCTGCCAACTACCTAACCCCTTCCCCTACAAATGGCAACACAGTGGCCGTATATGTGACCCATCTAGAGTGCATGCAGCTGGACCTCATGGTAAGTAAATGTTTGTATGGGGTAAGGGAAGAAAACTTCCCCCTCTTCTTCATCTCTTCATTCTTGCCATTATGGTGCTACCATGCCCAGGCTCAAAGAATCCCCCAAGCCGGAACCTTTCTCAAACGAGTCCTTTAGACTCACAGGTTATTTGTACTTATGGCAAAGTTGGGACAAGGTATGTGGCCAGATCCCATAGATGCTATAAGTGACTCTAAAAGCATCCCCTAAGACGAAAATGCCTCAGCTGAAGCCGCCCAGCGTCACTTCTGGCCAGCTGGCTTGTGTCTCAGGCCTGGCCTCTTTAGGAAGACACTTGCCCCAGGAGGGATCCATGTGCACAGGGCTGCTCCTGAAGGGACCTTCTCTAGACGGGGATGCAGGAGGTAGGGCCTTTGCATGAGCCAGAGAAGCCCCTGCCCCGAGCCACGTAGCAGCCCCCGTGCCTCTCCACAGTGACTGAGACCACAAAGAAATGCGACCCCACGTCTTCCAGAAACACTCCAGTAATCACACAGCTGTCCTATGGTTACTGCATCTTGTTAAAAAAGGACAAAGAGTTCAATGCACGTTGATTCTAAGAGGCAAAGCGCATTCACTGTGACCCGGATATGGGCCTGACGGCAGACTTGGGAAAAACATTTTCTCCCTTTCTTTCTCTAAGAAAATACTCCTTTCCACATGGTGGGCCAAGTGAGAAAACAACTTTTATTCTTCAAGACAGGCCTCATGCTAGGTCATCAAGGAAAAAGAAGTGGTCTTATTGCTCTTCGGAGCCCACAGCCCAGGAGAAGAGATGGTCTTCCACAGCAACCCTGCAAAGCCACTTCCAACAGAGACAGGAGTGCTGGGAACCGGGTTCGGTGATGGCTCGGGCTGAGAAGAATCCCTCTGCCGGGGAATCGGGGAAGCCAGGAAGCCCGTCATGAGATGCAGAGGATCTGGCCCACAAGATGGGTGGGAGGTCAGGGGAGTTTCCAAAAAGAAGAAATATAACAGGCAAAAAGCATGAAGGAAAAACCCAGGACATTTCCCAGGGCAGTGAGGGAGTGCTAAGTACTTGCAGTGTGTGGATTGTATATGTGTATATATATATAAATATATAAAAATATATATATATTTTTTTTTTATTTGATTTTTTGAGATGAAGTCTCGCTCTGTCACCCAGGCTGGAGTGCAGTGGCGCCATCTCGACTCACTGCAACCTCCGTCTCCTGGGTTCAAGTGATTCTCGTGCCTCAACCTCCCAAGTACCTGGATTATAGGTACATGTCCCCATGCCCAGCTAACTTTTGTATTTTTGGTAGAGATGTGGTTTCACCATGTTGGCGAGACTGGTCTCAAACTCCTGACCTCAGGTGATCCACCTGCCTCGGCCTCCCAAAGTGCTGGGATTACAGGCGTGAGCCACTGCACCTGGCCTACGGCAAATATATTTTAATACATCCAGCCAGTCTGGGAAGGAGAGTGGCAGGGAGAGAACCAGGGTGGACACAGGACGGCAGGGTTGTCGAGGGCCCAGTCTGCCTGGTCACCCAAGGATGGCCTTGATTCCTACTCTGGCAGTTCTCAGCCCTGCCTCCTGCTCAGGCTGCCCTGGGGAGTGAGAAAAGCACAGATCCTGAGCCCAAGGGGTGAGAATCAGAGTCTCCAGGGGTGCGGCCAGGAAACTGGCACTGCAAAAACACTCTACAGGTGATTCTAGAGCCCGGGAGAATGGACAGGAAGGGCTGGGCACACCTGTATTCCCAGGGCAGCTCACGCCTGCATTCCCAGCACTTTGGGCGGCTGAGGCGGGAGGACTGCTTAAGCCCAGCAATTTGAGACCAGCCTGGGCAACATGGCAAAACCCTATCTCTACAAAAAAATACAAAAACATTAGCTGGGCATGGTGGCATTCATCTGTGGTCCCAGCTATTAAGGAGGCTGAGGTGAAAGGATTGCCTGAGCCCGGGGAGCTCAAGCCTGCAGTGAGCTGTGATAGTGCCACTGCACTCCAGCCTGGGTGACAGAGTGAGACCCTGTCTGCAGGGGAATAGAAGGATGGACAGGAAGGGGAGAGGATCGGGAGTGAAGAGGTCAGCCACCACAAAGCCCAGGCACGAGAGCAAGAGGCGGGGTGGGGCTGGGGGTGAGAGGCACAAAGTAAGGCCTACAGGACGCTCTGCACGGGCTGAGGAAGAGGGACGTGGTTCAGCCATGGCTGCAGGAGACTGGGTGGATGTCCGTGTCACCAAGGCCTATAGGGAACAATGGGGAGGGGCGAGCTTGGTGTGATGCAGGAAGACTGTGGCTTCAAGGCTGAGGTGACGCGGAGCAGGAGGACAGGGGGACCTGGCATTCAGGAGGGGCCGGGGGCAGTGAGGGGGTAGCAGGGGCAACCCTGGGCTTGGGTGAGTCCTGGGAGTGCGAAGAGGGAGAACGGGAGTAAGGGTGTGTGGTAGCGCAGGAGGTTGTCACAGGCAGGGCGGGTGACAGGGAGCTTCAGTGTGTGGCCAGGACTGGGAGTGGCAGAAGTGAACTCAAGGAGAGGAAGAAACCTGATGGCAGATGCCCAGGGTGGGGTAGGCGCTACATCCTGTTCCCCCAGCAAACCTCTGGGAAGCTGAAGGGACACCTGGGGCCCCCACGATGTGAGGAAACCTGGCTAGCCCCCTGCAGACAGGGCGCCCGCAACGGTCCTGGAAGCTCAGGCTCTGCAGCAGTGAGAAGAGAGACCTGGGTCAGATGAACACCCAAAAGCCTCCCTGGCAGGAACATACGGCGGTGGGGCTTCAGCAGCTTCGCAGCCACCTCACTAGGTGTCCTAGTTTTGGTGCAAACACTTAAGGGACCGAACAGCTGAAGGGCCAACATCCGACCGCCGCAGATAAGCGTTCTTTCCTTGACATCTAAACAGTAACCCCCTTTCCTTGCAAAGCCCCAAGTCTCTGTGTTTGCAACCAAAAGTGCCAAATGGGACACAGGTTCCTTCTGCCACACAAGACTGCAATCAAATGTGGCTTGGGCCTAAGTGGTCCACGGATTCATGCGTTTTTTTTTTTTTTTTCTTTTTTGAGACGGAGTTTCACTCTCATCGCCCAGGCTCGAGTGCAGTGGCGTGATCTCAGCACACTGCAACCTCCGCCTTCCGATTTCAAGAGATTCTCCTGCTTCAGCCTCCCGAGTAGCTGGGATTACAGGTGCCTGCCACCACGCCCAGCTAATTTTTGTATTTTTAGTAGAGATGGGGTTTCACCATGTTGGCCAGGCTGGTCTCGAACTCCTGACCTCGTGATCTGCCTGCCTCGGCCTCCTAAAGTGCTGGGATTATAGGCATGAGCCACTGCACCCAGCCGATATATCCATTTCTATAACTAAAAAGTGTTTTCTGGTCTGGAAGTGTGGGGAGACCTGGTGAAGAGACAAGTCTATTAGTCCCCAATCCCCATTTCCACACACGTTCCTCGCCCACATGAAATAATGCAGGGAGTGGTGAAAGGTGAACAGCAACCATGAATGAGGACAGCGTTCTGGAATGGGAACCCCAGGGAGAAAACCTCCTGGCCCAGGAACCCACACCAAACATTTCCTTCCACTCTCACTCCTCAAGATGACAGAAGTAATTCAGATCATTGAGGATACCCACAGCCTAGGAGGCAGCTACCAAGTCTGATAATTGAAATCGCATCCGATACTTTTTAACTTGCTGATTATTGACCGGTAACTTCTGTTGCCAAAACTGGTAGGCCTAAAGAGAGATGGTCAAAGAAACAGAAGGGGAAAGAGAGAGAAAGTCAGTGTTACTTTGGACTGTGCCCTCATACCCAGGCCCAGAGAGAGAAGCTGTGTCAGGCCTGGTGGGGTAATGGCTGCACAGAGGGCAGCTGCGTGGGCCGCGTTGTCAAAGAAGCACCAAAACAAAATTTTAAAAAAATTGTTGCCACGAAACAAAAATACCTTCATAATGCATCCAGGCTCCAAGATGTAACGGCTGAGGGAAAGGATGTGGGAAGCGGGAACCTCCCATTACGACTGTGGAGTACAATGCAGTAAAGGAGACGATGCTGCGACCCGGCCGCTCGGCTTCTAGCTGCCTACCCAAAGAACCCCGTGTTATGCGGACGGACCAAGCCAAAGGCTCCCAGCAGGGGAATGATAAACACACCGCGTCTTAGGTTATTTCCTGATGCTGCTGGTTGCCAGCCTGACATGTGTGCCTCTTCAACCAACAGACACTTGCTCAGATCCTGCCACTTCTGGGAAAGGCACAGCTGATGGGCCTCCTGCACTCCTCTCCACTGTTTAGAAGGAGGTGTTTCTTCCTCTGCATGGGGAGATGCTGTTTGGCGCCCGCTGGCAGGACCTGCCTTCCTTTACTGTTGCCGTGGAGCTGAGCAGAGAGAGCTGTCCCATGCTGCCTGACCCGCTGACAGCCAAGCAGAGCTTAGCATGGGCCGAGTCTCAGCCTCTGAATTGGGAAGAATTCAAAGGCTGCCAGGGCTGGGGGCAGAACACTTGATACCAGTGAACCAAGAAGGGAAAACTCTGCCTTAGGCTAATCATCAAACACAGCATTGACCTGGCTTATCAAATTTCAGTTAACAAGCAAATATGCTTAATCACTACTCATTTTTCTAGACAATGATGGCCCTTTCCCAGAAAATAGGACCCTAGAGTCATTCACTGTGTGACTCAGAAAAGCCCCTATTAGTGCTCAGATATAGGTCAAAGTCATTGTGCTGTGAAAAGCCACGCAGTTATCTGACGATAGAGGATGTCTGAGGATCATTAGCAGACTTAGAGATGACTCAGAAGATTCCATTTTCAGACGTAAGCGCCTGATGGCGGGCCTGACAGAAAGTCGGCCCCCTGTTCTCCCTCGTGAACTGGCCACGTATATTCCTAAGTTCTTGCCACTGAGTTCTTGAAAGCAGGCTCCAATGATGCTTAGTGGAACGGCAAGTTCCATCTTCCCTGACAAGACCCAGCTAGGTTTGGCAGATACTGTACTTCAAACCAGATCAGACAGCCTGGGGCTCCAGTGTCCGCTTCCTTCTGCTAAAAATAGAGGAACCACCCCTGCAGCCACGAAATGCTGAGAGCAGCCGACCCGATTCACACTGTGCTGCTTTGTGTTAGGCAAAGGGGTCAGGGCTAAGGAAGAGGGAAGAAAGATTTCTTACACGGACTCCATTTCCAAGTCTTCTTCTTCCTGAGAAAGTTGTAGGTAGGGGTTATCTGAAGCCGGACGGAATTTATACCCCGTTAGAACAAAGAAGACCAGTGTGGCCGTTTCATCCAGGAGCTGCAAGTTTAAAAACCACCCCAAAATAAAGAGATTAGCAACACTGTTCTTCAGAAAGCAGTGGAATTCAACAAACTGACATATTTCCCCACAACCCACCACTCGATGGTTCTTTACTCAGATGCCACTTCCTGCTACAGGGCATTTTCCTTAGACTTGCCGAGGCCTAAACGAGGAGTGTCCTGCCCAGGGCTGACATTTCCGAGGCTGTGCTCTGCTGTGCTTTCACCAGTCTTCATGGGTAGCTTTTAAGAGCTCACCACATACCCACTTCCTCCCACAGTGCCTACAGCACCCAGTGAGTTATTCAAGAAAAAAGTCATTTGGTGGCTTCCTCTAGTAGTTAAGCTAGTTCTAGTTTGTCGCAAAGATACTTATTATCGAAATAATAAAATGGGCAAAGAAGAAGGGCAGCCTGAATTCTAACTACTCAGCCCTGTAACTAAAGGAAAGGACCACATCTCATCTAAGTTCTAATGATTCAGGGCAAATCTTTCTCTACCTGAAGCTTTTCTCTTGACTTTTAAGACTGAAAACTAAAATCAAGAATGCAATTATTTTCAGATTCCTCATAGAATCCAGCAGCATTTCTGGACAAACAGATCATCTCAATTATAGGCCAGAAGAGATGGAAGGAGGCCAAGTGTGGTGGCTCACACCTGTAATCCCAGAACACTGGGAGGCCAAGGTGGGCGGATCACTTGAGATCAGGTGTTTGAGACCAGCCTGGCCAACACTGCAAAGCCCCATCTCTACTAAAAAAACAAAAATTAACTGGGCATGGTGGTGCATCCCTATAATCCCAGCTACTCAGGAGGCTGAGGCAGGAGAATCGCTTGAACCCGGGAGGTGGAGGTTGCAGTGAGCTGAGATTGCGCCACTGCACTCCAGCCTGGGTGACAGAGTGAGACCCTGTCTCAAAAACTAAAAAAAAAATTTTTAGTTAAAAAAAAGAAGAGATGGAAGGTCTTAGTGGTCATTCCCAGATAAATTAGTAACAACTGTTAAGTTACACTTCAAGACTTTATCCTCAGGCATAAATTCTCTGGCATTCTGCCCTGTGAGCAGCGTACCTGGTAGAGCCACTTCCACTGGAATGGAACAGCGAGTTTGAGGAGAAATGCAATGATCCTAGTGAAGTATATGTAACACACAATCTGCATGAGGAGGAAAGAAACAGGAAATCAGATCAACATTAAAATTAGGACACCACTTTAACAATTTGCTTTCACAAATGAACTAGGAAACAGAAAACAGAATCACTCAAAGAAAAGTATGTGACACTTACAGTGTGAATTAATACGTGCAGCGGAGAGACATGGCTACTCTGCTAGTTACACTTGAATTTCTTCTCTCTCTCCAGGTGACCAAGATATTGCTAACAGCCACACCCACCGGGAGCACAAGACACTTTAGTCAGGTTGTTCTTAACCCTTCCTCACCCTATCCACAGACATAAGCCCTTGATTTCAATCTCCAAAGATTTTATTTCTTATGCTCAGGCTTTGAGGAATATTTACCAGTAGTAATAGCAAAATAAAGCCACACAGGGAAATTACTGACTTCTGTCCTCTTCTCTGGCAGATGCTGCAAGCATTCGAGGTCCACACTCACAGAAGTACAAATACTACCAAGTTCTCTAGCAAGACAGGATGCCTTCATTTCTCCTTGCAGTGACAAAGACTCAATGTGCTGGCCACTAGAGCATGGCCTGTGCAAGGGGACTAAGCTCAGCTGGCCTGCTGGTCAAGGACCACTCATTATCACTGCATGCAACAAGAGAGGTTCTGTGATGACCTGTGCCTATTTGGTGGATGACATAAAATCCATGGGAAAGAAAAAATAAAACAAAGAAAGAAAAAAAAAATCAACCCCAAGTGGAGTGTCTGCTCTTGCATCTCTCTCTACCACTGAAGTCTGATGTTTGCTTGAGCAAAGGAACTGTCTGAAGTGACAATGCCAAACGAACAGATGAAAGACTTGGAAACAGGGCCGGGCGCGATGGCTCACGCCTATAATCCCAGCACTTTGGGAGGCCGAGGTGGGTGGATCACCTGAGGTCAGGAGTTCGAGACCAGCCTGACCAACACGGAGAAAACCCGTCTCTACTAAAAATACAAAATTAGCCAGGCGTGGCATGGTGGCGCATGACTGTAATCCCAGCTACTCGGGAGGCTGAGGCAAGAGAATCGCTTGAACCCAAGAGGCGGAGGTTGCAGTGAGCCGAGATCACGCCATTGCACTCCAGCCTGGGAGACAAGAGCGAAACTCCGTCTCAAAAAAAAAAAAAAAAAAAAGACTTGGAAACGTTCTTTCAAGACTCAGGAAGCAAACTAACTCTGGGAGGCCTATACCTTATATATTCCAAGAAATTATGATCCTAATAATTTCTAGCAAGCTCTGTCTTTTGGTGCTAGCTGATAGAACTTTTCATGTCCATCAGAGTCCTGTTTTAGGTTTTAAAAAAACTGTCTTAACTTTTCTGTTCTTAAGGAAAATTTATTACCACAACATGTAACTAGTTTTCTGCAGGGAAATTTGAAAGAAGAGAGAGGTAGATACTCCAATTTTTTTTTTTTTTTTGAGACAGAGTCTCGCTCTGTCGCCCAGGCTGGAGTGCAGTGGCACTCTATCTCGGCTTACTGCAACCTCAGCCTCCTGGGTTCAAGCGATTCTCCTGCCTCAGCCTGCCAAGTAGCTGGGACTACAAGCACACGCCACCATGCCCAGCTAATTTTTTTATTTTTTATTTTTAGTAGAGATGGGGTTTCACCATGTTGGACAGGATGGTCTCGATCTCCTGACCTCGTGATCTGCCCGCCTCGGTCTCCCAAAGTGCTGGGATTATAGGCATGAGCCACCGCACCCAGCTGATACTCCAATAATTTTTTAAATGAATAAAACAAAAATGGCTGCAGAAGAACATGACAGTGTGATCCCATTTTTCTAAATGAGTAAAAATAGTGGCCGGGATCGCACTACTGCACTCCAGCCTGGGCGACAGAGCGAGACTCCGTCTCAAAAAAAAAAAAAAAAAAAAAAGGAACTCAGATATTTAATTTCCCATTTTGAAAGACACAGCTAGATTTTATAAAATGAAAGCCAGGCATGGTGGCCTACACCTGCAGTCCCAGCTACTCAGGTGACTGAGGCGGGAGGATCTTTTGAGCTCTGAACCCAGGAGTTGGAGTCCATCTTAAGGTAGCATAGAGAGACCCAGTCTTAAAAAAAAAAAAAAAGCAAAAAAGCAAGCCACACTGGCCAGGCGCAGTGACTCACGCTGTAATCCCCGCACTCTGGGAGGCCGAGGCGGGTGGATCACCTGAGGTCAGGAGTTTGAGACTAGCCTGGCCAACTTTGCGAAACCCTGTCTCTACTAAAAATACAAAAATTAGCTGGGTGTAATGGCAGGTGCCTGTAATCCCAGCTACTCGGAAAGCTTGAACCCGGGAAGTGGAGATTGCAGTGAGCGAAGATCGTGCCACTGCACTCCAGCCTGGGTGACAGAGCTAGACGTCGTCTCCAGAAAAAAAAAAAAAAAAAAAAAAAGCAAGCCACACTGCTCAGCTCCAGGTGGCACATCTTGTGCTTTCACCAATCCTTTGGAAGTTCATTTGCTCTACTCCTTGAATTGATTTTATTTATAGATTGAGGATTTTTTTTTTTTTTACTTACCAAGACGTAATAATGTCTGAAAAGTTTCAGCTTTGCTAAGTTAATAGCAGCTAGAGAGAAGAAAGAACAAAATGAAGAGCTCGTTAACTTCTCATTTTTAAAAGTAAGCCTCATTCAGATACCTTCTCAGTCAAGAGGCCACCTCTAATGCAGATGAGGACCACTCAGAGGCACATCCATCTATCTGGAATCAAGTCCGCTGGGCGGTCTCTCCTCCAATCACCAGGAAAAAATGTGGGAGCAGCACAGCCCCAGTGAGCCCCATGAGCTGGAGTTGGCTTGCACAGGCGATTCCCGCCCCAGGGTCAGCAGCTGTAACCTGGCTATGGTGGGAGTATACTGACATCACAGGAATTGGCAGATGCTACAAATCAGGAATTTTTTCCCCCCAGAGAGCCAGCATTAAACATTTCAGCTCTGCACAGAGCTGTGACCTCCACTGGGACTAGTCTCAGGTTGGTCCCAGAGAACCACCTGGGGGGGTCTCCCACTAGCTGAGGGTGTAAATTCAATAAACCCACAGATGCATTTTGCAAATTTCACTGAAGTTATCATTAAGTGACTTGTAATAAGCCCTTTCAGTACAACCTCCCTGGCTGGATCCTACCTTCATGCATGCTCAAGGTCAGCTGAGCCAGGACAGCTACCTTCCTGACACTGCCTACGGCTCTGAAATATTGATGAGTAGAGGGAAGCCTGGCTCCCTCCCAGATCAGCAATCCTTTCATTCATCATAAACCTTCCTGCAGGAGGCAAATTAATTTTGCTTAATAGCATTCAATTACTGATTCAGTTTAAGAATGGGACCGTGGGTGGTGAAGGTTCAGATTTCCTCTTCTTCCTCCTTTGGGCTCATGATTAGTTGTCGGGGAGGGAGGAGCAATCAGGCTTAGGATTCCAAAAGAAATTCCTGTAATCCTAAATTATCTTCAAGATGAACATCACTAACAGAATCTACAAGAATCTCCTCTGAGAAACCCAATGCACTAATGAGGGACACTCAGAAAGTCTCACAGTTGAGAGGATACAACACCTGCCTCTGGGGCTGCAGCAGATTCACGCAGGCACGCACACAACACCTGAAGATGCAAAATCTGCAAAATCGCAGCAGCTTTCTTACCTAGCAACCTCTCTGGCAGTCTTGTTATTTTGAAAAAATTAAATCTTGGCCAGGTGCAGTGGCTCATACCTGTTTGTAATCCAACACTTTGGGAAGCCAAGATGGGAGGATCCCTTGAGCCCAGGAGTTTGAGACCAGCCTGGGCAACAGGATGAAACCCCTCCCTGTCTCTTAAAAAAAAAAAATTAAAAAATTAGCCAGGTGTGCTGCCTACTTGGGGGGCTGAGGCAGGTGGATTGCTTGAGTCCAGGAGTTTGAGACCAACCTGGGCAACACAGTAGAACCCCGTTTCTACAAAAAAAAAAAAAAAAAAAGAAAAGAAAAGAAAGAAAAAAAAGAAATAGGCCGGGTGCAGTGGCTCACGCCTGTAATCCCAGCACTTTGGGAGGCCGAGGCGGGTGGATCATGAGGTCAGGAGTTCAAGACCAGCCTGGCCAAGATGGTGAAACCCCATCTCAACTAAAAATACAAAACTTACCCAGACATGGTGGTGGGCGCCTGTAATCCCAGCTATTTGGGAGGCTGAGACGGAGAATTGCTTGAATCTGGGAGATGGCAGTTGCAGTGAGCCGAGATCACGCTACTGCCCTCCAGTCTGGGTGACAGAGCAACACTCTGTTTCAAAAAAAAAAAATTTAGCTGTTTGTGATGGCACGTACCTGTGGTCCCAGCTACTTGGGAAACAGAGGTGGGAGGCGCCTGAACACTGGAGATTGAGGTTGCAGTAAGCTGAAATCATGCCACTGCACTCCAGGCTGGGTGACAGAAGGAACCCAGTCTCAAAAAACAACAGAAAAAGCAAATTAAAAATTAAATCTCTCTGGTTCTCATCATTTTGTTGTTGTTTTTTTTGAGAGAGGTCTTGCTCTGTCACCCAGGCTGTAGTGCAGTGGCACGATCACAGCTCACTGCAGCCTTGACCTCCCAGACTCAAGTGATCCTCAGCCTCCTGAGTAGCTGGGACCACAGGTGTGTGCCACCACGCCCGACTAATTTTTGTATTTTTAGTAGAGATGTGGTTTCACTATGTTGCTCAGGCAGGCAAGAGCCTGCCTCAGCCTCCCAAAGTGCTGGGATTACAGGTGTGAGACACTGCGTCTGGCCTCATCTCTTTTTTATTCAGTCAATACAAACTCACCAAGCCCCAACTCTGAGCCAGGCCCTGGGATACAGCAGTATACACGACAGCTGCAGCCTCTGCCCCCGGGGCAGCTGCTATCCTGTGAGAAGAGAAGGGCACCGAAGCACAAATTATGCACTCACTGAGTGACATGCACACACAGCCACTGCTGACCGGTGTGCGATCAGGTGTTCCTCCTCCCCTGAGGGATGGGAAGGCCTTCACAGAGGACAAGACATGAGAACTGAGAAGCATCAGATATCGATAATGAAGTGCTCCCAGGGATTTTAACCTTCGCCCTCTGGGATGAACCTTTTGTGTTCCTCTCTGGATGCAAACCTGCTGTTCCCATCGGCAGGGGACAATGAAATGACCAGCTCATACTGTACTCTGCCTAACAGAACCAGTGACATGACCGGAACCGTGGCCCTCCCAAACCAGCTAAACACCTCTTCAACATGAACACTCGATTCTTCACAGCACCAACAATTAGACAGTTTAAATGATAAAAAATGCTTTAAAAGTCTCTCCTGAGGCTGGGCGCGGCGGCTCATGCCTGTAATCCCAGCACTTTGGGAGGCTGAGGCGGGTGGATCACGGGGTCAGGAGATCGAGACCATCCTGGCTAACACGGTGAAACCCCCGTCTCTACTAAAATTACAAAAAATTAGCCGGGCATGGTGGCGGATGCCTGTAGTCCCAGCTACTGGGGAGGCTGAAGCAGGAGAATGGCATGAACCCAGGAGGCAGAGCTTGCAGTGAGCCGAGATCACGCCACTGCACTCCAGCCTGGGTGACAGAGCGAGACTCCACCTCAAAAAAAAAAGAAAATAAAATAAAAATAAATAAGTCTCTCCTGAATTTTGCTTGCTGAAGTCCTGACAAAGGAAACTCCTACTCGCTTCACTAAGAAAATCAGCCAGACAAGGAAGTGTCATGTTTTCACTGCTGGGTTTCAAGGTGTCCTGACAGGGGTAAGCATGGGCTCCCAAGCCAGACCAGGGAAAAGGAGTGAAAGAGAGGGTTTCCCAAAGGGCCTGAACACAGCTCAGCAGTGAGCCACAGTGGGAGAAGGCAATGCGGAGAGTGCTGTGGAACAGCAGGTGCGGAGGCTCAGAGGTGAGAGAGCTGCACATATCAGGGAAGGAAAAGTAGCTCAAAGCGGCTGGACTGTGGAGAGCCTAGGAAATGGGGCAGGGCTAAGAGTAAAGCCAAAAATTAAGACACAGAAGACTGAGCTTGTTCTCCTTGTTGGTTTTGGGGGTCCCAGGGAACCTCTAAAGCAAGCTTGTCCAACCTGCGCCCCAGGACAGCTTTGAATGCGGCCCAACACAGATTTGTAAACTTTCTTAAAACATTATAAGATTTTTTTGCAATTATTTTATTTTTCTTTTTTAGCTAATCAGCTATCGTTAGTGTTAGTGTGTTTTAAGTGTGGCCCAAGACAATTCTTCCAGTGTGGCCCAGGGAAGCCAAAAGATTGGACACTGCTATTCTGAAGGGTTTTGTTTTGTTTTGTTTTGTTTTGTTTTGTTTTGTTTTGAGATAGGGTCTCACTCGCTGTCTCCCAGGCTGGAGTGCAGTGGTGTGATGATGGTTCACTGAAGCCTCAGCCTGCTGGGCTTACATGATCTCAAACAGCTGGGACTACAGGCGCACACCATCGCGTCCAGCTAACTTCTTATGGAGACAGGGTCTCACTACGTTGCCCAGGCTGGTCTCGAATTCCTGAGCTCAAGCAATCCTCCCATCTGTTTTCCAAACTGCCAGGATTGCAGGCATGAGCCACCCTGCCAGCCCGTTTGTTTGTTTTTTAAACTAGTCAACTGCAGCAGTGAGAAGGGAAAGAGCAGAACAAGGAGTTCGATCTGTAACTGAAAAATCAACGGAGAGGGGTCACAGCCACCTTCGAACCAGCCTCCCAAAGGCTTTAGGCAACACCACGATCAGGTCTACACTTGAGAACAATCCCTCCGTGGAGGAAGGATGGAGAGAAAAAAGAGGAAAAGCCCAAATGAGGTCAAAGACCTTGACTCTGCGGAGGCCCCTCTAAAAGGCAGTGAGATGTCCATCGATGCAGAGCGATCGAGGAGTGGATGGGGCAGTGAACAGCAGGCTGATCCCACCTCAGTGGCTGCTAGGAAAGAAGGAAGAGCAACAAGGCAATGAAGTTGAAGACAGCAGAGAGAATCTTCAAGGTAAAGTCTGACGGGTCTCTCCTTTCACAGGGAAGGAAATGCGGATGGGGAGGGGACTGAGAGAAAGCAAAGAGGTTAAGGCACTGCAGGTCTTAACCAAGTAAGGACCGGGGTGGGGTGAGAGCAAAAGAGAGGAAGGCACTCTGCCTGGCACCTCCCTGGCATCATGCGTCGCCACGTCACATCCTCCAGGCTCAGGCAAGACACCCTCTGAAGGGAGGTGGGCTATGAGCCGCTCCATAAATGAGCCTCTCCATAAATGAGCCTGCGCGCCCCACACAGGCACCAGTGAAGAAACATCACCACGGCGCAGATGCTAGGCCATGTAGGTGCTAAGACTGACAAATGGACCTTGGGGACAACAAGTGCTGTCTTTGAGAAATGTAGTTAGAATAAGCAGAGCTCACAGTTGTTTCCAAAACCCAGCAGGCTGGCTCATGCCTATAATCCCAGTACTTTGGGAGGCTGAGCCCCGGAGGGAGAGACCAGCCTGGGCAACATAGGGAGACCCTGTCTCTACTAAAAATAAACATAAACCAGCTGGACATGGTGACACATGGCTGTAGTCCCAGCTACTTGAGAGGCTGAGGTAGGAGGGGAGGCTGAGGCCAAAGTAAGCCGTGACTGTGCCACTGGCACTCCAGCTTGGGTGAGTGAGTACCTGTCTCAGTAAAACAAACAAACAAACAAACAAACAAACAAAAAAAACAGACTAAAAATAAAAACCCACCAGTCGTGATGCCATCATTTCCAGTCACGCATAAGACATTCCTTTATCAGACAGCAGTTGGCGGGGGTGAGGCTCTCAAGCCCTACACTGGAGCTCCAGTCACAGCTGAAGCAGCAGAGGCAGGGACTGAGCTTACTCGTGGAGTAAGAAAAAGGAGAGCAGGGGGGTTAAAAGTCTGGGCCCTGCACGACTGAACATCCTGGGTTCAAATTCCAACTCTGCTGCTCACTGGCTGTGTGGCCTCCGATAAGTCAGCTAACCCTCTCTGAGCCTCGGTTTCTTCACCTGTTAAGGCAGAAGTAACGATGCCCGCCCTTAGGGTTGCTGGGGAATTAATGGGATAGTACACAGAAAGCAGCTGGCTCGCAGTGAGCAGTTGGCTACTTGCCATGACAGTGTTAGTGTCATATAGGATTAGCCCAATACCAAATGTAGCATATACTGTGTCACAGCGGCTGCCACCTCTGGCAAGAATCCAGTGAGTAAAACTGGAACAAATGGGGACCTGGGGGCTGCCAGGGCGCCTGGGCTCTCCTGCAAGCAGCGCTGCCATATGCATAGGATGAGTCAGGATGCCGAGCAGGGGTGGAGCCCGCTCTGAGCAGGGTGAAACCAGCATGATGCAGTGAGCAGCCAGGCAGCAGGTCGCAGCCTGGGGTCCCACGACTCCCTCCATTGTTCTTCCAAAGATTTCCCTGACTTAGGAACACCGACAGCCTGCTGCTCACCGGACTGTGGCGGGCTGGGTGTTGGGCTCCTGTGGGAGCGAAGGCTCACCAAGGCTGGGCGGGCTATTTCTGACCTCACCATGAGGAGCAGCAAATACGGTGAAAGAATGAGTGTGGGGAGAGAGACAAGGCCCCAGGCAGGATCCAGGAGGCCTGCCTTCCAGCCCTGCCCCATCTCAGCTGGGTGTGCCTGCCCTTGGCCTGCTGCCTCTGTCTCCAGGCATCGACCTCCTCATGTGGAGGAGAATTCCTTTATAGCAATGGTTCTTAATGGGGGTGAGCAACAGAATCATCGGAAGAGCTTTAAGTATAGATGCCCAGGCTGCCCCTGCCCCTGCCCATCTTAGGGAATCAGGCCCGGCTATGAAGATGCTGAAACCTCTGCAGGGGAGAGAAAAGGAGGAGACGGGGGTTGGGGAGGGTGTCATGTCCACCTGGTCTTGGGGGTCCTGTAAGGCTGACCTCCTGTCCTGTGGGCTCCTCTACCTCCAACTCACTCTGAGGAAAATAACCATGACACTCGATTCTGGTAAGTCCTTCTTACTGATGAGAACAGGACAAGTGCCCACTGAGGCAGGAAATACCACAGCCCCTGCAAATGCCCAAGTCAATACTCTCCATGACTCAGCAGAAGAGCAACGCCCCCCACAGTGCACAGGAGGTGCTGCCCCTGCCCTAGGTGGTCCCCTGTCCTCTCTGAGTGAAAGAGGAACTAAGAAGGCCAGCAAGGAGACAGATTATCCCCTCCTTCCCAGCTGACTTCCCAAGAGGATCCTGGAACTGTAACAAGGACAAAAACAACAGCACTGGTCGTTGCCATCAACTGAGTCATCACCATGTGCCAGAAGCTGGGCTGGGCACCTCTCATGCTTCATCTCACGATGGCCTCTGTGGGGGAAGCAGGCCTGACACACTCAGGCCTGGAGAAGTTTAGTAAATGACCAAAGTTACCCAGCTTGTAAGTGGAGAAGCCAATACGCAAACCCAAGTCCACCTCCCTCCAAGGACCAAGCTCTTAACACCTACGCTTCATGCTAAGGGAAAGGCAGTTCATAACCTTAAAGTCCACTAGTGACTTTAGGACGACACAGGTCAGGACGATTAGTTCAGGACGATGCAATCATGACTCAAAAGGCTGGGTGATGCCCAAGAGCAGGCAGTAATCCTTTCTAAGGAGTTTACACCACATGATTTATGCGGCACACAGAAGCAAAGGCCCACAACAGCCACTTAAAGCGTGAAAAATTTCTAAAACAATCCTTCCCTGAGTGTAAGGACAGCCTCAGAGCCTAAAACACCCCCACCTACTCTTCATCCTTGTTGCCTGCTTCCTCTCTGCTGGGCTTCAGAGGGAATTTTGAGTCAAACACAAAAATTAAAGAAATAAAGACGATGGACAGCCTGGCTGGCGTTAAGAGTACCTCTGACTTACGCTGAGTCTCGGCATTTCCACAATCTGCTTAAGTCCTGGGCTCCAGCTCACTCAGCATGGGGGACAGAGGAGCTCCCCCGTTTGTGGTCAGATACAGGCCTGAAAGTCTGGCGAACAGCTTCTCTCAGTCACCAGAAAGGCACCAAAGGACGCAGGCCACGGGCTGACCTGAGACCACACTGGCCTGAAATGTCCCTTCTGGGGAGGGTTTAGTTCACGAGCTGCCCTCTGGCCTCCACTAAGAAAAGATCCCACTAATCCCACTCAAAGACCATATCAGGAGCAAGTATGGGAAAGGCTACGAGTGGTCAAGAACAACTACACACAGAATAAAATTCTTTGATCTTCAAAATGTTGAGTCATGTGAAAATGAATCGAAAATACATTTCTGGCCAGGCATGGTGGCTCACACCTGTAATCTCAGCACTATGGGTGGCTGAGGAGCGCCGATCACCTGAGGTCAGGAATTTGAGACCAGCCTGGCCAACATGGTAAAACCTCATCTCTACTAAAAATACAAAAATTAACCAGGCGTGGTGGTGCATGCCTGTAATCCCAGCTACTCAGGAGACTGAGGCAGGAGAATCGCTTGAACCCAGGAGGCAGAGGTTGCAGTGAGCTGAGATCGCACCATTGCACTCCAGCCTGGGCAATAAGAGCGAAACTCTGTCTCAAAAAAAAAAAAAAATACATTTCAAATATACATTTGAAGCAATGACCCAGGAGATATGAAAAGTCATCAAACTGAACAGTTAAGGACTGTGCATATTATTGTAAACGAAATTATATCTTAAATGATAAATAAAAAGCATCAACAAAAGCAGCAGAAACAGCTCCTCAGAGTAGCACTAAAGACCACACAATACCAGGAAAGCTAGCTCTGACAAAGACTTCTGTTGCCAAGCCTGTTAGGTTTCCAGCTCCTATTTACCTTCGATTCTAGAGCCATAATGCACCAAAGGCACCCGAGAAGGTGGTGTGCAAAGGGCCACGCTGATCTCAGACTCAGCTCCCGTCAGTCTCTCCTGTTTCTCTGCCAGCCGCAGCCTGCAGCCGCAATGCTGTGAGCTATGCCAGTGAGACTTGGGACGCAACCCTGCAGCTGGGCTGAGGCGCACATTACCCCCAACCCCTCCTGTCCACTGCACACAGTCACAGCAGCGAGCTAGGCAAGGATGAAGGTCAGACTTCCCAATGCTTGATGACAAAGGCTGGTTAATAGCAGGCAAAACCTTCTCAGCAAGAGAATCTGACCTTCCCTAAATACTGCAGTCATCAGTTGAGAAGAGTTGGTTCTCAACAATGTCTCAAGACACACAGAAAGCACATGCATGTTAACACCAGTAGGCAGAAGAACCAGGCCCAGGCAGGTCCAGGGAGGGTCTGCCACCACGGACCACTAACCAGGCCCTCTGGGTGGCTGTGGGCCCCCTGAAGTTCTAGATTCCCAACACTTTAAAGGCCTAAAAAAGCCTGGCAATGTGTCCAAGACAAGACTGCTTCTCAGCCGGATGATATGAGAGACCTCTGCTTTTGGATGTAGCTTAAATGAACTGAGAGTGGTATCACTGGTTAATGGATTATTTCATAATGTTCATCAGAAGCTGCGACTCAGTTGATGGCATTACAGGAATAGAGTGCAATCTGCTAAGGAAAAGTAATGACAAGAGAGTTTTGGTGATTAAAGAAATTTAAAATCACTGTATTAAATCAGCTTAATAAAAAACACACATTGGCTGGGCACGGTGGCTCATGCCTGTAATCCCAGCACTTTGAGAGGCCGAGGCAGGCAGATCACTTGAGCCTCCCAAGTAGCTGGGGTTACAGATGTGCACCATCACGGCTGGCTAATTTTTTTTTTTTTTTTTTTTTTTGAGACGGAGTCTTGCTCTGTCGCCCAGGCTGGAGTGCAGTGGTGCGATCTCAGCTCACTGCAAGCTGTCTCCCGGTTTCACACCATTCTCCTGCCTCAGCCTCCCGAGTAGCTGGCACTACAGGCACCCACCACCACGCCAGCTAATTTTTTGTATTTTTAGTAGAGATGGGGTTTCGCCGTGTTAGCCAGGATGGTCTCGATCTCCTGGCCTCAAGCAACCCACCTACCTCGTCTTCCCGAAGTGCTGGGATTACAGGTGAGAGCCACCGTGCCTGGCCTATTTTTTTTTTTAAAAGAAAACAAAAAGGACCAGAGCAGAACTGCTCTTTGAGGTCCATTCCAGTGGAAGTGATAGAAAAGAGAAAGCAAGAAAAAAATGAGCGGAAAAAAGGGGGAGGATCTCTTCTGGGAATGAGTCCTTCTGGGAAGTCTCACATCATGCGGCTGGTGTGTTCCTATCCAAATCACTGTAGAAGGGTAATAAGATGATTTAAATTAATCTAAAGAAGAGGTTATTAAATCTGGGGTCCATGAATCCATGATATTACATGGAAAACTTTATGTAGACATGGGAAGTCTATATCTCTCACTAGATTCTCAAATAGGTCTATTATTCCCCAAAGGGATAAAAACCACCAATCAAGGAAAGCAAGGATGAAAAATAAGAATTAAATATATAAACATGAGTTGCAGCCATGATGCACTCAGTGATTATTTCTCCTCTTGTCTTCCCTAGTAGGTTTTTTGTTAGGTCTGTTTATATGAACACACCCAGATACAACAGAGTTCTTTGGCATAAGCTGCCCTGGACTAACAGACATCTTAAACAACCACAAGCATCTGGCCAGCTAAGTCTGGAATAAGCTTAATAGGCAAAGGAAGAGAAGAACCAGACAGGCTTTCACTCATCTTCACATCCCCATGTCCATGAGAGACTCAACAAGCCTCATCTCTAACACAGCAGTTCTCCACCTTTTGGTCTGAAGACCTTTTCACACTTTTAAAAATTCCTAAAGACCCCAAGTTTTTCGGTTAGTATGATTATATCTACAAATATGGATCAGAAAGTAAAACAGGATGGGTCCAGTGGCTCACACCTGTAATCCCAGCCCTTTGGGAGACTGAGGCAGGAGGACAGCTAGAGGCCAGGAGTTCAAGATCAGCCTGGGCAAAATGGTGAGACTCTATCTCCACAAAAAAAATTTTAAAAATTAGTGAGGCATGGTAGTGCATGCCTGTAATTCCAGCTACTTGGGAGACTAAGATGAGACGATCACATGAGCCTAGGAGTTTGAGGTTACAATGAACTATGATCACACCACTGCACTCCAGCCTGCGTGACACAGGACCCTGTCTCTAAAATTAATTAATAATATATGTATATATTTTTTCGAGACGGAGTCTTACTCTGCGGCCCAGGCTGGAGTGCAGTGGCACAATCTCAATTCACTGCAAACTCCGCCTCCCGGGTTCAAGCAATCCTTCTACCTCAGCTTCTCGAGTAGCTGGGATTACAGGTGTGCGCTACCACGCTCAGCTAATTTTTGTATTTTTAGTAGAGACAGGGTTTTACCATGTTGGCCAGGCTGGTCTCGAACTCCTGACCTCAACTGATCCGTTTGCCTCCGCCTCCCAAAGTGCTGGGATTACAGGCATAAGCCACTGTGCCTGGCCCCAAAATAAAAAACCTCTTTTCTAAAAAAAAAAAATGAAAAAAAAAAAAAAAAAAAAGAATGAGAAGACCAGAATTATTTTTGTAATTCTCTTTAATGTCTAGCTTAATAACATGCAGCTGGGTTCTCATATTTGATTCAATCAGCATTCAACTTGCTGTGAGGGAGTATTTGGTGAAAATATATGAAGAAAATCTGGCCCCATACAGATAGATGTAGGCCTTTTCAGATTACTGTGAATAGTCTGTGATTCTACATTAAAACCTGACAAGAGGTTGCTTCTAAAGATGAGGGAGGTGGGGAATCTGAAATTTATCAATGAACTTTCCACACTCTTACATTAATAAACTCCACTGGTCCATCCTGCACTTTCAGGAGAGCTTTTACCCCCATGCATGACTATGGAACATCCTGCACTGGCCAGGTGGAAGACAATGTTTCAGTGTGTTATGTAGATCTCCCAGATACAGAAACATTTTATTATAGAATTCTTAAAAAAATCACATTGTTAGTATCACCTCTGCTTACATCATAAGTCTTATAAGAACTGGGAAACTGGCCGGGTGTGGTGGCTCACACCTATAATCCCAGCACTTTGGGAGGCCGAGGTGGGTGGATCACTTGAGGTCAGAGTTTGAGACCAGCTTGGGCAACAAATTGAGACCCCGTCTCTACAAAAAATATAAGAATTAGCCGGGCATGGTGGAAAGACCTGTAGTCCCACCTACTCAGGAGGCTGCAGTGGGAGGCTCACTTGAGCCCAGGAGGTCAAGGCTGCAGTGAGCTGAGATTGTGCCATTGCACTCCAGCCTGACTCAAGGAAAAAAAAAAAAAAAAAAAAAGATCTGGGAAACTGTCAGTTAGGAAACTGTCAGGCTGACAGGGATAAACACAAGTTTTCTTTTATCACTGGCAACAAATACTATTAGTTGTTTTTGTTGAAGTAATATGTTCACTTTGTTCATTTTCAAGAAAATGTCCACCACAAACCCATGTCTGTGTCACCATAACAGTCATTCTTCCAGATAAAAGCAGCTTGGCCAGGCACAGTGGCTCATGCCTGTTATCTCAGTACTCTGGGAGGCCTAGGTGGGTGGATCACTTGAGCTCAGGAGTTTGAGACTAGCCTGGGCAATATGACAAAATCCTATCTCTACAAAAAATACAAAAATTAGCCAGGCATAGCAGCACACGCCTGTAGTCCTAGCTACTTTGAGGGCTGAGGTGAGAGGATCGGTTGGGCCCAGGAGGTTGAGGCTGCAGTAAGCCAAGATTACACCACTGGACTCCAGCCTGGGCAACAGTGCAAGACCCTGTCTCAAAAAAATAAATAAATAAAAAACAACAAAAAAATAAAATAAAAGCAGCTAGTTCAGCTTGCAATTCAAACAAGTGCACACGTACTTTCCCTCAAGGCCACACCCATCACACTTCAGGCCCAGCAGCAGTGCTGTGTGCACACCTCCCATGCTGTCTCACAGAATATTAAAAGGCAAGGGTTGAGATTTAATCACATCAACAGTTTTATTATTTCAAGACCATTCTTAAGTGATATGAGCCTTTTTCACCCCCTGTGAGTAGGTGACAGTAAAGAATGCAGTGGCTACTGGCAGATTCTGGTACCACAGCCTGGAATCACGTGACGGTGCCGGCAATTTCACCCATCATTGCTTTTCACCATCAGGCAAATGTCAACAGCACAAGAGACTCACACCGTATGATTATGAAAATAGTTTTGATCCCGAGGACCCCCTTGAGAACCGCTGCCCTAACAAATGCCTCGCATGGTCGCGGCTCCTTTCAGAGCACGGCGGCACCTCGGAATGAAGCCGTTCCTCCATCAACTCTGCAGCCAGCCAACCGGGATTGTTTAAATACTTCTGAAGCTCACATGAAAGCTAAGGCTCTTCAGAATACATCTTCTGACTTTTCCTCAGAAACACAAGGCCCAAAAAAAGGATGGTGAGCAGCAGAGACTGTTAATTAAATTTACGGTGTGTATCTCGACGCCAGTCCTATAAGGTAATGACACTGGAGAAAGAGAAGGGAACGCGGATGCGGGCTCAAGGGCAGTCAGAGCCAGTAAATCTTAGCAGGCGAGACAGAGTGGAGCCAGCGCTAGGTGTGTCTGTGCGAGACTCAATTAAGCTCCCTCTCGGAGGATGCAGTGCAGCTGTGAGTCTCAGTGACCGAGGACCTGAGAGAAGCCACTGCGCGTGACAGGAGAGACAAAGACGCGGCTAAAGGACAGTGGGCAGCTTCGGCCTCAATGCTTTCCTTTAGATTTCCCTCAGGTTTGGTCAAAAGGAATCCAGAGACAACAAAGTAAAAGCCAAACAAACACTCTCTGAAAGCTGTATTCACCCCAAAACTGAAAACTGTATTCACCCCAAAACTGAAAGCTGTATTCACCCCAAAACGGAAAGCTGTATTCACCCCAATGCAGGAAGGAAAACTACAAATGGCATGTCTCTCACTTGCAGTTACTGGGCCTGGACTGCACCTAAACTAAAAATGAGATTCTTTGCCATAGTGTTTTGTTGTTGTTGTTGTTTTGAGATAGGGTCTGGCTCTGTTGCCCAAGCTGGAGTACAGTGGTACAATCTCAGCTCACTGTAGCCTTGATCTCCTGGGCTCAAGTGATCTTCTCACCTCACCCTCCCAAGTAGCTGGGACTACAGGCGTGTGCCATCAAGCCCCGATAATTTTTGTATCTTTTTCTAGAGGTGGGGTTTTGCCATGTTGCCCAGGCTGGTCTGCCACAGTTTTTTGTGTGGTTTTGGTAGAGATGGGATCTTGCTATTATGTCACCCAGGCTGGTCTAAAACTCCTGGCCTCAAGCAATCCTCCTGCCTCGGCCTCCCAAAGCGCTAGCATTACAGGCCTAAGCCACCATGCCTGGCCTAAAAGTGAGATTCTTAAGCCCGAAGTGGCCAGATGCAGTGGCTCACACCTGTAATGCCAGCATTTTGGGAGGCCTCATGAGGCAGGACGATGGCTTGAGGTTAGGAGTTTAAGACCAGCCTGGGCAACAGAGTGAGACCTCATCTCTACAAAAATTTTAAATTAAAAAAAAGAAAAGCCCAAGTTACTGTCAAGGCCATGAAATGAGTCACTGGAATAATGAGCCTGAGAACAGGAAACAGAATGTCAGGCTCTATCCAGCAAAGCTTCCAAATCTAATAGGAGACATTATTGCCTGTAGCCTTTGTGCTCCTAGTTGCCTCCAGATCTCAGGAGTGAACTGAGGGGGCACAGAGGGCCAATGGGGCCACAGATCCCAGCACCAGCGACTGGAAGCATGCCCACTCCCGCTTTCCCGCAAGCTTCACAGCACATAGCCGCCCTGTAGTCACAACCGAGGGCAGCTCCAGCACAGGCCATTCCTGAGACCTCTCTGCAGGGGAGGCTCCAGCTGGGAACACGGCTGCTCTGGCTCTGGGAGTGTCGCAAGCATAACCACTTTTCAGGGTACAGAGTGATGCCCAAAAGCATCTCACAGCCTCAATCAATTCAGGGAAAAGAACATGAACCAAAATGACAATCCCGTTCTAATCTGCTCTGTCCCTCTTTCAGAGTATTTGTGATATTTGCTGATGAGAAATGGGTGCTTCCTTAGCAGATGTCTTCCTAAGAATGGGGAATGTGAACCCTGGTTTACCTATGCGACTTCCTGCTCTTAGATTCGCTCTCTGCTGAAGAGGTCCCATGCTGTCACCTGGTGGAAAAAAATGAGAAACTGCCTTGTGTGCCCAGGCCATGACAAAAGCGTTCCTGTTAAAGGAAGTTACCCTTTACTACAGATGCTGGGGGACAACGCTGACCCCATGCTGCCTCACCTGCTGTGCCATCTACTCCAGACAGAGCACCTTACTAAGATCCTCAGCTACCAACCAACCTCAGGTGGAATAAATGGTCCCAGTGGCAGTCACCACAGCCACCCCACACTCGCTAAAGCAAGATGGAGGACCGAACAGGTAGACGAGTCAGGAGGACGAAGCAGGGGCCGGGGAGGACGCAAAGAAGGGAGGAATTCATCAACGGGCAGGATCGAGCAAAGAGAAACACACAGGTAAGCCTCGCCAACAAAAAGCACCGCCCTTGGGATTTTTACACATTTTTAGCCAAACAGCCGGAAGAACCAATGAGAAATACAGAAGTGTATAAGATAATAAAGTTAAATGGTCTCATCGCGATATATTAAAATAAGAAAAAGCCTAGCCGGGCGCGGGGGCTCATGCCTGTAATCCCAGCACTTTGGGAGGCCGAGGCAGGTGGATCGCGAGGTCAGGAGTTTGCGACCAGCCTGGCCAACATAGTGGAACCCTGTCTCTACTAAAAATACAAAACATTAGCTGGGTGTGGTGGTGGGTGCCTGTAATCCCAGCTATTTGGGAGGCTGAGGCAGGAGAATCGCTTGAAGCTGGGAGGCAGAGGTAGCAGTGAGCTGAGATCGCATCACTGCACTCCAGCCTGGCAGACAGTGCGAGACTTCGTCTCCAAAAAAAAAAAAAAAGAAAGAAAAAGACTACCTGTTCACCAAGTTACAAATATAATAAAACTACCTTCTTATATAACACGATAAAAGAAAAATAAGGACAAGAATATCCCCAAAGAGGCTGGGCGTGGTGGTTCACATCTGTAATCCCAGCACTTTGGGAGGCCGAGGCAGGCAGATCACTTGAGGTCAGGAGTTCGAGACCAGCCTGGCCAAGGTGGTGAAACCTCATCTGTACTAAAAACACAAAAATTAGCTGAGCGTGGTAGCAGGCACCTGTAATCCCAGCTACTTGGGAGGCTGAGGAAGGAGAATCGCTTGAACCCAGAAGGCAGAGGCTACAGAGAGCAGAGATCGTGCCACTGCATTCTAGCTTGGGTGACAGAGCAAAGCTCTGTCTTAAAAAAGAAGAATATCCCCAAATTAGCCAGGCGTGCTGGCAGGCGCCTGTAATCCCAGCTACTTGGGAGGCTGAGGCAGAAGAATTGCTTGAACCCAGGAGGTGGAGGTTGCAGTAAGCCGAGATCATGCCATTGCACTCTAGCCTGGGCAAAAAGAGCAAAACTCCGTCTCAAAAAAAAAAAAAAAAAAAAAAAAGAATATCCCCAATTATTCCTAGAGGTGGATTTGTACTTCCTACCTTGGGTTTTTCTAATGATGGCAGGGTGCTTTACTGGGCTCCAAGAAAGGCTATGTAGCCCGGCTAGAAGCAAAAGCTCTGTGACTCCTGCTTAAAGCCACTGAAAAGAACCTGCTTAAAGCCACTGAAAAGAACCTATCACAAGAGGACACTCCAGAGGGAAAAGAAGGGAACCTGGTATCTTTGAGGGGAAAAAAATGAGAAAACGGGAGAAGGGCTATTCCCAGGACTAGAAAGAAAACAAAAGCTGGTGCAGGTCGCAGAAGCTGAGTGGGCCTTGGGAGGCTGGCCTCTGACCACTGACCAAGGCTCCAAGCCTGGGTATGACTTGCACACAGGCTGCCTAGGAGCAAGAGTTACGTGAACCTGGACAGCAGGAATGCCATACTATCTGTTCCAGGCCCAAACTGGCGAGATCCTCCAGAATACTGTGCTCTAAATAACAACCTAGGGCTGACCCTGGCGTGAAGCCTCAAAGTCATGTTTAATTTAACTTAAAGAAATAATGCGTTATTAGTTATATACCAGGTTTGTGAAAGAAGATTTACAGCTACTATGCATTTTCCGAATTTTCTAAAATGAATCTACATTGGCTTTATAATCAGAAATAGAGTCAGCAACAAAACTTTATTAACAAAAACCTGTTTTATTTATTATTCATAACCTGCATTAAAGAATGTTAATATCCACACTGGGTGTACGATACCATGGATCCAGAGACCGTTCTGAGCTTTGAGAGAAGAGAGCACTGCTCCTTAAACCCTTGTGGTCTGAAATTCTCACTTGTGCTATGGCAGCCTGTGGTCATGAACATTATTCAAATAAGCCCAGAACCACACAAAACATTTTCTTTGCAGCTTTTCTTCTGATTTAGGAGGCATGACTGGAAAGTCAAGGAGATGCAAAAGGGCTATAAAGGGCACAACCATTTCAATATCAGGTAGTTTTCAAGGTTCCTTCTGTCATCAGAGTCTTGCTTTAAATGAATACTGACACATCTATTTTGAAAGTGTGTTAAATCAGCAGGCAGGGCTGCTTTACACATAGCCATCTCCAATCCATTATCCCTCCTGTTCTCACAGCGAAGTGTTATCTGGCCCTTCTAAGACAAGATTTTCTCTTGCTGACTCAGTTTTGAGAAGGTGAAAATCACAACCACGAGTGGAAATGAAATGAATCATCTTAATAAGCAGCAGTCACCCCCAACCTCCTCCTTATACAACTGACTCAACACCTCCTTCTCCAAACTACCCCTGGCTGCTCTCACGAAGTGGGCCCCAGGCCTCCCCTAGCTCTCCTCCCAGGAAGACAGCATCTTGACACCATAGGCTGCCTCCACTCCTCCGCAGTGCCGCAGCACGTGGGTTCAGAGCAAGCTGAGCAACACAAAATGAGCACGAGAGAACTTGCCTTTTCCATCTGTTGCTGATGCTTCTTGTAAATGTCTGATTGACCTAAAAATAAACATTTAGAGAACAAAAAGTTAGCTGACAAATCTGCACTCCTCTCTATTTCCAGCTCTAGTAACTTGAGGCTGAATTTCTCAATTACATGCTGAAAGGTTGGACTACATCACTTTAGAGCACTCTCCCTAAAACGGGTAGAGGGGGGGAAATGGTTGATATCAACACGTCTGAGGTAAAGTCGCCCTCTGCTGGCCAAATCTGTGGCAATAAGTCTAGCAGGGACCAGAGCGTGAGGAGAAAACAAAACTCCATCATTTAATGCTCCTGTTAATCTCTCACTCCCACAACCACCCCCTACCCAACACTCCCATGACAATGGAGCATCACTGGGCTCACCTGCCACCAGGAGAGAATAAACCCTAGAAGAAAGTCACCAGCTGACTTCTAGAGTCTAGGTCTAAGAGCTGTGAACATACAGCACCATGCAAACTTATCGAGTGGAGATTTTTAACACTGCTGAAAAATGCCAGCCTCCAGGGACACTGTCTGGGGCTGTGATGTGCTGGTACCTAATGACCATCATTACATTTCAGGCAGAGGAACATTAACATTATTACAGGAGCCGCAGGTGAGAGGTGGAGGCACCATGAAAAGCCACCAACAGAGAGACTTCCCTGAGGGCTGAACAGGGCACAGGCAGACAGGCTGTGTGAGGGAAGGCGGCTGTGGTCTGACACTGTCACTCACTCTTGTCAGCAAATCAATTACTCTTCCTAAATCCTCCGTAATTTGCCCACCTGTGAGAGGGGCTATCTGCTTGAGAACTGAATGGAACACCACACGAAAGCTAACCAGTACACTGCTGGCCCTGAAGCAATGCTGGCTGAATCGGGATATTTACAAGTATTATTATTATTATTATTATTTATTTATTTATTTATTTATTTTGAGACAGAGTCTTGTTCTGTCGCCAGGCTGGAGTGCAGTGGCATGATCTTGGCTCACTGCAACCTCCGCCTCCTGGGTTCAAGCAATTCTCCTGCCTCAGCCTCCCGAGTAGCTGGGACTACAGGCACATGCTACCACGCCCAGCTAATTTTTATATTTTTAGTTAAGATGGGGTTTTGCCATGTTGGCCAGGATGGTCTCGATCTCTTGACCTCGTGATCCGCCCACCTCAGCCTCCCAAAGTGCTGGGATTACAGGCGTGAACCACCGCGCCCAGCCTAAAAATATTATTAATCTTGAATCACCTCTCCAGTACTTACTGACTTTTTTCATTTTACAGTAATTTTTAGGATATTTACCTTAAGGAATTTTGCCATTTGGAATCTGCTCATTAGTGTTGTAATTAACAAGGGGCAGGAAATGGCTGCTTACACCTCGACAGCTTGTTGGGGTTCCTTATATTTGACTATTCTGATAGTGGCATGTGTAAAAGTAGGGTGTGAACCTCTGTTCCCTAATGAGGTGCTCTTTTCGATCTGGAAACAATGCTGGACATCCTATGTTAGATACCCGAGTGACTAATTCCTGTGCAGGACGGCAGGAGGCTGCAGTGAGGAGGAAGAGTCATTCATATTCCACTGGGTGCGGTGGCTCATGCCTATAATCCCAGCACTTTGGGAGGCTGAGGTGGGAAGATCACTTGAACCCAGGAGTTTGAGACCAGCCTGGGCAACATGGCAAAACCCTGTCTACAAAAAATTGGCTGGGTATGGTAGTGTGTGCCTGTGGTCCCAGCTACCCAGGAGGCTGAGGTGGGAGCATCATTCATACTCTCTTCTATGCTGGTAGCTGTCTGCTGAACTGATACGAGATCATGTGTGATGTATGATGGAATGAGGGTGAAGAGTGAATCTAACTGGCTGGAATGAGAAGTACTCTCCATTTGCACCATGTTATAAATAATGAGAGTAACTGACAAACCCCAGGATCCTCAAAAATATTAATTTACTGGATGGGGCATTGCAATAAGAAGCACCTCAGCCAGCTGCGGTGACTCATGCCTATAATCCCAGCACTTTGGGAGGACAAGGCAAGTGGATCACCGGAGGTCAGGAGTTTGAGACCAGCCTGGCCAAAATGGCGAAACCCTGTCTCTACTAAAAATACAAAAAAAATTAGCCAGGCATGGTGACACGCACCTGTAATCCCAGCTACTCAGGAGGCTGAGGCAGGAGAATCACTTGAACCCAGGAGGCAGAGGTTGCAGTGGGCCGAGATTGAGCCATTGCACTCCACCCTGGGCAACAAGAGCGAAACTCCATCTCGGGTTAAAAAAAAAAAAAAGAAGCACTTGTAATGGAAGGCCGGGGTGAATCTATTTTCTTTAAAATTTATTTCAAAAGAATTGCATTCCAATAGCCATGGAATTATATCACTAAGGGTAAAGTGTTTTATTGCTGCTAGCCTTCTGAATTTCTACCACTCTGCATGTGATTTAATAAGGATATTTTCTCATCAACCACTGACTTGACACTAACACTTCTTTACACAGACCCAATGCACAATCTGTGCATCTAAACACTGCCATTTCCAGGAATGGAGCAATCCATTCTGAAAACATCAAAAATGTTTGTGTGCTGAGAACTATCACTAGTTTTATGTTAATGAACTTCCTCATTTTCCACCTAAGTTGGCAAGAACTGGCTGTTTATGGGATTTCTCCAACTCCCTACCACCACCACAAATTCAGGCTGCTACTTTAAGTTACTACCAAGTTCTCATTTCCCAATTCCTCTCTATTGTCTTAGAACTCTGTTAAATGCCAGCTCATGGTGACGGATTAGCTCTGCCAGAATACCCCGAGTAACTGGAAAAAGACACAGGGTTCTGCCCCTGGAGGCTGATTCAGGTCAGTCTGGGACTCAGAAAGCTGTACTTTTAAACACACGTCCCATGTGACTGAGATCAGTTTGGGAATGGCCAGTTCAGCTATTGGGCTTGACAGCCAAGCTGTCATGTGGCCTCCCTCCCTGTGAGCTACTCACCACACCACTGGGAAGAGGATGGCACCACAACACAACAGGTCGACCAGAAATAGAGAGTCCTTCCACAAGCCATATTCAGTCGTGCCCTCCTCGGTGGACTCTATGATGATGTAGGCTACATTTGCCAGGACCTACAGACATGAGAAGTTGCTGAGGCCCCAAAGCATGGGTGGACTGTTATGATGCTAGCAGCCCCAATGTGGGGTGTACACCTTGGCCTCCAGACCCACGATCTGCGACCACAGCATTCTTTCCAGTCCCACGTGCTCTTCCAGAACTCTGCCACTCCGCTATCAAGGAGAGTCTCTATGCCACCCCCCTGAATCTGCACAGGCCGTAATTGCTCTAATACAGTAAGATGGAAGTACTGCTGTGTGATTTCCAAGGTAGATAAAGCTTCCACCCAGCTCTCTTGGGACCTTTGGAGCCCTAAGCCTTCTTGTAAGAAGTCTGGCTACCCTGAAACTACCCTGCTGTACAGACCATGCAGAGATGGAAAGGCCCCCCCAGGAGCCCCGGCTGTCCCAGTCCCCACCTGAGCAAGCTTCTCAGCCCAGAAGACAGATGCGAGTGGAGACTTCAAGATGCTCCCAGCCATGGTGTGACTATGACCACAAGACCCAAGTCAGACCTACCCAGCTAGCCACTCTTGAATTCCTAACCCACAGAAACTGAGAGAGAGAATGACGGGTTATTGTCGTTTTAAGTCGCTGAGTTTTGGGGTGATTTGTTATGCAGCAGTAGATAACAGGGACACTTTGCTTTTCAGGTACCCCAAACCCAGTGGAGTCACTCAGGTGCTGGACTGCTGGATAGGTGGCACTTAACACCCTATTTAGCCACAATGCCCATACTTTTCAGGCCATGGTGCTCAGTGACAATAACTCATCTAAGTGCCAGACAATGGAACTGTGTTTTCAGAGACCAGAGGGTGAGCATGGCTGATTCCAGCCCTACAGCCTCATATACTCAGGCCCACTATTAAGCTCTGTACTCAGGCCCGTTATTAGGCTCTTAGCATAAGTCTTTATAAAAAGTCTTTCCACTGGCTAAACTGAGATGCCACAGAGCATAAGGGAAATTTACCACTT